>NC_000007.14:155266128-155579193 GCF_000001405.40 Homo sapiens
CCAGCTCAGATTGCAGTTGAAGATCACAAATGCTCTCTGTTTCACTTTGCGATGTTTGTGGTGTCTAATACAGCAACACAAGCCTAGGTTTCTGTGCAAAGACTTCCTTATTGTTTATTTACTATCCACTTCCTCTGAGCAGGACTGATCGACTTTTCACTTCTTAGGCCCCTGGTGGGTGGCCTAACATTGGGAACGTCTCTGGGAATCAATGGCCTCCCATGCTATTGCCCTAAGAGGAAAAACTATGGACCCATTTCCGGCTCGTGAGTTGGAAGTGGAGGTCTGCTGGCGGCCTTTGTCTCCCTGCCTTCCCCTCCTGTCACTGGCTGGAACATGTGCTTGATGCCTGGCGTTCAGCAGCCCTGTTGAAACTGTGAGGTGACTGGCAGGTGTCAGAAGGAAAGCAAACTGCCTAGTGACGGCAGAGGCTGCATGCACTCCACTGCCCTCTGCTCCACTGTCCACTCACCTCCGCTGGCTCTGTGCCCCAAGGCCCTGGCCTCTATGGCCGGCATCCATGGGCTTCCCTATCCTCTGGCCTCCAGGTGGATTCAGTCACAGCAGAAGCTGGGAGGGGCAGCTGGAGGTTGGAGAAACATGAGGCTAGTGTCCAGTTCCCTCCCTGGCCGAGGCAGCCGTGGAGGTGCTCCTTTCCAGGAAGCCAGCACTCCTTTCCGGTGGTCCTGCTCTGACCACGGCAGCTCGAGCTGAGCACAGAGTGACGGCTACAGCTCCCTCCACATCTGGCCTGGGGTGGGAACAGCTCCTGGATGCTTCTTCTTCCTGTGCTGGCATCCCTTAGTCCCTCCCACCTTTTTTTTTTTAATATAATAAACCTGCTTTGTTCAATCCTCCTCAACCACCCACTGAAGCAAGCCCTCCTTTCCTTGCCGGGACCCAGAGAGCTGCTGGGAAAGAAAGGGTGGGCCCCCCGCAGTGTGGTCAGCACCTGGGCAGACCCCACCCACCTTCTATGATGAAAGCCCTGGATGGATTCCTATCCCCACCCTGAGCTCCTCCCCTAACTCCCCAAAACATTGGGAAGATGGGCCTTCTGTCCTGGAAGGGCCAGTCTCCTGGGCAGAGCGCTATGCATAAGAAGGAAAGCCGTGTTACTCAATGGTTCTACTGAACCACTAAGCAACAGGGGCTCTGGGGGCACTGTGGAGATAGAGAACCCTTAGGAAGGCGATGCTGGATCCTATGGGTCTCAACAGAGGGCCTTACGGGTAGGCCCTGTAGGAGGGACTGGGAGGCACAGGTCCCAGGAACACGTGTGCTGGGCACACGTGAGTACATGCAGGGTCAAAGCTGGCAGGCAGACGGGTTGAGCCTCTCCGTGCTCCCACGGGGTCTGCATCAGATTTTGCACTTAGCAAGCGAATTTGCTTCCCAGGGCCACTGTAACAACCAACCACGAATGGGAGGCTCAACACAACTGAAACGCACGTCCTCACAGTCCTGGAGGCCCGAACTCCAAAACCAAGGCGCCAGCAGGGCCACGCTTCCTCCACGGAGCCTCGGGGAGCAGACGGTCTTGAGACGAGACTTGCTCCCGCAACCCTTTCCCAGCTGCAGCTGCCTCTCCGCCATCTCTGCCTCCGTGGCCACGCGGCATCTTCTCCCTGGCATGGGCTGAACCACCGCATCTCGGGCAGGTCTGACGGCGTTTCTATCAGCACAGCCCACAATGATGGTCTTCTCCCTCGCTTCCTGATTTTGTTTGACATCCAACCTCCTCTCAGATGCTGTAAACTATAAGCTGTACCATTGTTTTATGCACTAACAGGGAAGAAAAAAATGCTGGCAACTAAACCGTGAGGTCCCTTCAAGAGTAAAATGGAACCTAAGAGGAAGACGGAACCTAACAGAGATGTCGGGAGGAGAAGCAGCATGCATCTTAGAATTGATAAGCACGATACATGACGACAGGTGTTTTGGTTTTTTGTTTGTTTGTTTGTTTGTTTTTGAGACAGTCTCGCTCCCTCTCCAGGCTGGAGTGCAATGGCGTGATTTCAGCTCACTGCAACCTCCACTTTCCGAGTTCAAGCGATTCTCCTGCCTCAGCCTTCCAAGTAGCTGGGATTACAGGCACGTGCCACCACACCCGGCTAATTTTTGTATTTTTATTAGAGATGGGGTTTCACCATGTGACAACAGGCTTTTTAATTAGACACGCCCACCCCCATCGTGAGGTCATCGTTTTCTGCCGGGAGCCTCCTGGGCCCTGCAAGGTTCCATGTTGTTCCGGCTGTGTTGGACACTGCTGCCAACGGCTTTTGGTTGCTCACAGGACTGGGTGGTGCTAATCCTAAGGACTGTAGGGGGCGGGGGGCGGCATCTGCAGGGGAGAGCACTGGGAGCACGTGGCCCTGCAGGTGTGACCAGGACCCAAAGAGCTCCTGGCATATAGCAACTGCTCAAACCATGTCTGCTCAGGAACAAGCGAGTGAATAACTGTCCAAATTCTTCATTTGAGAAATAAGGCACAGATATGGTTTAGCTGGGTCCCCACCCAAATCTCACCTTGAATTATAATAACCCCCACATGTCGAGGGTGGGGCCAGGTGGAGATAATTGAATCAAGGGGTTGGTTCCCCTCACACCATTCTCATGGTAGGGAATCAGTCTTATGGGATCTAATGGTTTTATAGAGGGGAGTTCCCCTGCACACGCTCTCTTGCTGCCACCATGTAAGATGTGACTTTGCTCCTCCTTTGCCTTCTGCCATGATTGCGAGGCCTCCCCAGACATGTCAATTAAACCTCTTTCCTTTATAAGTTACCCAGTCTTGGGTATGTCTTTATTAACATTGTGAGAACAGACTAATACAGGCACCTCGGCCAGAGGGGAAAAGGGCCTCTCCATAGTCACACAGCAAGGATAGCAGATCAAGACCCAGCCTGGTCTCCTGATGCCTCATCCCATGACATCTCCACCACCCCCTGCCCTGGCCTCTCATCTTTCTACCCAGGCTGAGATCACAGCTTCCACCAACAGGAACTGGGGCAGGAGCTGCAGTAGACACTGGAGCTGGCTCCATTGTGACCTCATTCATAACTTTCCTATGAAAGAAATCCAAACTTTACATCCAGAAGAGTTTCAACCCAAAGTGCTGGGTTTGCACTTAGCAGTGGAAGCCTGAATTGGATCCATTCTGTTTTCTGCTGGAAGAGGCTGATGTAAAATTATGTCTACTTTAGGTTTGATACAAAGGTGGGGTTAGAGAATGGGGAGGGAACTGTTGTTTTTCTTCTCACCCCTTTCCAAGTGGGCCCCTTTTTACAATGCGTATCGGTTTTGTGGTCTGTACGGTGCCAATGATAACAGAACCCACTTGGTTGCATTGTGCAGAGTGGAGCTAACATACACTGAGAATTTAGGGTTGTGCCTGGCACAGAGCAAGGCCCATATATGTGCTTGCAATGATAAATAGTAAGGAAGAATGAACCAAAGTGTTCACACGAGGAAGCTCTGACGAGAGAAAAATCCAAGCTAATGAAGACATGCAGTTAAATGAGAAGTTCAGGTCCTGAAACTGTCTCTGTTATGTCCATCAGGCAGGTTCTTAGCTGCAAGCAACAGAAACTGACTCCAGCAGATTTAAGCCAATATGAGACTAATTGAAAATCTCATATTGGGAGTAATTCACAGAACTGCTGGAGAACCCGGCTCAGACGTGAGTCAGAAACGAGGGAGAGGCCGAGCAGCAGCAGGACCAGGAGCCCAGCCAGGGGCCTGGGGGGCAGCAATACTGCAGCTCCAGGGCCAGCACAGGTCAGGACTGGACACGGGCCCAGTGCCACTGACCCACTGCTCCTGAAGAGGGGATGAAGCCACCTCCGAAGCCAAGGATGCTGGCCTTTTGCCTTGTGCCACCAGCTTCCACTTTAGAGCTGGCTGTGTGTGCTGTTGGCTGAGTCTGGGTCCTGCACCTGCACCCAGCAACCAGGGCAGCTGGGAGGTCTGTATATCCCCAAGATTCACCTTGCCAGGCCGGCAGGGGGGTCAGGGGCTGGGAGCTAAACATCCAGTGTCTGCCTCATTGTATGGTCTCAAGTAGGTCGCTTTTGTTTGGTTGGTTTTTTAAGGCAGAAGAAAACGCACTGAAGACACTCTAGACATTGTGCAATTTCATTTGGGGTTTGTTTTCTTTATTATTTTCCTTCCAAGCCCATGACAGTGCATTTGGAATGTGTTGTTTTTATGACGATGCACAAAACAGCGATGCATAGGTTGAAGTAAGGGATGAACTCTGCCCCATTGCTTCACGGACGATGCGTGCCGACAGCACACTCTCGGTCTCCTCCAAACATCTCCACGTGACGGCACCAGGAGTGAAGGGCAGGGCAGGGAAACAAAAGCAGAGGTCATTTTGCAGTAGGGGTGGCAGCAAATGCAAATGACCCGCGATCTGCAGGTGGGACCACTGGCACCCAAATGTGTCACATCTATAGAAATTAAACATAAGCCGAGCACAGTGACTCATACCTATAATCCCAGCACTTCGAGAGGCCGAGGTGGGTGGATCTTCTGAGGTCAGGAGTTCGAGACCAGCCTGGCCAACATGGTGAAACCCCATTTCTACTAAAAATACAAAAATTAGCTGGGCGTAGTGATGGGTGCCTGTCTTTTCAGCTACTCAGGAGGCTGAGGCAGGAGAATCGTTTGAATCCAGGAGGCGGAGGTTGCAGTGAGCCAAGATTGTGACATTGCACTCCAGCCTGGATGACAAGAGCACAACTCTGCCTCAACAATAAAAATAAAGAAATTAAACATAATGTCGAGTGTCACCAGGTACAGTCCCACATAAACAGCCACTATTTTCCACTCATCATTCAGGTGAGAAAAACTTTTCTCTTGTCATTGCAAAACATCCGTTCTGACAAACCCAGAAGAAACTTCTTGAATTGTAGCAACTTAATGTATTTCTCAACCACAAAAAAAGAGTTCCACCTGCACGATTTGGTGTAAATGTAAATAATGCCAGAAAAACACAGGGTGACAAGGAACAGAGGAAGCCACAATTTCTTATCAGTTTCTTCCACTGATAGGCCTGACTTTTGATCTCATTGATTATCAACCCCAATACACACATGGAGAATAATGTATCAGTAGAGTTTTTATAGCAACAGAATTGGCCTTCAATGATCATCATAGAAGAGAGCAATTATAGAAATAATTTTAAGGTAATTTCATGATATTTATTTTTTCAGCAAAGTATGTAAGTGTCCTTATCCCTCAATGGATTATGGATGTACTTACAGTGTCAGAAATCAAAAGGACAAAATAAAACAAATGTCACACTGGGTCAAAACCATCATTCTGTCTTTGATGGGAGTCCCAGGGGATATTTCTTAGAAGAATATGATGTCATTACGGAGGCTAAGGCTGCACTCCAGATATTCAGTTTTCTATCAGATATGGATTTATTTAAAACTTTCTTGAATGAACTTATTTTTCTTACTTTACGTAACAAGGTCAAAAAGGTAAACCTCTCAGTGTAAAGAGGTGTAAAACCTTTTTCAAGAGTGAATACATTCCTGTCTTAAAGAAAAAATGAATTAACAATCGATCCCACTCTCAAAGGAAATGATAAAGCTATACTTCATTCAAATGGAAAAGTTGGCCAGGTGTCGCGGCTCCCACACGTAATCCCAGCACTTCTGGGAGGCCAAGGCGAGCCCCCATTTTGGGTGTGGGCAGGACTGAGAGTCCCTTCCACATCATGGAGTCCGGGAAGAGCCAGTAGTGACTTTACAGTTCACAGTGGGGACTCTGCCAAACGCTGCCTTCCCAAGTGGTAAAGGCCAGGTTCAGCCGGGATTGATGTTGTGGGTACCAGGACCCCTGGATACTGGGGGATGAGAGGGAACCTCACCTCTGTAGTTTTCAAAACTCCCACAACCCCAGTCTAACGGTGAGAGAAATGTCAGACACTCCCAGTTGCAGGACATTCTATGACACACCTGCCCTGTCCTCCTGAAAACTGCCAAGGTCCTGAAACACAAGGGAAGCCCAAGCACCTGCCCCAGAGCAGAGGTGACCAGGGAGACACAGGACTCCTCCTGGACGGAATCCTGGAACAGAAAAATCCGGGCAACCCAAACACTGCCTAGAGTGCAGATGACCGCATGCACCAATATTGGCTTCATAGTTTTAACAAATGTGCTATGTCGCAGTGGGTCATGCCTCTCATCACAGCACTTTAGGAGGATCACGTGAGCCTAGGAGCTCAAGACTAGCCTGGGCAATATAGTGAGACCTCATCTCTACAAAAAATCTTTTAAAAATTAGCTGAGCGTGGTGGCATGCACCTGTAGTCTCAGCTACTTAGGAGGCTGAGGTAGGAGGATCACCTGAGTCTTGGAGGTCGAGGCTGCAGTGAGCCATGATTGTGCTACTGCACTCCAGCCTGGGTGATAGAGCTAGATCCTATCTCAGAAAAAAAAAAAAAAAAAAGATAACATCAGGGGAAACCGAAGACATATCTTTTCAACTTTTCTGTAAATCTAAAGCTATCTCAAAATGAAAAGATTTCTTAAACACTATGAGAGGAAGAAAAATAGATTACTACAAAGGAACAAAATTAGACTGAATTCCTGTCCATAGGAACAAAAAGATGACAACATAATGTATTCAGAGATGTGAGGGGAAATAGCTACAAGCCCCTAATGTTGCACCCAGCTGAATTCGCACGCACGTGATGGCAAGACTAAAAAGATTTTCAGACGTCTGAAAACCCTGAGGGTTTATCACCTATGGCTGCTCTCTGAAATAACAAAGGATGCATTTGACCAAAATAAGCAACAACCCAAAGTGAGGGATGAGGCACAGTATGTTGACAAATGTGATTAAAGATTGGCTGTGAAAAATAGCACGAGCCAATTAATAGTGCTTGTTAAAAATGATATAAACTTGCACCTGGTCAACAACAGAGGAGGGGGTTGCTCCCTGCCGCGAGGGAGTGGGCTGAGGTCCTTGGAGTATCTTGGAGGAGGCCTGGATGGTGCACGTTCTGGTCACCCCGCCCCTCTGACCAGAGCAGCTCTTTCCTAGCTCGGCTCTACCTGTGACACGTGCTGATTCGGGACCACAGAATCCTCAGATACAGGAGCAAGCTGCTGTTTCAAGCTGCCATTGGCTTCTGGTTCAGCTGGTATCACTGTTAAAGCAGAATTCCTACTGTAAAAAGTCTGACCTTTGTGGGGAATGGACAGGGGTGGACCAGGGAGGACCGTGCATGGTTCCTCGGTTACTCAACGCTGAAGCTCAGCTTACCCTCTGCAATGGAGAGATGGAGGCTCCGGGGGCCTATCCGCTCTGCCTGAGGATGTGGAAGGCTGCCCCCACCCTGACTGTGTGTCATAGTTTGTTTTATGCTGTTCTAACAGAATATCTAGGACTGGGTAATTTATAAAAAACAGAGATTTGTTTCTTACAGCTCTGAGGGCTGGGAAGTCCAAGGCTGAGGGTCTCATGATTTTTGGGGGCCTTCTTGCTGCATCATCCCACGAGCAGAAGGCAGAAGGCAGAAGGCAAGAGGGCATAAGAGAGAGATGGAGAGAGGGAGCTGAACTGGCTTTTATAACGAACTCACTCCCACGTAGCATACACACTCCCCCAGGGCTGAATCCACTCTCTTGATGAGGACATTAATCCAATCTCAAGGGTAACGTCTTATGACCTAATCACCTCTTAAATGTTCCACCTCTCAACAACGTTGCCCTGGGGCTTAGGTTTCCAACATATGAGCTTTGGGAGACACATTCAAACCACAGTCCAGTGTCATATTGATTGGGGGAAAGAGGCCAGGTGAGCTTCAAGGGTCCAGGGCCGGGGGAGAATGCCCAAAGTCTTGCCTTTTTTTTTTTTTTTTTTTTGCTCCTCAGCTTATGTTTTCTTTTTCGCAATGTAATTCCTTTCAATTTCCCATAAACTCCTCAGCTTATGTTTTCTTTTTCACAATGTAATTCCTTTCAATTTCCCATAAACTCCTCAGCTTATATTTTCTTTTTCACAATGTAATTCCTTTCAATTTCCCATAAACTCTCAGTAAAAATGTCTTATCTGTGAAAACCTGGGTGTGCTGTGTTTTCAGGAGTTAAGACAGGGGTGGGCTTGGTGAGGTGTGGGGTGAGAGGCCTTTTGAGGGTGAGAAGCCCAGCCGGCAGCAGGGAGGGGTCCTGGAACAGGTACATCTTCCCTGAGAATGGGCAGAAATATTTGCAGAAGGAACCCTGGTCAAAGGCTGCACCTCCCTTATTCATGAAAGAGGGTCTGGATGAGGTCATAAGGCAAGTTGAGAAAATGATCGGCCAGGCACGGTGGCTCACACCTGTAATCCCAGCACTTTAGGAGGCTGAGGTGGAAGGATCACTTGAGCCCAGGAGTTTGAGACCAGCCTGGGCAATATAGTGAGAAACCCGCCTCTACAAAAAATAAACAAATAAAATGGTGGCAGGAGGGCTGGGGAATGTGGGTATGTGGATCATTTACGAAACAGGTGTCAGTTAGCATTTCATTAGAAAAAAAGGTTTCCTAAGTTTACTTTTTAAACATGTAAACTCCTGCTAAGATTATTTCTTAAAGCACATGAATGGATTCAGCCCTGGAGAGAATCCCAAGCTGGCTGGAAGGAGGAAAAAAATATTTTTGAGAGCTAAAAGTGCCAGAAAGATTGAGAAACTTTTTTTTGCTTTCCCTCCCAAACAACATTTCAGGTGGAACAGTGAGTTTTTCCACTTGGTCTTTCCCTTCTTTCTTCTAAACAAAAACGAGCTTTTAAATTGATGACACTCGATATAGAATCAAGACAACAGAAGTTGATCCTATGCCAGCAAATATGTTCTGGAACACTCAAAGCTTTGGAAAATAAATCAGTATTTTGCTTTTCTCAGTTGAGGTTAGGAAGAGAGAACACTTTGTTAAAATGTCAGTAACATCTGTGTTGCAAGGCAGTCACTGACACCAAACACCACTGTGTTGTTGACATCAAACCCCACGCCTGGAGTCCTATGTGCCTCCATCTGTGCCAACCAATGCTTCCCTGCCTGCAACAACCAGCATGTCAAAGACCTGTCCACTGAGAAAGCATTCAAATTTGGGGCATCGATCTATGAACACATCATCAGCCCTCAAATCCTGGGCCTGAAGGACTATGGAAAGGGAAAGAGGAATCCTGTCTGTCTCCCATTCCTGTGGTCCAGTTGGCCCCACCTAACACTGGTTTGGAGCAAAGCAACTCCAAGCTCCAGGGAGTAGTGAGCATCATTGAAGGAGGAATTTTGAGCACCTTTTTGTGCCAGGTATGGTGGGCAACCCAAAGATGACTAGGACATAAATTCAGCCTTCAAAGGATTTATAGTTCAGCAGGGAGGTTCACAAATATTACTAATACCAGTTAATGAGCTTGTAAGAATCAAAAGAAGTGTAGTAGCAGGCCAGGCTCAGTGGTGCACGCCTGTAATCAAAGCATTTTGGGAGGCCGAGGCGGGCAGACTGCTTGAGCCCAGAAGTTTGAAACCAGCCTGGGCACCATGGCAAGACCCCGTCACTATAAAGGATACAAAAATTAGCCAGGTGTGGTGATGCACGCCTGTAGTCCCAGCTACTGGGGGGGCTGAGGTGGGAGGATGACCTGAGCCTGGGAGGTTGAGGTTGCAGTGAGTCGAAATTGCGCCACTGCACTACGACCCCAGGCAACAGAGTAAGACCCTGTCTTGAAAAAAAAAAAAAAGTGTGGTAGCAACCATGAGTGGGAAAAACTGTCTCCTTCCAAGGAGACCAGGGTAGGGCAGTTGAGCTGCACCACGGATAATGTCGCAGTTCTCTCGAGCCTCATTTCTAGAAACACAATTTTAAATTAATAAAAGCTAATTAAATCAAATTTTTGCTTAGTAACATATCACAGTACATAGGAAACTGGGCACACATCTATCCTAATATTTAATGCCTTATGATCACTAAGCGTTTCCTGAAGCGATTCCTTTAAGTGAGCTCCCTGAGAGCAGAAACTGAGCATCGGATGCAGCGTCTAGCCCAATAATGTGCCGACGGAGTGTTTGATTATCTTCTGTCATAAGCACGTCACATGATGCAGATGCTCCATGGTTCAAGGGCTCTCCTGATTTCCCAGTTCACAAGGAAATACATTACAGATAAGGATTTTTAAAATCGTCTCCCAAACTGGCTTACCAACGTCTGAAGGAAAGAGATCCAGGGAAAAGGGAGAGGAGGCGGAGAGGAGACAGCATGATGTATGTTTCTGAATGAATGTTTTTCCGTAGAAGTCTATGCTGACTGAAATCGTGCTCACGTTCTCATGGGAGACAAAGAAAACACACAAGGCAGGTTGCGTCATTTGTGACACGGGTTTCCTTAAAGCCCACTTCTCAAAGTGGGGTCCACAGGCCCACAGCTTCAGCCTCACCTTGGAGCTTGCTGGAAATGCAGAAGCCTGGGCCCCACTCCTGACCTGCTCACCTGCAGAATCTGGGTACCGAGGCCCCAGGGGCTGTGAAGGCACGATTCGGTTTGAGCATCAGCTTCCACTTGCAGATGCCACCGTATCTTAACACATGTTCAAAGAAGCTGAGGGGATTGCAGACAGCCACCTGCCTCCAAGTGTACTGCCCCACAGCCATCCAAAATGACAACCCTGCAGGCTACTTGCAGTGGCCGGTGAAGCCCAAATCTCTGGGAAGAGGGCCTCCTTGGCCATATCCCAAAAGGTTGACTTTCTTTAACTTGCTGCTGTTGGACCTCTCTCAGTTCGGGAAAGGAATACTGCAGGATAAATCAATAATGCTGAGCCAAACAAATACTCCTGACGCAGTCACCACAGGTCATGACCAGAGAGGACAGGAACAGGGAAGCCTTCCAAACCCAGCAGGGAGGACAGTCCGCACCCTCCAGCCTCGCCTTGAAGGACCTGGTGCCTGCAAAGCCATCACAGCTGATCGAGTAAATCTGCTCTGCTGTGTTTGAATACCTTTAATTGCTGTAACCACAATTTTACCTTGAGAGAAGGCAGAATGGGGGATGGGGAACTGCAGAAAGCTAGCAGGAGGGGAGGGCCGAGCAGGTTCCGGGGTCTCCAGGCTGTCTGCAGGCACTGCCTCCCCGGGCCGCAGGACTGTTCTGTGAGCTGGGGATGACTCCTTTCTCCCTTTACTCAATCACGGGAGCACTGAGGCACTGGAGATGAAACCACTTCCCAAAGGTGCTTGAAGGCGGAGCCAGTGCTTTGTACCTGGATTTACTTTCTATGGTTACAACAATTCCACGAAGAGGGTGGGGAGCGGGTAAGCTAGTGAGGGAATCTAGCTGCCACAGATGTTAAGTTCCGCACAAAAGGACTTAGTGTGTTTCCTACGCAAGCACAAGATTATGAAAATATTTCCAGCCTTATTCAAATTTCCTCAATATGCTTTCAAGGGAAATGGTTTTACTTAGATAATTCTTCAAAGACTTTATGCAATAAAACTGTATACCTCATACCTTTTTGTAAAAATGGTTAAAATATCCAAAGCCCAGAATGAGTATCCAATTCCTGGAGGTGGAAATGGTCCTAAACATTATCTGATGACTTTTTAAACTGTCTACTGACTTTTAAGGAAACTGTAGTTCAACGAAGTGTATGACTTATTCCAGGTCACGAATTGAGTGGCCAAGTCACAACCGGAACTCAGAACCTCTGACTCACGGGCCACATTCTGCCACACACACTGCAACTGGAATTAAAGTCAGGATTTCTGATCACAGCAGGGGAAAAGGGGTTTTCTCTTGGTTTGTAGACAGTTCTGCAGAGCGTGCATAGCTGGGTGTCGACTAGGACCCCTGTACTAACACCCCAGCCCTGTGCACCCGGCAGCCCTCCGAGGAAGTTGGCCCAGGGTCTGCCTGCTTCTCCCTCATCGCTGTTGAGGCTTGCTTCATGATTCTGAAACTCTGTTACTGGGCTTATATACATTGTTGGTTGTTATGTCTGTTATGTCTTCCTGGTAAACACACCGTTTCATGATTATGAACATCCCTCATTGTCTCTGGTAACGCTCCGTCTTCAGGGATCTTATCTGATATTCACAAAGCCCCTCCAGCCTTCTTCCCACTGCTGTTTGCGTGGTTTGCCTTTTCCATCTTTTCTTTCAGCTTCTCTGCGTAGCACTGCGTCTTGCATTTTTATCCACTCTGAGTATCTCTGCCTTCTCTTTGGAAAGTGGAATCCAGTGCATATAATGTGATCTTCCTTATGGCTCAGGGTCTTCCATTCGGAGATTTGCTTTCTGTTTGTCCCTCAGTTTCATTGTTGTTGTTGCTGTTTTCTTCCTTTTTTGCCTTCTTTTGAGTTGACTGATTTTTTTACAATCCCATTTTTATTTACCTATTGGCTTTCTATTTATCGGCTTTTTAAGCTATGTTTTGTAATTTTTCTTTTATCATGTCAAAACATATATGACATAAAACTTCCCAAATGGTGAAAACCGTGGATAAACTGTATAATTCAGTAGCACTGCATGCATTCACAATGTTGTGCAACCATCACCACCGTTTATTTCCAACACTTTTGTACCACCCCATCATAATCTATATCTTCTTTTGCACTTTTGTTTCAGTGGTTGCTTTAGTGATGGCAATGTACATCCTTAGCTTGCCCCAGCCTATTTAGTTAACACTGCTTCACTTCACATAAAGCCAAGAACTTTGCACCTAAAAAAGGTCCATCTACCACTGTCCCCCTTCCTAGTGGCCTATGTGTTACCTCCACATACATATAAGCCGCATGAAGTGTTATAGTTGTTATGTAAACAGCCATAGGGGTTCTAGATGAATTAAGCAGAGGCACGAGTATATAAGTCCGCACAGAGCCCTCCCCTGGGTTTGTGTTGCTGCCTCTCAGAGGGGCTTTCAGGCCCTACCCTTTGAGTCTTCCTAGCACTTTGCAGCTGAAGCCCTGGAAACCTCCGCCCAGGGTGCGGCTCTCACAGCACCCACGGCGAGCCCCACCCATGGCTCTCAGTCAAGAATGGTTGCAAAGGGCGGTCAGCTTCCCCATCACGCAGCATTTGGGAGGCTTGTCTCTGAACGTGATGTGGTTGATCCCAAGCTGGTTCTGAAGTTCATGTCCAGTAAGAGAAACATTTGAAACAGAGTATTATTTATAAAGCCAGGGAATGGTCTTACATTCTTGCAGTCAATACATTTTAATCTGAAGCCAGGGTGCACTAGCAAGGTACTACGGACCTCACTCTGATTCTAGAAGTTATTTCAGAAAATAAAAATCAGCAACTTGCCTGCACACAGAAAGATGAAATGACCAGAGACAGCAGATTCATAAGCAAGCCCTTAGGAAAGCCAGCCGCAGTGTCACAGATGGGCGAGGGCACACTTCTCACTAAAGTCCTTCATTCAACATCATTTAGTGATAAGGTAGTTATAACATGGATGAGAAAAAATAATTGATCCCCAGAGGGGCCACTGTCTGTGTGGAGCCTGCATGTCCTCCCCATGTGCTGTGGGTTTCCTCCAGGTACCCCGGGTTCCTCCCACATCCCAAAGCTGTGCACATGAGGCTCACTGGCACATCCCCATCTGAGTGAGTGTGAGTGTGACTGTGCCCTGCCATGGGATGCCGTCCTCTCCAGGACGGTTGCCCGCCTTGGTCCTGAGCTGCCTGGATGGGCTCAGCCCCCTGCCACCCTGAACTGGAATAAGCAGGTTGGAAAATGAAAGGATACAAATTTTGTCAAATAAAAATTCGTAAAGCATACGGTATTCACACAGAGATGCAGGACAATACCAGATGCAGTAGGAAAGGCCCAGCGGGCTGAGAATTGGCTCTTGTTTGTTTTGAAACCACATGATAGGGGGAGGCACTTCAGAGCTTTGGCTTGGCCAACATTATTTTTGATTTAACGCAGCCCCTCCACGACCTGGTCACTCATAGATTCACCAGAAATTGGGTAATGATCTTACTTTTTTTTTTTTTACTTTAAATGTATATTCTCCAATTTAAAACTTAATTAAAAAGTAAACTTTAATGTCGAAAATGCAAACTTGGGGAGGGCAGAAAGATCACACACAAGGCTGTCACTTCACACTTGGAGGGTTGCACAGCGGCTGGGCAGAGGCGCTCCTCGCATCCCAGACAATGCAGGGGCCGGGCAGAGGTGCTCCTCACTTCCCAGACAGGGCGATCTTACCTTCTTAAATGCACGTAGAGCTCACATGTATTTCAGTGTTTCGTATTAGAAGTGTGCTTCTTTGGTGATGTTTTTGTGGCCAGAACTATACCATAGGAATGTAACTCTTGTTTATATCAATTAGCCTCCGGAGAAATTGATGTTTGATATGTGTCGTTTCACCTAAAGTCACAGTTTCCAAGAACCTATGGACAACCCCAAGTGAGGTCTTGCTGTGTAGATGCGTGCACTGTGGAGTGAGTGTGGAGCTCCCAGCAGGGGACACTGGGCGCCCAGCAGGGCTGCCTGTGAGTCTGCATTACCTGAAACAAGAATTTGTATCTTTCCCAGAGACATGAGCTTTCTCCACTCTTATCTGCAGGGACGTGTGCAGGTCTGGGGAGAAGCCTGCGTTCACCTCAGGGTCTCCCCCACAGCGGGTGGCAGCCCTCCCCACCCCCAGCCCCATCTCTGGTGACGCCTGTCGAATTAATCACAGGAGCCACTTTCCTTTTCCTTGACACAGGTTCTCAGCACTGACTCAGTCTGATGGGGCTGTGAGACAAAGAATTTCCTCCACTTCTTACTCTGCTGCTCTAGTTTCCTCCACCCCACCCCAAGTTGCAGACTTTTATTTCATTATTTTATTTTATTTTCCGGTCTGGAGAAGCCTGTGACTCCATACCACCCATCCTAAGACACCGCATTCTCTCAGTAATCCTCTCTTTCTTGCACCTTCAAAACCTGTTTCTGCTGGTTCCTAAATTTCTGACTTTCGTTAACTTAAAGGAATTAGATGAAGGCTTCTTTTTTGAAGAGGCTTTTTGAAATCTCCCTCCCCTGTGTAAGAGGCCAGTTAATTATTTTAACTCAGCCTATTTGGGAAGGAAAAAAAATGTGTTCCTCTTTTTTTTCAAAAGTGCCTACTACAACATCATACTTACCAAAAACATGTAGTAATTGTTCAGCATTGTTGAGGATAACAAGCCTCTTTTGATAGCAGTTGGCTCCTCATTACATAAAAAAGACAAAGAGTGGTAAATTCAGCATCTTCAAGGAATATTTATCAAGTTCCATCGAAAGCAAAGCTCTCAAAGGTTAATGTATGCACGAATCACCAGACTACTGACATTCGGTTCCGGTGCCAGGGTCTGAGTGGGGCCCCAGGTTCTGCCTTCTCAGTGACCCCACAGGGTGTGGACCTTCTCTGGCCAGAGGGTCACACCCACAGGGAGAGAACCATTAGGAGTTGGGGTGTGTGGGTGCCATGTGACTTCTCTGCAGGAACAGATGACCTCTACTTCTAAGCAAGAGGAGACAGCCTCCAGTGTAACCTGTTTTACCTGCAGCCAGGTGTCAGCCTCCAATGCGACTCACTCAGCAGCAGTGCAATGATAAAAGGTCCACACGCTGGACCTCCATACCAGGACCACATTTGGAGCAGCCCACAGGTAGGCTTCTGACGTCTGGCACACTAAACCATGCCCCCGTCCACTTTGGAGAACCCAGAATTTTCCAAGTGTTTCTTATGCTTGGATCCTTAGTTGTAGACTCGGTGTGGAATGGGATGACATTTCATCACCTCATTTGTCATAGCCATCGCTGTGATCTCAACACACAATACTAGTGATAATAAAGTGTATCAACACAAAATTAGTTCAGCTTGCTTTTGTTACTCGCAGTTTTAAAGTAAGACAGTGCTATTAATAAACAGAATAGGTCACTTCATTGAGGCTAGATTTAGCTTGCTTTCACTGTGTATTAAATTTTGCTAAATAACAGTTGAATCTGGCTAATGAAGTTCTTCTTTCTTTTTTGCACTAAGTAAAATCTTTGAAATTGTTAACTTAGTAGTTTAATTAAGTATTGGAGTAATTTCCTCCTCAGATACGAGAGTGTTGGGTGTAAACATGTCTACACGTTAAGGGTTAAGAAAAGAGACCAGGCTCACCCTTCCCCACGCACTGGGGCATTGTTGTTCTCTGGCCAGGGGGTCACACCCAAAGGGAGAGAACCATTAGGAGTTGGGGTGTGTGGGTGCCATGTGACTTCTCTGCAGGAACAGATGACCTCTACTTCTAAGCAAGAGGAGACAGCCTCCAGTGTAACCTGTTTTACCTGCAGCCAGGTGTCAGCCTCCAATGCGACCCATTCAGCAGCAGAGCAATGATAAAACTTCACATAATAAACCTTAACCAAACTTACTGCTGTTAACCTACCTGCCATTCTTTGCTTCTGGATCGCAATGGCCTGGGGTGAGGAGGGGTTGTCATTTTGTTCTGATTTGCCGAATTCTCTCAGCTCTGTCGTACACACAGTTCCTTAGTTATATACATATAGAATGTTCTAGTAAGAGTAACACACTAAGGAAAAAAACTGCTATTGAATACTTAAAAGTACAGTTTAAGGGTTTCTTGTTAAAGCACAGCTTAAGATGTTTTAGGCGAGCTCTGATTAAAAAGGGAAACAGGAAATCATTATGAATGGAAAGCAGAACAAGAGCCATTTGTCCCACAAGCAATGGATGAGGGGACTGGTGACGCCGAGCTGATGACTGATGGCACCCCGTGCCCACCGGAGGAAGTAGAAGAGCCTGTCCAGAGGCAGCACCCCCAGGGCATCTGATGCCAGCGGCAGAAGCCAGGCTGGAGGATCACACATGAGAAAGAATTTCACCACACTTGGTTGACTGTGCAACCAGGTTATTTTATCAGAAGACAGTGCTGGAATTGATCCTAAGGAAAAAGAATAAAAGATGTGTACACACTTAGCACACATATTTGTTGCAGCTTTGTTTACGATACTGAAAAGTATGAAATGGTCTATTAATGCCCAACAATATTAGATAGGTAACTAATCTGTCACACACACACACACACACCCTTATGTAGCCAGTAAAAATGTTGTTGAGAAGGTTTTTTTTTTTGTTTTTTTTTTTGAGACAGAGTCTTGCTCTGTCACCCAGGCTGGAGTGCAGTGGCACAATCTCAGCTCACTGCAAGCTCCGCCTCCCAGGTTCAGGCGATTCTCCTGCCTCAGAATCCTGAGTAGCTGGGATTACAGGCACCCACCACCACGCCTGGCTAATTTTTGTATTTTTAGTAGAGACGGGGTTTCACCATGTTGGCCAGGCGGGTCTTGAACTCCTGACCTCAAGTGATCCACCCGCCTTGGCCTCCCAAAGTGCTGGGATTACAGGTGTGAGACACAGTGCCCAGCTGAGAAGGTATTTCTTGTCACAGAATAATATTTGCCCTGAATTCTTGGGGAAGGGATAGGCTAAGGAACAGGATACAAAATAATCTGTATAGTATATGGTTCTACATATCAAAACTGGTACATAAATTTACATGTATAATTATGTCACAAAAGAACCTGGTAGTGTATATGCCACAATGCTAACTATGACCAGCCCTGAGTTTGGGGAGTATAGGTGAGTTCTATTTTCTTGTTTTTACTTCTCTGTGTTTTCTGGCTTTTCTGCATGAATTACTTATGTCACTAAAAACAAACAAGCTTTTTAAGGCAACCTTCCAGGGCATTTCCCACTTCTAACATATCTCAATTCTTTATTCACGCTTATGCAATGAAATTCCCATAGTATTTTTCACACTCTTAATAAACACATTCTCTAAATTAGGTGCACTCAACCCTAATCATATGCAGTCTCTAGAGTGTGGCTGAAACTCCTTGCTGTGGGCAAACCGTATGTCTTGCCTTGTAAATTAAAGAATGTGGTTTTCAAACAGTTGCTGGGGTTAGTGGTGCCTGGCTGTCACCCTGGTGTCTCCTAATCCCACTCTCAGTAATCCTACTGTACCTATTGGTGCAAGTACAGGAAAAACAAAACAAAAAACCCCATCCCATCAAAACCAAATCATGTTTTTATTGTCTTGGGCTTTTCTTTTCTTTTTTCCTTTTTTTTTTTTTGAGACAGAGTCTCACTCTGTCGCCCAGGCTGGAGTGCCGTGGCATGATCTTGGCTCACTACAACCTCCGTCTCCTGGGTTCAAGCGATTCTCCTGCCTCAGCCTCCCGAGTAGCTGGGATTACAGACGTGCACCATCATGCCCAGCTAATGTTTGTATTTTTAGTAGAGATGGGGTTTCACCATGTTGGCCAGGCTGGTCTCAAATGTCTGACCTCAAGTGATCCACCTGCCTCAGCCTCCCAAAGTGCTGGGATTACAGGCATGAGCCACCTCGCCTGGATGGGCTTTTCTAATATTATTAAATGGCCCAGTGCCTCCGTGTCCAAGCTCCCAGGGAGCCCTGCCCTGGTGTAAGGCAACGGCCCCCCAGCGATCTTGGGTTAAGTGGGAGGAAGCCTGCATGTCCGCAGCAGCCTCCACGTCCTTAGCCCCAGAGATGGCTTTCAGAGGCTTCCGTGTCATCCCTGGGAACCTGGACTGAGGACAGCCAGGCTTGCAGAGGGGTCAGTTCTTCCTGAAAGCAGCTTGCTGAGAGTGGGACAAGAAGTAGTGATAAGTCCTCCAGGTCCCAGCAGGAACCAGAAGTCCCCTGGACCCTCTAAGGAAAGACGCATTAATGAAAAGACTACTTGGAGAGGTGTGGCCAGGGTGAAGGAACAAACAAGGGCTGGTGAGGCAACCAAACACAGGAGACAGAGGAAGTCATTCCCTTCCCCAGGGCTGCAGACCAAGGAAGGAGCCAAGCGGACCCACCTTCCCATCCTCAGGGCTGCAGACTAAGTGGGAAGCTGGGAGGGTCCACCTTGGGAGCAGCTATTGTCCAGGGATGGGGGCACAGCCACTGCTGCAGACAGAGGGCTGGGCAAGGAGGGAGCAGGACGGGCATCCAACCTCCCTCTCTCACCCTCTCAACCTGCTGTCACCACCTGCAGAGGTAGTGGGCCAGCAGGCAGCCTGGGGAGCCAGGCAGGACCCAGAAGGGCAGAGAATGGATCAGGAGACTGAGAGCAAAGGGAGAGAGACCAGCACAGGGGATGAGACCTCTGGGGGACTCACCCTGGGAGAACTCAATCAAGGGACACATTGTTGGATCACCAGGTGACCCAGAAGAGATGAAGGAGATGAGAACAGAGAGAATTCTTGCAATGAAGCTCAGCTCTAGCAAACACTAACCTCCGGAGTGCAGACAGCATGACAGCACACAGATGGAGGCCTGAGAGGGCAGGGAAGAGAGGCCAGAGAATATGCAGAGAAGAAGCTCAAGAAGGACAAAGAAGCCTAATGAAGGACCTGCTGCCTTGTGGATGCCGCTGGAGCTTCCAGCAGCTGAGAGCACAGAGCATTGCACCCAAAGACGATGCCCCTGCCCTCACCCCTCTGCTGTTCTGTCTCCTCTTCATCGCTTTCGCACTCCAACCCCAGGGACTTATGGAACATAGGTCCCGGCAGGACCTAATGTCAAGGAAGAACCAGGCCGATGTCATTTCTGCCTCCTTCCGTATTTTTTTTACTGTGGTAAGTCATATATAACATAAAACTTACCCTTTAATCATGTTCAAGTGCACAGTTCTGTGGCATTACGCACACTCGCATCGTTGTGCCATCGCCACCATCCATCTCCAGACCCTTTTCATCTTCTGAAAGGAAACTCTGTCCCCACCAAACACTCATGCCCCATCCCTCCCCCAGACTCCGGCACCCCCCACTCTCCTGTCCGCCTCTGTGATCTGACGACTCTGGGGACCTCATATGAGTGGAGGAGTCTTTGTCCTTTTGCGACTGGCTGATTTCACTCACCATAACATCCTCCAGTTTCCTCCATCTCCTTCCTGTTTACAGCTGAGTGATATTCTATGGTACGGAAAGGCCCCATCTTGCTCACTCGCCCATTCACCCATCAGTGGACTTTGGGTTATCTCCACCCTTGGCTCTTGTGAATGTTGCTGTGAGGGGCACGGGGGTACCCGTATCTCTTCAAGGCCCTGCACTCAGTTTCTGTGTGCAAACACCCAGAAGTAGACTTGCTGGCTCACATGGTAGTTCTTTTCTTTCTTTTATTTCTTTTCAGAAACCCCCTGTGATGGTTGATACTGAGTGTCAACTGGATTGGATTGAGGGATACAAAGTATTGATCCTGGGTGTGTCTCTGAGGGTGTTGCCAAAGGAGATGAACATTTGAGTCAGTGTGCTGGGAAAGGCAGATCCACCCTCAATCCGGATGGGCTCCATCTAATCAGCTGCCACGGCGGCTAGAATATAAAGCAGGCAGAAAAATGTGAAAACAGACACTGGCTTAGCCTCCCAGACTACATCTTTCTCCCGTGCTGGATGCTTCCTGCTCTTGAACATCAGACTCCAAGTTCTTCTGTTTTGGAACTGGGACTGGCTCTCCTTGCTCCTCAGCCTGCAGACGGCCTATTGTGGGACCCTGTGATTGTGTGAGTTAATACTTAATAAACTCCCCTTCATATATATGTATCTATTCCATTAGTTCTGTCCCTCTGGAGAACCCTGACTAATACACCGCCGTGCTGTTTTCTGGAGCAGCTGCATCATTTCACATTCTCACCAACAGCACACAAGGGTTCCAATCTCTCTACGCCCTCATCAGTGCGTGTTCTTTTCTGGTTTTTGTTTTTACAATACCCATCCTAAAGGGTGTGAAGTGACGACCCACTGTGGTTTTGATTCGCATTTCCCTGCTGACTGGTGAAGCTAAGTGCCTTTCCATGTGCTTGTGGGCCACCTGCACTGTCTTCTTTGCTCTTTCCATGTTTTGTCCATGTTATTGTTGAAATCTGCTGTGGCCCGGGCCCCCAAACACCCGGCTGCCTTCCTACTAGTGCCTGTTCCATGTCACCGTAGGTCTATGGTACACCCATTCCTCTTCCCCATCCTCTGGCTGTCCCCCTGCCCTGCCTACCCCTCCCCAGGGCCCATGGTGGAGCTTGATGGCAGCCTCATCCTCCAGACCCCAGCTGGAGCCTCTGCACCGCCTGTGCTGCTCTAAGGAATCACAGGCGCCTTCCCACCGTCTCCATCCCAGGCCGTCTTTATCCCTCTTCATCCCATCCCGTAGGGTCCTGTCCCCTGTCCCTCCACCACACACAAGCCTGGCTGCAAAACAGGATGTGGCTTTTCCACATTTCCTCTTTCTTGCTAATCTTGAACAGGGGCACGAATAAAGATTTTTCTGCCAATAACTACAGAGAAACTAACAAAAGATTTTAAAAACAACAGGCAAGGGGAAGTCACGAACACCGCACAGTCCTGCAAGCTTCTTAGAGTCCTTGTCGTCACGAACACCGCACAGTCCTGCAAGCTTCTTAGAGTCCTTGTCGTCACGAACACCGCACGGTCCTGCAAGCTTCTTAGAGTCCTTGTCGTCACGAACACCGCACGGTCCCGCAAGCTCCTTAGAGTCCTTGTCGCCAGCCCAGGGCCCTTGGCTCACTTCTGAGGAGGTGAATGGAAGCCACGGTCTTCCCGCCTTTAGTTCTGCGAACAGGGTCCACTGACCCCACCCGTCTCCTGGGAGCTGCCAGGTGGAAGATGATCACCTGTTTCTTCCTCGAAAGCCCTGGGCCTGAAGAGCTATGCAGTGGGGACGGTGAGTTCTGCTCTCTCAGAGATGCTCCAGGTCGTGCGACTCAGCACAATGGTCATAGCCTCCCACCAGTGGGCACCTTTGTCTTGGGGTCTGTGGTAAGAGAAGCCACATGAGACCACCATATTCCACCTCTGAGCTCTCCAGCAAGGCCTCCTCCCATCCCACCAATGCAGGCCTCTGCCACACTGTGTCCTCCCTGCCCAGGGTCAGCAGTGGCCCTGGTCTCGGGCCATCCTGATCTCCAGTCTGTGGCTGGTCATCTTCCAGCACAAATACCAAGCGTGCGCTGCTCCTGAGTTCCAAAGACTTCCCATTGTCCCCAGCAGCACACCCCAGGGGCGCACAAAATGTTTCCAGGAAAATATTCAGCTTTGCTACTACTCAGCAGACGGGGGGACCGTGGCACCCCCGGCCTCAGCCAGACCGTCCGCTGCACACCTGCATGGCACTGACTGAACATGACGTGTCCGATCAACACGGGGCCATGCCTCCGAGAACGCGACTGCAGCTCTCCCTGCACCTCTGTCCCATCTTCAGCTACAGAACCGGAGCTCCATACGCGGGCCTGGGGGTCATCTGAATGTAAACTTCACTTTAGAGTCACCATACTCTCATAATCTACACTGTTTTAATAAAATCTTAGTAATTCTCTGTAAGGAGATGACGAGTGACCATGGAAATATTTCATCTCGTGCAGGGTCTCATTGTTTATCTCATGGCAAAATATACTTTTTTAATGGTTGGATGTAAACATGAACTCAAACACGTTTTATTTATTAAGATACAACCTGAACCACAAAAACAAGGAGATCAAAGATGAAGTGGCTTAGACAGAAGTTTCAGTCTCTCTCCCCAGACTGTCTGGAGGTGAGTGGATGGCGCTTCATGAGGTTGCTGGGGACCCCTGTCTGCTGGGTCTCTTGCTCTGTTGTCCTGTTACGACACGCGGTGCATGGCATGGCACATGGTCGGCATGGTAGATGCTGGGTTGCTGCCACACCCACACTCCCTGCTGGAGGAAAAAACAGAGATCAAGAGGGAGTCCAGGGAAGCGCCTTCATCTTCAGAGAGTGACTGGGAGTTGCAAACAACCCACCTGCCCACTGCCCACTGGCCCAAATTTAGGCTCATGGCCACACCAACCGCTGAGAAGTTCAGTCTAGCTGGTGCCCAGTCTTTAGCTGGTTCGGCTAAAATTCAAGAGGCTCTGTAATTAAATATCTATTTATAATATATCATGTAGTGCATATAAGATATGAGGACAGCTATATATATATATATATGTAGTAAATACATTGATATATGTATTGGGGAGAACAAGGTAAACATCAGCCAACTGAAACAGATGATCAAAAAAGACTTAGCCACACCAGCTCCCGGGACAAAGGCTAAGCTGCTTAGCCTGTCCCCAGGCTTCAGCCCAGCTGACTTCTCCACTCTGTCTCCCACGTGCTCAGAATCCCCCGAGGGCCTCACGCCTCTGCGCAAGTTGTTCCTCTGCTGGAATGGCTTTGCTCCTTCTCTGGGTGACAAATTCATCTTTCGAGACTGAGCTCAAATGTCACATCTCCTGAGAGGCATTTTCTAATTGTCCCTCTTCTGTGTTTCCATAGCACCGCCTGTCTATGAATTTCTATGATAAAAATCACCAAAATGCATCGAAATGATGTTTTCATGTCTGTGGTAGGCAGAATATCAGTCCGCTCCCAAAAGTCCACAGTCTAATCCCTGGAATTCGTGAATGTGTGATGTTACATGGTGAGGGGACTTTGCAAACTCGATTAAAGATCCTGGGATGAGGAGATTCTGCTGGTGTCTAAGCCCATGCGGGGAGCTCTAACAAAGTACCAGCGACTGGGCTTATAAACAGCAGATATTCATTTCTCACAGTGCCGGAGGCTGGAAGTCCAAGCTCAGGGCACTGGGAGACAGTGTCTGGCGAGGGCCACTTTCTAGTTCAGAGATGGCGCCTTCTCCTGCATCCTCACATGGTGAAGGGGCCAGGGAGCTCTCTGGGGCTCTCTCTTCAGGG
Source organism: Homo sapiens (assembly GCF_000001405.40). NCBI lineage: Eukaryota > Metazoa > Chordata > Mammalia > Primates > Hominidae > Homo > Homo sapiens. The sequence continues at coordinate 155,289,888 of NC_000007.14, forward strand.
CCCCGACCCCATTCACAATGGCTCCACCCTCATGACCTCAGCACCTCCCAAAGGCCCCACCTCCTGGCACCATTGCCTTGGGGTGCGGCTTTCAACGTATGAATTTGGGAGGACACAGACACTCAGCTCATACTACCTGGGTTATTCAGGCAAGTCCCACCTAACTCCAGGCCCTTCGAAGTGAGCAGGAGGCCAGAGTGATACCACGACAGGGCCATGAGCAGGGAAGGCAGGCAGCCTCTGGGTGCTGGGAAGGGCGAGGGAACAGACCCCCTGGAGTCTCCAGAAGGAACCCAGCCTGCCAGCGCCTTGATCTTACTGCAGCGAAACCCAGTTCAGGCACCCAACCCCCAGAGCTCTGAGATGACACATGCGTGCTGTGCAGGGCCACCGTGTTTGTGGTCATTTGTCACAGCAGTGCCGGGAGCCTCCTCCTAGGTCCTTCTCCCCCATTAGTTTGTGAGCAGCTCCAGGACCATGCAGCAAGAGCCCTTGTGTATCTCTAGCACAGTGCCTGGGGCACAGCAGGAACTCCAGGGGTGAGAGCAATGGGGGTGCGGGGAGCCCAGCTATGGACTCAGGGAGGCTGGATCTGAACCCCTGCTCTGCCCCTCAGCATTGTCACAGCTTTGAGCACATTGCTTGCTTCAGGACTCCATTTCTTCACGTTCTTCACCAGATAGAGAGAACACTCATCTTTCAGGTGCCGTGAAATTGAGTAACACAGATTATATGGTGTGTCTATATTTTGGGTGGTAGCCACCGACCGTGGGGCCAAGGCCTGACATGACCACACAGGTGGCAAGCCCCTGGCCCCTCCGCCCCTCACTCCTTCCTGCTCCATGCTCCACATCCCTCCCAGTCCCGGAGGACAGAAGGCTGAAAGCAAGGTGTTTCCAGGCCCTGCTCCCTGTGAGAGCCCTACGGGACAATCCTTCCTTACTCCTTCCGGCCTCTGGTGGCTCCCAGCAAACCATGGCGCATGTCCGCCTCCGTCCTCACACGGCTTCTCCTGCATGTCTGTCTCTGGGTCTCACCTCCTCTTCTTAGGAGGAAACAGTCATGTTGGATTTGGGCCCACCCTACTCCAGTGGGAACTCATCTTAACTCATTACATCTCCAAAGACTCGATTTCCAAATAAGGTCACATTCTGAGGTTCCCAGAAGGACATGAATTTGGGGGCACACCATCCCACCCAGTGCACCCCCTCTGCCACTGCTATCTGCTGCCTTCACTCCCCAGGGACTCAGACACCTGACACACAGTCTGTCTCCATATCCCAAACCTGTCATTGTGCTGAGGACTTCGTCCCACTCAAGCATGACTCATCCAAGGCCTCGCCTCTGGGTTCCCTGACCTCCTTGGCCCTGGTGACTCACTCCACACCACTCCAGCCACCCAATCCCAGGCTCATCGTGGGGACTGCCACCCTCTGCAGTGGCTCTCCCCTGACGCCATGTGCCCACACAGCCTCCTCCTGCCCAGGCTCTCGCCTTCAGATCACCCATCCAGTAATGAATCTGTGGGAGCTTGGGTTGCATTAATCAATGAATATTGCTACCCTTGTAGGGCCAATACCCAGTGTTCACATAGGGCAAGCCTCTACACACTGACCCTTCCCTCTGTGGGGCCCTCTTCCTCCCGGCATACTCCTTTCACCTCCATTTCACCTGACCCAGGTTCCATGACGCCACCAGCCGCCTGCCGCTAACCTGCCCTCCACTGCTCCATTGCCCCTCCTTGGCACCACCAGGAAAAAACCAATTCTAGAGGCCCCTCGAATGCTCTGCCATTGCTACCCAGCCTGGAGTGTCGTAGAGAAGAACTCCCACGCCACCCTGCAGATTGGGCCCTGTGAAGTCGCCATCACAAACCTCCACCAGGCACTCCACACCAAAGGGTTTACACTCCCAGTTTCCAATCGCTCCTGTCTCCCTCTTAACTCAGGAGCTCTCCTCCTTCTTCAGAAATGACAGAAACTTCCTGAGGGGAAGGCGACCCCACCACACCGCCCCCATCTCTCCCACCTACTTCCTCAGTAGAGGGTGTGCCTGCCCAGGAATCCCCACTAGGATTGGTCCTAGACACCAATCTCCTCCTCTAATCTTCTCCTCAGGGACCTCACTCTCCACTGCCTGCTCTCACTCCCTCTTCTTCAGTCTTTCTTTATTTTATTATTATTATTTTTGAGACAGAGTCTCACTCTTGTCACCCACGCTGGAGGGCAATGGAGCAATCTCGGCTCACTGCAACCTCCACCTCCTGGGTTCAAGCGATTCTCCTGCCTCAGCCTCCCGAGTAGCTGGGATTACAGGCATGTGCCACCACGCCTGGCTAATTTTTGTATTTTTAATACAGACGGGGTTTCACCATGTTGGTCAGGCTGGTCTCGAACTCCTGACTTCGTGATCCACCTGCCTCAGCTTCCCAAAGTGCTGGGATTACAGGCGTGAGACACCACGCCCTGCCCTTCTTCTTCAATCTTTCTACTGGGTCCATCAGCGTTTATATTTGTTCACGTCTCTCATTTTTTAAAACAAAACAGGCTGGGCGCCGTGGCTCATGCCTGTAATCCCAACACTTTGGGCGGGCAGATCACCTGAGGTCAGGGGTTCAAGACCAGCCTGGCCAACATGGTGAAACCCTGTCTCTACAAAAATACAAAACTTAACCGGGTGTGGTGGCAGGTGCCTGTAATCCTGAGTGGGAGGCTAAGGAGGGAGAATCCCTTGAACCAGGGAGGTGGAGGTTGCATGAGCTGAGATCGAGCCACTGCACTCCAGCCTGGCTGACAGAGCAAGACTCTGTCTCAAAATAAACAAACAAACAGACAGACAAACTAAACTCTTTCCCCATCACTCTCTCCTCCAGCTTCCATCATCTCTCCCCTCCTTCTCACAGCCAGACCCCTTCCAGAGGGATCTTCACTGGCAGCCTCATTTTCCTTGTCTCCTTATCTCATGGAAGCGCAGCTTCCCCCGTGACTCAGGCCACTCACACCGAGCTTCCTGCTGACCACATCACAGGACCCCCAGACATGATTGGTCTCTGTCTTGCATGCCATGGCTGCCACTTTCTCCTTTCCAGAACATCCCCCCCCCGGATTTCTTGGTCGCACACTTTCTTCCTATCTTACTGGACCTTCTGCCACTGCCCCTGGCAGCCCCTTTCCTCTGCTCCAGCCTCAGGGCTGTACGAGGCACACTGACTTCTCATCCTACACAGTCTGCCTTGGCCCACCCTCCACTCCAATGCAGAGTCACCATCTGCAGTGGTCTCTGCGATGGATTCACCAACAGCTCTTCACATTGGAGGGTCATCTCTCTGCCAATCATAACTGTTCTACTCCCCTTTCCAGTGATCAATATAGGCATGGACAGTCTGACCAACTTGACTTGCAGAAGCAGCTCTGGGGTCTTCTTACCACTTGGGGCTCTGAGGATGAGTCCACTGTTGGCTGTGGAATCTGGTTGTCCCATCAGCCGCAGCGTGGGGCTGAGTATAGTCATGTGTCGCGTAACAACGAGCATGTATTCTGAGAAATGCATTGTTAGGAGATTTTTCATGCAGACACCATTGAGTGCATTTACATAAATTGAGACAGTAGAGCCCACTACACACCTAGGCTGGAGGGCATTCCTCGTACACCTGTGCAGCATGTGACTGTACTGCATACTGTGGGCAAGTGGAACCCAATGGCGAGGATGTGTGCATCTACACATATCTAAACGTAGAAGAGGTGCAGTAAACATATGGCATTACATGGGCCCACCATCGTATATGCAGCCTATCACTGATGGAAATGTCATCGTGCAGTGTATGACTGTATTAGAATCAGGAAAACTGAAAGAGTTAATGAAGGAGGGGTAAACTGGGGCCAGTAAGAGACGGAAGATAGAGAGCTACCAGATGCATTTCTTTTCTTTCTTTTCCCCCAAAGGACTGTTCTTGCAAGGCATGGTGGGTCTCCACAGCCTGTACAGAAGGTACCCTGTGTGACTAGCAACCACATGTCACGCAACAGCCATGGTCGGCTCAGTGAGGTGACCCTCACCATAGCTTCTCCTTCACTGCTTCACTCACCTCTTTCCCTCACTCTTGGGGGATTGTGCTTTCATGGCAAGTAAGCTAAGGCACTTCCCTTCATAGACAAACACTATTCTGCTTTTGAAAACGATGACATACCACTTCACATCCACTGAGATGGCTAGAATCAAAAACTCAAGGAATAACAAGTGTTGGCAAAGATGTGGAGAAATCAGAACCCTCATACCCTGCTGATGGAGGTTTAAAATCATGCAGCTGCTTTGGAAAAAGTCCAGCAGTTCCTCAAATGATTAAACATAGAGTTACCATGTGACCCAGCAAGTGCACTCCTAGTAACTCCACCCAAGAGAAATGAAGAGCTACACCCACATGGATGAGCTTGTGCACATTTATAGCAACATCATTCGTAATAGCCGAAAAGTGAGAACAACCCAAACGTCCACTAGCTGGTGAACGGATAATCAAAATGTGGCCTCTCCATACAATGGAACATTATTCAGCCATAAAAAGGGATGAAGTGCTGACATATGCTATGACATGGATGAACCTTGAAAACATTATGTCAACAAAGCCAGTCACAAAACATCACATATTATACGATTCCATTCATACGAATGTCCAGAACAGGAAATCCATAGAGACAGGAAGTAGATCAGTGGTTGCCGTGGGCTGGGGGTGGAAGTCGGGATAAGGAGGCAATAACTAAAGCATATGAAGGTCTTTTCTGGGGTGATGAAAATGTTCTAAAATGGACTGTGATGATAGTTGTACAACTCTGTGAATACACAAAAAAACACTGAATTCACCGTTTAAATGGGTGAATTGCACAATGCATGAATTCGCCCTCACTAAAGCTATTAAAAAATGGCGTAGTCTGTATTGATTGCCTTTAAAAGACGTTCATGATCACTTAATAACTGGTTCCACTAATGTGAAGTTGATCCTATTTGTGTTTTTTTAAACACATTTATGGATAGAAAAAATATTTGGAAATACATACCTCAAAATGTTAACAATGGTCATCTCTAGTTGGTAGGATTATAGACTATTTCTTTAAAATATATTTTTCCACGATGTTTTACAATGAGCATGTGATGCTTTTATATGAAAAAATATATATTTGGTAATCTACTTTATCTTAAGAATATTTCTTACAAATGGTTATTAATGTTATAATAAAAAGAACAGTAAGAACAGACTAAAGGCAAGATTGCTCACTACGTGACACCTCCCAGTCTTTAGGCCTTTATGAGTGCATGATTCTTCCGTATCCGAAAGAGCTACAGCCGTCCTGTGCTCCCTTCCGCCAGCCTGTTCAGTACAGAGGCCACCAGTCTGAGGGTTACTTAGTGATCTGGGAAGGCACGGCGAGGTGTTTAACTCAACAATAGTCAACTCCCCTAGAGTAAGGCCACATCTGTGATGATTTCTGTATTGTGGGGCAATTAAGAACTAAACGGTGCCATCATGAGCAGATTTCCCTAAATGCTGAACTCAGAGTGGCTGACAGGGGCTGAAGAGAATGAACCCCATTATCTTCAACACACGGCCCACGATTAGCAGGGAAACAAAATCAACAACAGCTTTGCTTGAGGATAAGCAAATTTCAACCCCTGAAAATCTTGGAATGTGGTTACTGATATGGAGGCTCGGTCTTCAAAGGGGGTATTCAAGGGGGTAAACTCAAACTCTCCCACTGTCTTTACCCCAGGCTGCATTTCTTCATGGGGCCAGACTCCACAGGCACCTGGGCAAACACACATTGGGAACGCAGTGACAATCTCTACCTACGACTCAGAGGCCACGCTGGAGGCCCTCAGCAGGAACCCCACGGGCAACCTTCCCACATTCCCACGGGACATCTTGGTCGGTGTAAGTGCAACAGCCACAGAGCCACAGGGTGCCTCTATGACTCCAGGATCTTCCATGGTTCATAATGTCCCAGTACAGATGAGAGGAGGGACAGAGTCAGAGAGGCTGGGTTGTATGAACACTGGTTTATTAGGTAGATAGGAAAAGAAGAATGAAGTCAATAGTCTTTAGCAAGCCAACTAGCTCAAGGAATAGACAGCCCCTTTCCATTCTGGAGACAACACATAAATCTATTAATATTAAATATTGTCATGAGGTATGCACCTGCCCACAGGGGTATTATGATGGAAATACTGGGGTAGTCTGCAGGGCCAGGTACAAATGACGGGAAACAAAGCCAGAGAAACTGAAATACCTCTTGGACCCCAGAAGACAGATGTACTGATTTCTGGGATGTCAGGAGCCCAGTGCAGAGCAGCTGGATAGGTCGCTAAGAGCTTTCCCTTCTGCTTATCGGGTCTCACACACCTGGATAAACCAGTTATTGAAAGCTGACCTGCTAATGAGAAGCTTCTGGCACTTGCTGGTGTTTCCTAATTGAATGGGTGACTGCCCCGCATCTCAGGGCCGGGGCTCCCGTGCGGACGCCTCTCCATGAGGTTAGCAGCTTGATTTAGATCAGCGTGCGGGACGGGGAGCTCACAGTGGGGTCGAGGAGACACAGCACAGGCTTCTGAAAGGTGCCCTGTCCATTAGGGAGCACCCCATTTACAGATGGGTCATCCTTCAGCTCACTAGTTTCCCAGCGCATGACAGTGGGTAGCTTTTTTTTTTCCTATTATAAACAAATCTTCGATGTGACTGCGATGATCTACGGATGATCTACGTATCTGGTTGTGTGATCCTCAAGCACTTATGCAAGGTGGAGTGTAAACAATGGCCAAGACCCAAACTGCAATGTTCCCTGAAGTCCAACCTGCTTGGAGTCCTTGGGAACGTGTACAATGGTTAACAGGCTTGAGAGGAGTCAGCTGGGAGAGTGAGAGCGAGACTGCCCTGCAGAGGGGCCGCTGAGGATGGACCCCTGTAGGCCGTCCACACCCACCACGCGTGTCATCCTCAGGAAATGCAACCGGATGCTCGGAATTTCGCCCCTAAAGCGACTCAGGGCAGTCTCAGCTCAGGAAGACTTCTTTTTTTGACCTTCTGGCTTAAAGCCACAACCCCAGGCTGAGGATGCCACATCAACGGCGTTTCCTCGCCACGCTGCAGGCGTGACTCACGTTTCTAAGCCTGCAGGGTCCCCGGGCCAAGCGCGGCTACTGAGAGCACAGCGTCCTCCCTCAGCCCCTGCTCATCTGCACGGAGCAAAGCCGCAGCTTTCTCTGCTGTCAGCGCTTTATACGACTCGGATGTAGGCTCTGAGCGGGCACGGGCCCGCCCTCAGACGGCGACCCGAGGGGCAAACAGGATGGAGGCGCGCTCCCTTGGAGGCTGTGGTCTCGATTTTATCTGCTCCTGGGTGGTGCGGGTGGTTTGCTCTCTAGGCGTGAGCAAAGGCCACAAGGGGCCCGAAAAAATCACCCAAGGATGCAAGCCCGCCATTGCGCTGAGCAGGGGCCTCCCCGCCGCCAGAGCCCGCGCCCCTCCAGGGAGGCCCGCGCGATCGAGACCCGCCGCCTCCCGGCCAGGCGCGGGACACCAGGCGAGGGGAGCCAGGAGCCGGGAGGGGCGGCGCCGGGCCCGCAACCCCACCCTGTCCTGCCTCCGCCTCCTCCCGGCAGGACCGTCCCCTCCCAGGCCCCAGCTCCGCGGCCGCCCACTCGCAGCCGGCCAGTCCCGCTCGGGCCCGCGTGCCCCGCAGCCGCCACGCGCCCCGCAGTCCGTGCCGAGGCTCCCGCCCGAGTGCGCGCGGGCCGGCGGTGGCGTGTGCGCACGTCATATGGGCCGCCGGCCTCCCATTGGTTGCGGCCGCCTCACCAGACCGCGTGCGGACGGGCTCGCGGGCGGGGCGGGGCAAGCTCAGGCCACGCCCCTGGGCGGTGCGCGCGGGCGGTGGGTAGGCCGGGCAGGCTCACGTGATGCGGGCCCCGCGGCCCGCCATATAAACCCGCGCGCCCGCCAGGCGCTGCGGCCGTCCCGGGCCGTGACTCCTCCTTTCCCCCGCCCCGCCTCCGTTCGGAGAGCCGGCGGGCGGGCGCCTCTCGGCCAGGTACGCGGCCGGCTGGGATAGGGGTCGCGGGCGGGCTTTGGTCGCGCAGCAGCCGGTCCTCCCCGGAGGTAGGCGGGCGCGGGCCCTGTTGGGTCTTTGGGACGCGGGTCCCGCTGGGGCCGGGGATGCTGCTCGCTGTGAGCGCGGGTCCCGTCCGCCGCTGGCCCCGGGCGGGCGCACGGGGGTCTAACCTTGGGGGGCGGCGCTGCCGCCTGGCCCGGGTGCCGGGGTTCGCGTCCCGCGGGGCCTTCCTCGCTCTTTGTCTCTTCTGAGTGAACTTGATGACCCCCTTCTTCCAGGAAGCGCCTCTTGGACGCGTGTGACCGATGCCCAGATTGCACGACCACTTCTGGAGCTGCTCCTGTGCGCACAGCGCGAGGCGCCGAGGCCCCCCGCGAGCCAGCGCCGCGGGGCTGGCGGCCAAGGTTGGGGAGATGATCAACGTTTCCGTGTCCGGGCCCTCCCTGCTGGCGGCCCACGGTGCCCCGGACGCTGACCCCGCGCCCAGGGGCCGCAGTGCTGCGATGAGCGGCCCCGAGCCCGGCAGCCCCTACCCCAACACCTGGCATCATCGCCTGTTGCAGAGGAGCCTCGTGCTCTTCTCGGTTGGGGTGGTCCTAGCCCTGGTGCTCAACCTGCTGCAGATCCAGAGGAATGTCACTCTCTTCCCCGAGGAGGTGATCGCCACCATCTTTTCCTCCGCCTGGTGGGTCCCTCCCTGCTGCGGGACAGCAGCTGGTGAGTACCCCTCCTGGTTCTTCTGGAAGTAAAAAGGGTGTCTTTTCGGTTGAAAGTACTTTTCAGCCTATAAGAAACATGCATTTGAAACTGGAACTATCCACAGATTGAAAGTGTGCATCTCCAGTCTTGGGATTTAGAGAAATGAAGGAGGGGTAGAGAGGACCTGGCACCCCCGAGGGCGGGTTCGGGCCACAGCTCTCTGAAGTTTGAGGAAGCACAGTGATGGAGATGAGGCAGGGAGATAATTGGCTGTTCAAGCAGGTGCTGTGCCAAGCTGACTGAGGGCCCTTCCCTCCTGGCGTCCGGGTACAGCCCCAGCTGTCATCCCGCGCCAGCCGCCCCGGATTGGCCGCCTGGGGAACTGGTGAGCAGCGGGACTGAAAGGCCATTGGTCGCGGCAGCAAACATGCTACCCTGCTGGATAACTGAAAACAAACCCGTCACATGGGTTCAGGAGGCGGTTGCCAGGGGAGCAACTTCTCAGCACTTCCTTTTGCCGGGTCGCTGAGTAAACTGTGGTCTGAAGCCAAACCGCCTACACCCTGAACTGTTAGAGCTCTGTAGATTACGTTCTTAAGGAAAAGAGTAACCCCCTTACGGCGTTTAGATTTTCGTACACCCAAGCAGTAGCATAGATGCTGTACAACGTAACACTGAGTCAGTCTGAACTGTGGACACGGGGACTGCTGGGTGTGTGTACTAGACTTTCTTGGCTATCATTGAACCGCTTTTATAGAAATGTTGAGTTGATCTTGGCTCAGCAGATCACTTACTGCTCCTGTAGTCACACAGCATTTGTTTATTTAACGAGCTTGTCGGGTGCTTTCTGCAACCTCAACTCTATAAGCTGTTGAAATGTTAATCCAAAAGTGAGCACCACAAGCCCCTATCCTTAAGCAGCTTAGAGTCTGGTGGGGAAAACAAACCAGTATGTCAGTGACTCCAGTGCAGTGCAGGGAGCATCCTGTTTGCTTTGTGGCTGACGTTTGTCAGCTGACTGCTGACCATAGGCTTCAGATGCTTTGCTGTGTTCATTCCTTACAGCAATACCATGTGTAGCTTCATTTATAGATGTGGCAACTGAATCACAGGTGAAGTCACATCCAAGGGTGCGCAGGTAGAAAGGGGCCAAGCCATCGTTGGTAACTGCTCCTGCTGCCTTGGTAGGTGTGTCTCCTGCACTGTGGAAACACATTGCCTCAGTTGACTCACTGAAAACAGCAAGCAGCAGAGAGGTTTGTAGCAGATTAACAGAGGGCTCCGTGTTGAAGAACTAGGACAGGTGTCTGTAATTATTAAGTAGTGGGTAGAATGTTTTCATATTTGTTCTCGGAGGGACGGGATCCTCTTTCGTTTTTCGAAACACTTTATGTGGCTGTACTAATTGAACATTTTTTGAGAACTATATCTAGATTTAAAATTCCATGTTTCATATACATTTGGCAGAATAGTTTCTTTCCTTTAACCAAAAACTTGATCTTAGAAATGAAATAGTTTAGCCTTCAGTATTTGTAATTGGATCCTCAAGGGTTTCTAGGAATATCTGGACAATTTCTCATACTCTCATATTCTACTTTTTTTTAAACCATCAGCCAAGAGCATAAGTAAAATTTTTCATAGTATGTTTTTTACCTATTTATTTATTAAGCTATAGTGAAGTAAAGTTAATTTGGGGGGTCCATTTTTCAGAACTCCAAAATTAGAACCTGATGAAGTATAATAAATTGAAAACAACATTTTTTATCTGAATGTTTGATGCAAACTGTGTTTCTTGTTTCTCAGTTGAACCTAAAATGTATATTTCTTTCATACTACACTGAGGTGAAACAATTGCAGGGTTCTCAAGAGCCCTGGGACACAGTGACCCTTGTGTCCCAGCATCCAACCCCACGGGCCGGCACCCCACTCCCCCCTACAGACATTCATTCCTGCCTTCATCTTTGCCATTTTACTTCTCTTTTGGAATGCCATTCCTTCCCACCTGTCCAAATTCCAAGTTCGTGTCTATAAAGAATAACTATTCCAGACCACAGTGATCTCTTTCTCTGTGTCCCAGTTACATAATCCTTATAATTTTACACATGAGAAAACAAACATGCAGAGCCACGTCCCATCAGAGGGCAAGCTGGGATTTGAGGCTGAGTTTTCTCTTCTTGGTCTGGTGTTCTTTCCGCAGCTTGAGGCTTGACCATGCGGGAACCAGATGGAGAATAAGCGAAGCCTGTGTGGGGCTGTCTCGCCCCGTACTTGCCCATGTGCATGTGTGCACAGTAGGTGCTCAGTGCCTCGTACAGAACATGCTAGAACCCCCGAAAATCAACTCCAGGGCCACTCTAGGAGCATGTGACCCAGACTGTCAAAGTCACATCAGCAAATATGTATCTCATCACGTGCCCAGCCCCAGTACTGGGTGGTGGCAGGAGTGTCAGAGCTGTGATGTGACAGGGTGTGGACAGATGCTAACCTTTTTATTGTAAGATAGAAATCACACCGGATGAAAAGACAAGGTGAACTACATAGTCATTTAAGTTCTGTGTGCTTTAGGCAAATGTGGATATTAAATATAAGGTTACATATTGCTCATATTAATATGAATAATCCCTGCTTGATTCCTTCCTGTGTTTACTGAGACATGTTCAACTACACTAAATAATAGTGATTTTTAAAAAACTTTTCCAAACAGTACAATTTTGTGGGAGTGGTACTCAAAGAGAACAAGAATATAAAATCACTCTGAAGTTATAGCTGATAATTTTTTCTAGGAAAAGGACTGGTTTGAGTAATGTACTGTGTTACTAATGACCACGTTGAAATTCTGGAACTTGAATCTGCTGTATTCTAACATTGTCAACTTTTTTAAAACAGCTGTTGTTGGCCTACTGTACCCCTGTATCGACAGTCACCTCGGAGAACCCCACAAATTTAAGAGAGAATGGGCCAGTGTCATGCGCTGCATAGCAGTTTTTGTTGGCATTAACCACGCCAGTGCTGTATCCTTAATTTTCTGTGCTACGTCCAGAGTATCTTCTTAGGTTATATATTGAAGCGTTTTGTTTTGTTATATACTCAAATGACTCCATGTCATAATACAGACATGATGGTGGTACCTACCCATTTCAGATTACTAAAAAGAGAAAGAAGAATGGGGCTATCGATGACTTCATAGTAAAATATATTGTTTTATGGTCAAAATAAATATATATTTATTTATATTTTTATATATATTATATATATTTTTAAATATATATAATATATATAATAAATATATATTTATATAAATATATATAAGCACTTTATATATAGCTTTCAGCAAGTTTATTCTTATGGTTAAGTTTTTGACTCAGTGATGGCAGGGAGATTTCAGGTGATCTTAATGATTACTGTAACCTGTATCCAACAAATCCTTTCTTTAGCTTATTACACAGTTTTTATGGACAGTGAATTATCTGTGGTACAATAATAAAATACCCATGTTTTTAACCCTTGTGGTTTTACGTTTTTTTATCTTAATAAGAGTCAGCAAACTTTTCCTTAACTTTTATATCACCAGAAATTGGATTTTGCCAATAATGTCCAGCTGTCCTTGACTTTAGCAGCCCTATCTTTGGGCCTTTGGTGGACATTTGATCGTTCCAGAAGTGGCCTTGGGCTGGGGATCACCATAGCTTTTCTAGCTACGCTGATCACGCAGTTTCTCGTGTATAATGGTGTCTATCAGTAAGTGTGTGTTTTCAAATATTGGCTTTGGAAAGCTTACTTAACTTTCATTAAAACATCCACTAAGCTTAGATATTTTCATATTTTATTTGTTTTTTATATAGAATGATACAGATTTAGGCATGAAATTCTCAAAAATGCTGCTATCCATAACTTAATGTAACGCAAAGGAAAACCAAGTAGTAGCAGTTACAACCAAACAAATATGAACATTCGTAACATTGGATGGTTGATATGCGTTCTGCATATCCCCACTACAGAGAATCTGTGATGTAGAATTGAGCCAGGTGAAATTGACTGCTAAGGTACAGTTTCTTTTCTCGCTCCAGGTATACATCCCCAGATTTCCTCTATATTCGTTCTTGGCTCCCTTGTATATTTTTCTCAGGAGGCGTCACGGTGGGGAACATAGGACGACAGTTAGCTATGGTAAGTGAAATGATCATATTATCTTCTAAAACTTGCGTCTCTTTACCTTGATAGAATGACTTTACATGATACATTCAAATTTGCGTTCATATATTCTGGTTCAGACTTGAGTGACAACTACTGAGAAAAGCTTATATTTAAAAAAATAGGTAATGATACCCAGGTAATTCTTTGCTAAATTATAAAAATTCATAATATTTGATCTAGAAAAGGAACTAGAGCCCTCGCACTGCCCCTTTGAATTGCAGATGTGGTCAGTGTTCTGAATTCTTGAAATTTCTGTAGTAAGCAGTAGAGAAAGTGACTGGTGTGTGAGTGTCCCCTCCTCCTTCACCATCGGAAGCAGATCTGGATGACCTCATGCAGTGATACTTTGCTCCCTGAGCATCAGTCCACCAGTGTTTCTTTTCACAAAATCAGAGTGGATGCAGATGATGCTGGCCTCTTAGTCCACAGTCAAGCAAATCGAGCCTGAGGCTGCAGAGTCTGTCTCGGGCCAGGGCAGGGACTAATGTGGGTGGGCAAGGGGACAGCCTGGTTCAGGCAGGCAGCACCTTTCTGTGGGGCAGGTGGCCCTGGGCATGGAGAAGTGGTGATGAGAGCACCGCTGCACGTGGCCGGGTCACCATGTAGACGGACTGTCCTGCCTGAACATTGCATCTGTTCTCAGCTGCAGGAGAAAGCAGTGCTACCCCGCAGAGCTTCTCTCACAGCCCCCCTGAGGGAGACGGAAAGGTAGTGAACTCCAGGATGGCTTTAGCAGTTCTCATTAGTTAAAAATTGACATCTTAGCACTTCAATTTAAAAACATAGAGGTGGACTTTTAAATGTTATTTTGAGTTGACTTTGGCAGGCTGAAAGAAAGTAAATTAAAAAAAACAACAAAAACCTAGAGCTGTTGCTCTCGGAGATAAGCTCTGGGAAAACTTATCTTAGTACCTCATGCTATTTTTAAAACAGTACATTTATTTTTGCCAGCTGATACCCTTCTGTGAGGAGTTGAATTTGAAGACCACTTGGCTGTTTCACAAAACCAGAAGTAATTACAGGTAGAATTTGCAGTCTTCCACTGGTTACTGACTCTCTGCTGCCAAATTTCTCATGATGGAGAAGAAAGGACTTTGCTTGCCTTTTTTTTTTTTTTTTTTTTTTGAGACAGAGCTCTGGAGTGCAGTGGTGCCATCATAGCTCACTGTAACCTTGAGCTCCCGGACTCAAGCAATCCTCCCGCTTCAGCGTCCCGAGTAGCTGGGATTACAGGCACATGCCACCATACCCGGCTAACTTTTTTGCTTTTTGTGGAGATGTTATCTCCCTGCCTTGTCCAGGCCGGGCTCGAACTCGTGGGCTCAAGCCATCCTCCCACCTTGGCCTCCCAAAGCACTGGGATTATAGGCGTGAGCCTGGCCTTGCTTTTTTTAATATTAAAAATCTGGTCGGATGGTCCCACATGGAAATAGTATGTTGTTTTCATGCATTCGCCATCATCCCCGTTAATAGTCTTCAAAGGAGAGCTGGCAACTCCATCATTGCTTTCTTGCTTTGAGATTTTTGTTTCGGTACTCTTTGGGAGAGAATTCCTAAGAAGGTTTTTAGAATAAAATTGTCCTCAACCAGATTGACTAATTACACATTATAACTACAACTTGAATAACATTTAAAGAGTTGGTTATTTCTGTTTGATAGGTTGGTGCTGTTATATGTCAAGGCTTTTTAAATCGGTTTTAAGAAATAAGCATTATTTTGGTGGAGGTAGAAATTTCACAACATTCATAAGTTCTAAACATCTAGAAATGGTTGGAGGAAACATTTTCGTTTTGAAGATAGTTTCATTAAGTAATCCCTGCTGTGCTCCTTTGCTTACAGAAAAAAATGTTAAAGATAACTCAAAATAGGATAGTTGGTGTAATTATAATTCTCCTTACTTCAGCTTTCTCTTCATCCTTTTTATTCTTTAAGCTTGGGGGAAAATGTTTGGATGTTCTCGTATCTTAAAACTGGAGGAGAGAGGCTGGGCGCGGTGGCTCACGCCTTTAATCCCAGCACTTTGGGAGGCTGAGGCGGGCGGATCACGAGGTCAGGAGATCGAGACCATCCTGGCTAACACAGTGAAACCCCGTCTGTACTAAAAATACAAAAAAAAAAAAAAAATAGCCAGGCGTGGTGGTGGGCACCTGTAGTCCCAGCTGCTTGGGATGCTGAGGCAGGAGAATGGCGTGAACCCGGGAGGCAGAGCTTGCAATGAGCCGAGATTGTGCCACTGCATTCCAGCCTGGGTGACAGAGCAAGACTCTGTCTCAAAAAAAAAAAAAAAAACTGGAGAAGAGAGATCACCACCTTAATCCCCTTCCCTGCTGGGCTATCACATGAAACTGACCTCTGAGGTTCTAAGCCTAACCCGCCTACCACTGTTTTTATTCATAAATACTTAAATCCTTACCTCTGGATCCCAACTGTTACTCTTTTTTTCACTTCAAAATTTGCAAACTCATTTCTATCCATCAAACCCCGGAAATGGCCCAGGGGCTTCACAGTGCAGTCCCCTCCCTCCTGCTGCATCCGTTCCTCAGGCTGTGCCCCAGGTTGCATTCGTGGTGCGTGTTTTCTCCCAGGGCAGCCTTCCCCACATTCCACTCTTGTCATACTGTTGACTCACAAAATGGAAGTGGCTGAATGTTCCAGGGATAGTGTCTAAGAGCTATTGGTTTAAGGTTGAAACCTACACCAAGTAAGGCTTTGTGAAGGGAGATGACGAGAGTGAAGTTGTTGACAGTCTGAAGGTGAAGAGATTCCGAGGCTCAGTTCAGCACCGGGACCAGACCCGCCCAGATCCAGGGTAATTTGAGGTCTGTGTTTGGTGCTGATGGTTTTGCCCAGTGCACTCCACACCCTCTCCTTCTTAGCTGTCTCAGTTCTCTTCAGATGCCTTTGTTCTAACTTATGCTTCCCTCCCTTAAGAAGAAACATAGTTACTTGCAAGAATAACCATGCTCAAAAGTTACAAGTTGGCTTTGCTTCAAGTTATATGGTCTCCTAGCTTTTTCTATGTGGTATTTCCCCCCACACATGCCGTTGTCCTTTGTGTCCGAAAATACAGCAGAAACATTTGTTATCAGCCTGTTACGGTTTTTTTGTTTGCTTTTTGTTTGTTTTTATTTTTACTTTTTTTGAGACGGAGTCTTGCTTTGTCACCCAGACTAAAGTGCAGTGGCACAATCTTGGCTCACTGCATTTGAACCGTCTCCCAGGTTCAAATGATTATCCTGCCTCAGCCTCCCAAGTAGCTGGGATCACAGGCGCCCACCACCGCACCTGGCTAATTTTTCTGTTTTTAGTAGAGACGGGGTTTCGCCACGTTGGCCAGGCTGGTCTCGAACTCCTGACCTCAGGTGATCCACCTGCCTCTGCCTCCCAAAGTGCTGGGATTACAGGCATGAGCCACCGCGCCCGGCCCAGCCTGTATGTTTAAAAGAAAATGAGTCTGTAACCATCATTTATAGAACTTGTAGTTGTTGCTGTTTGTAGCTTCAAGTCCTTTCTCAAGAGTAAGCTGCAAACTGCCAACAGCAATCAAGCCTGTCCTGCTGCCACTGCCCGGCCCCACTGGGCCACCTGGAGGCAGAGTCCCGCCCACCTCAGTGTCAGCTTGGGATTTGATTTGCCGTTCCTGTTTTTGATTGACCCAATTCAGCTGCTAATGATAATAATACTATTATTGTTATTGAGGGTTTACATTTGTTGGGCTCTTACTGCTGCACAGGAGGCATTGTGCTGAGCGTTTCCATTGTTAGCCAGTTTAGTCCTCATAACACAAGTCTTTGAAGTAGAAACTATTATTAGCCCATTTTTAAAAGGGGAAATTGCAGCTTAGGAAGATTAAACAACTTGGCCAAGTGGGTGGCAGAGGTCGACGTGGCACCGTGCTTCTCATTAGCATACCACACTGCCCTTTCAACACATAGCTCGCACCTGCCTTCACCCTGGAAGCAGGTTTACAGCAGCCTGTGTTGGTGTCTGGGTTGCCATTTACAATGTGCCACCATTAGGCAACACTGCTGGAAGTCCCTGTGCCACGTGTCAGGTCCGCCCGGGCTGGCTGTCGTTCGTCTCTGGCGTCTTTGCCAGGCCTCACTGTGGCCTCTGTCGACCAGGGATTCTAAAAGTCCACTTCCCATTTATTTATCAGCACATTAGTGAACAGGGAGTCAAATGTGATGACCAGTTTTCTTTCCAGGTTGCTGCCAAGAGTTTGCTCTTTTGTTTTCTCACCGCAGTTTGTATAGAACCCTCCCAGTGTTCATATCTAAAAATTGGCAGTGCTTTCACATGATCAATTCCTAAAAGCATGTATGTTTCCTAGAAGGTCTTATTGTGTGTGTCCCCAGGGTAGTAACTGGCATACCTGGGTGACTCAACCCAGACTCATGACTTTCTTACCTGTCTGTTCAGATGAGAGGCTCTTGCTGTTTTCTGGATGAGTAATCTCCGTCATTGCTGAAGGTGAGGAGCTCAGCTCCTTCCTCTTAAAGTGAGTGGAGGGCAATTAAGTAACGTGGGAAGTCACGATTCTGAGGGAAAAAAATTCTGTATGGAGGTTTCTCTTTTGCCCTTTAGCAGAAGCTCCGTGGCCTCAGGAAGGTCATTTAATCTCTCTGGCTTTGCTTCTTCATCAGTGAAATACTGTTCTCCATTAAGAATTTACCCTGAGGTGCCTGGTCATAGTAGTAACTGTAGTGTCTACCTCTCAGAAGCTCTGTGAGGGTCAGATGAGGAAGAACATGTAGAAAGGATTTCCCAACTGTGAAGCTCTGTGTGAATTGAGGGCACACAGAGCTTCAGTATTACAAAGCATGACCTATTTCCAATGTCTGTTTCAACAAACTGCTGGTAAGGTGGGTTATAACACAGGCATCAGATACTAATAAAGGTTTGTGGCAGAAACCTCCCTTCAGATAAAGGTTCAATCCCTTAAATTGCAGTTAGAACTTTCAGGAACCTATCATACCCTAAGCATCACCATGCTTTGATAAAATTGGGTGTTTCCTTTATATAGATATTAATTTAGTTAAACTTTCACCAATATCTTACACTTATATAACAGGCTTTATATAAGGGCCTCAGCAGCGTAATTTCACCTGAGGCAGAGAATTATCCTAATTTTGCAGGTGAGAGCTGTGGCTCACGGGGCCAGAGCCATGAAGACGGTGCAGGGGAGCTGGGAGAGCTGGCCTCGGTCTCCAGTTCTCTGCACATGTCCCACCTCTCAATCTTGTTGCTTCAGTCAAAGAAAGTGTCAATCTTTCCCATGTTAGGACCTACTTAATTGGTAATTAAAATATTTATACATTTAGTGCTAATTTTCTCTTTCCTTTTTTTTTTCCTTTCTACACATAGGGTGTTCCTGAAAAGCCCCATAGTGATTGAGTCTTCAAAACCACCGATTCTGAGAGCAAGGAAGATTTTGGAAGAAAATCTGACTGTGGATTATGACAAAGATTATCTTTTTTCTTAAGTAATCTATTTAGATCGGGCTGACTGTACAAATGACTCCTGGAAAAAACTCTTCACCTAGTCTAGAATAGGGAGGTGGAGAATGATGACTTACCCTGAAGTCTTCCCTTGACTGCCCGCACTGGCGCCTGTCTGTGCCCTGGAGCATTCTGCCCAGGCTACGTGGGTTCAGGCAGGTGGCAGCTTCCCAAGTATTCGATTTCATTCATGTGATTAAAACAAGTTGCCATATTTCAAAGCCTTGAACTAAGACTCAATTACCAACCCGCAGTTTTGTGTCAGTGCCCAAAGGAGGTAGGTTGATGGTGCTTAACAAACATGAAGTATGGTGTAATAGGAATAATATTTATCCAAAAGATTTTTAAAAATAGGGCTGTGTTTAAAAAAAAAAACAAAACAAGAAAAGCAGCAGTGATTATAGAGAGGTCACACTCTAAGTGGGGTCGCGGCGTGGCCACGCTTCACGGTCACGCTCGTCCGTCCTGCAGTGGCGTGTTTACATGGTCACACGTGTGTGTATCACCAGTGGGTCAACTGCTTGTCATTCCTCCCGTGGCAGTTTGTGTAGACAATCTTACTGAGCAAAAGGCAATGAAAAGTCTTGGTTCCCACACTGCGATATATTGGAATTTTCACCTCAGTTTATGAAGTTTATTTCGAAATCCATAGTCATCTAAGAATGAATACCTGTCTGCCATGTATTTCAATCTTAGTGAGCCAAAATTGTTTGTTTGTTACTACAGAATAGAGATGACTGTTTTTTGCCACAGCCCTATGGAATTTGCAATCTGTGATTGCCTTGTAAAAAGGAGAGTGCATATGGCACTGCATTAAACGTGTGGTGTTTCTAGTCAATGATATTGGTGAGCACAATGTATTCATTTAATGGCATAGACCATACCAGACCTAATTTGCAAGTATTGGGTCTTAAACTTCAAGTGCAATGTATATGAAAACCAATCTGAGCCTTGTATCTCTTAAATATTTATTTTTTTTAACGTGTGAGATGTTCGAGAGAAGGTTCTCCATTCATTTCAGTGCTGCCTGGAGGAAACTCGGCAATGATTTCTTTCAGTTGTGAAGTTCCTTTCGTGTTACACCCTCCACTGAACCCTCAACCTTCGAAATACTCCAGTTTTGTGGGTTTGGTCATTTTTACTTATAAATTTACCTTTTTGTATTTTGCAATTTACATGTGTTTGGTTTGTTTTAAATTCTGTGAAAGTGGCTTGATTAAAAGACTCCTTTTAAATGGAAGCCACCAGTCAGCAGAATGGAAGCTTAGAGGAACTTGCCTGTGAGCGCTGGTCTTTGTGTTTGGTTTTGTGATGTAACGATCTTTGCTGGGGTTTTTTGCTTTGTTTTGAGGGAAATGTCTTGGAGTAAATTTTAAGTTCCTGGAGTTAATTTGTTTTACAGGAATTTTGTTTTTTAAAAAAATAGGATCATTCTGAACTTTGGAATGACCCCCTTATATATTTTCTGAAAATGAAAACAGTTACATGAAAAAAATTTCCAATGAAGATGTCAGCATTTTATGAAAAACCAGAAGTTATTAGATGAAAGCAGCGAGTGAATCTTTAAAACAGACTTGATCACGCACACACAATAAGTCTTTCTCTCCGAAACCGGAAGTAAATCTATATCTGTTAGAAATAATGTAGCCAAAAGAATGTAAATTTGAGGATTTTTTTGCCAATAGTTTATAGAAAATATATGAACCAAAGTGATTTGAGTTTGTAAAAATGTAAAATAGTATGAACAAAATTTGCACTCTACCAGATTTGAACATCTAGTGAGGTTCACATTCATACTAAGTTTTCAACATTGTGTTCTTTTTGCATTCATTTTTTACTTTTATTAAAGGTTCAAAACCAAGTGTTGTATTTATGTTTGCTTTTTAAAAAACAGTTGGGGTGGTGGTCTCTGTGTAGGATGTTAGAATTTGTAATGGAGAAATATTTTGCAGTTCTTCAAATTTTACTGAATTTTGACACAACCTCTTGGGAAGTATTTGAATCATCCTTCAATATACACAGGACATTGGTTCCAGGATACCCCACGTATGCGAAAATCTGCATACTCAAGTCTGGCACTTGGCCCTACGGAACCTGCGTACACTAAAAGTCAGCCCTCCGTATACGTGGGTTTCACATTCAGCAAATAAACCATGTTTGGTTGGAAAAGCTCCATGTATATAAGTGGACCCACAGGTTCAAACCCTGTGTTGTTTAAGGGTCAACAGTATGTGTTTTTCTTATGGTAGAAAGTTTTAAGTGCAGCACGAGCTGAATTGAACCTGCCACCTTACCCCTCCTCACCACAGGCACCCGGTTTTCAGGCAGGAGGAGCGGGCATGCCTGGCCTGTCACAGGGGCAGCTTCCCTGCTGCCAGCCGGCGTGGCTGGAGTTACTTGCACTCACAGGTTATCACGATGGGATGAGAACTGAAGAGATGCGTTGAGCACCAGGAACATTAATGCTAGGCAGGCTTCACATTACTTGTAGTTGTGAAATCGCATGTCAGTACTAGCAGAGAAAGGCCTTACCTTATATGTACCAATCCATTTTATAACACAGATCCAAACCAATAGGTTTCTACTACATTTAAAACATGAAACATCCATGTATGGAAAAACTGGTAGATCTCATGATAAAAACATTTCCCTCATTACAGAGACTTGAGGTTTGCCTGAGATTAACCCAATTTATGTGGATCAAGTATAGGAATGCCTGCTGAACTAGTCTAAGTTCATGTTTATTCGTTTTTTGAGACAGAGTCTTGCTCTGTTGCCCAGGCTGGAGTGCAGTGGTGCGATCTTGGCTCACTGCAACCTCCGCCTCCTGGGTTCAAGCCATTCTCCTGCCTCAGCCTCCCAGGTAGCTGGGAATACAGGCATTCACCACCACACCTGGGTAATTTTTTTGTATTTTTAGTAGAGATGGAGTTTCACCATGCTGGCCAGGCTGGTCTCGAACTCCTGACCTCAAGTGATCTGCCCGCCTCGACCTCCCAAACTGCTGGGATTGCAGACGTGAGCCACGGCGTCTGGCCTATTCATGCTTTAGAATAAGTTTTGGAGGTTAAACGTTTCCTGGAATTTTTCTGATCTATTGAGCAAGTGATGGAATGAAACCATTTCATTAAGGGTAAGGTGTGTAATTTACAGAAGATTTCCTTGTTCACGTCTTTTCAACTGAATGAGCAAGGCTGAGTAAATAGGAACTCAAGATAGATTCAAAGATGTTTGTTTGGCTAGTTTTAAAAGCCACCTGTGATCTTAACCTAAGCAAGATTTCCGGCAGATTGGTTTAAATGAATTAGATATAATCATTTGGTGACCTGGCACTCTCCCTATCCTTGAATTATAGACATTTCCTTTATCCTGGTGGTAAAAAGAAACGAGAGAAGGGAGCAATTATAAATCTAAACTTGCCTTTTCTACTTTACCTGTTAAAACAGACCTTTTACTAAGAATGTTCACTTTCTCAGAGTTTCAGATCATCTCTTTGTAATAATGTAACTTTAGCATACCCTTCTAGGGATATTCTCTTTGAAAAGTGTTAATGCTGTAAAATATTAATAAAGATACTAAAATTTAGCCTTAATGTATATTATGCAATAAGCTGACCTAGTCCTCACTAATCCACCATTTTATTTACTCTTGGACTGAGGTGAGCTTGTAAGCAATAAATTAGTCACAGGAGGGATTGCATATTGATCCCTAAATGTAGTCAAAATATGCAAAGAAAAAGGTGCATGAAATAGATCCAAGTCCTAATACCCAAACATAGTGCCCTGCAGACTTTATACATCTTGGTAAGATTCATACCTGAAGAATGGCTTCCCTGAGCATTTATAAAAACACCTAATAGTGCCTGGCACAAGATAAGCTCTCAATAAATGTTACTTTCTCTTCTTGCCCCAGTTTTCTCAGGGAAGAATAAACGGCTGAGATCGTGCGTTAGGTATGGTAGTGCCAGTCTACGTTTGTAGTCTTCAAGACAAATGGTCACATAACATGAAAAGTGGTTTTTTTATTACTATTTCCACGTATTCGACACTTAATTTTTCTGAGTGCTTTGACACCCTTTTTTCCTCATTGTTCTCCACGTTCCCAAGTTCAGGAACAGAAGGAAGATGAAGTCAAAAGCGCTGGGTCCACAGAAGTAATTTCCTCATCAGAACCTAGCTCTTCGTATTTTTTTCTGTGTCTTCTCTCAGGCAAGTTTTTCATTTAAAATCATAGGTGTCTTCCAGTTCATCCCTCAGACCTCACCAAAGGGTCATCCCTGGCTCTCCTCTTCACATCAAACCTCCCAGAGTTCCTCCGGGCTGCAGAGCCCTTGTCACAGTGGCCACCAGAGTGGGCACTGTCAGGCTGCTTTCCTCCCGCAGGCCAGATTCCCGGCAGAGAGGAGCCGCCTCCTTGCTTGTCCTATCCTGGTGCCTCGCCACAGCCTGGATCCTGCTTCATCACACGTGTGTGCTGGAAGCGTGTGAAGAGATGACATCCCCCACTTGGTCACTGGCCATCCAGGAAATATTTCTGGGTGCCTATCATGACAGAGGCAGGCACATGGGCTGTCCCCAGTCCCATCCTGTTGCCAACAGCCCTTGAGTCCCCTTCTGATTTGTGATCTCCAATCTGTGGGGAATGAGATAAATAAAGCTGTTAGAATCAATCATACAATGAAAATCTGGGTCAAGATCCAGGGAGGACTCCTCCAAGTAGAGTGGATGAGTTTCAGTGGCAGGATTTGTTTTAACACCAATACGAGCTGTTACAGGATTAGGGATTCTTTTTCCCAGGAATGGGGTTGGAAGTGTGCTGAACCGTCCACACCCTCCCGCCCCACTGCACTGGTGCCCGGCATCTGCTTGTGGGTGGCCAGTGTGACACCCACAGGCCCAGGAGGAAGCACCCCACGGGCAGCACCAGTACAGAGTCCTTGAATCCCTCAGAGCCTTCGCCCATTCCCACCTGCCAGCCTGCCCTTCCCGGGTACACACTGATTCCTCAGAAATTCCATCTTTTCAAGGAGGAAGGCTGCTTGCTTCGGTATGTGATATCTGTCCCTGCCCTTCAAATTAGGTCTCATTTGCCATCAACTGCTTTCAAACCCATCCCTATTTTCTTTAGTGCCCAGGGGCCTGCTGACCCAGGCTAATGTGGACATTTGGCCTCCCCTTTTCTCCTCATTCTGCATCAATCACGTTAGTTGCAAACACCCAGCTAGGGCAGGGTGCATGTGAGCAGATGACTGCGAGAGAAAGATCCCAGGGTCAGGAGGGTAGCAGTGTCCACGGACCTGCACCAACCTTGCTCCTAAAAAGCCACTTCCTACCGCCTGTTCCCTGTCCTTGCCAGCCCAGGAGTGGTGTGCGAGCCTGCGTGTAATCAATCCCCCTCCACAAGCCCGGCTTGCTGGGCCGGCTCTGGGGCTTCCTGCCTTTGCCTCATCACACACTGCTCTTCATGTCTTCCTCAAACATCCAGCCAGCTGTAGGAGCTGCCTGAAGAAAGGTCAGCATGCCAGCAAATTATGTGGAAGACCGTTTCAGAGTTTAACGCATCCACCAGGAGGGAGAGTTTGCACCGTATTAATCTTGCCAGGACTGGAAATAAATCGTGAGTCCTTTTATTAGGCTGGGCACATGGAAAAGCCCTTTCCTAAGGTTTCTCCTGAATGAAATTGTTGCATTTCCTAAGCTCCACATACAGGTATTTGCAATTATTTGATTGTTCATTTTGAAACTGTGGGGGAAATGTTCTTGAACACTTACTGTGTGCCAGGAATCATGCTGTGCTCTGGGAGCCCAGCAGTGTGCAAAGCAGGTTCCTGCCCAAATAGGAGCTGTCAGAAATCTACCTGTTCACTGGAGATCCTGGTTACACTTCTGGAGACTTAAAATGCTTTGGGGAATCAACTCAAGATGGATCAAAGACTTAAACGTAAGACCTAGGACCATCAAAATCCTAGAAGAAAACCTGGGCAATACCATTCAGGACATAGGCATGGACAAAGACTCCATGTCTAAAACACCAAAAGCAATGGAAACAAAAGCCAAAATTGACAAATGAATCTAATTAAACTAAAGAGCTTCTGCACAGCAAAAGAAACTATCATCAGGGTGAACAGGCAACCTATAGAATGGGAGAAAATTTCTGCAATCTACCCATCTGACAAAGGGCTAACATCCAGAATCTACAAAAAACTTAAACAAATTTACAAGAAAAAAACAAACTACCCCATCAAAAAATGGGCAAAGGATATGAACAGACACTTCTCAAAAGAAGACATTTATGCAGCCAACAGACGTATGAAAAAATGCTCATCATCACTGGTCATCAGAGAAATGCAAATCAAAACCACAATGAGATATCATCTCATGCCAGTTAGAATGGTGATCATTAAAAAGTCAGGAAACAACAGATGCTGGAGAGGATGTGGAGAAATAGGAACGCTTTCACACTGTTGGTGGGAGTGTAAACTAGTTCAACCATTGTGGAAGACAGTGTGGCGATTCCTCAAGGGCCTAGAACCAGAAATACCATTTGACCCGGCAATCCCATTACTGGGCATATACCCAAAGGATTATAAATCATTCTACTATAAAGACACATGCACATGTATGTTTATTGTGGCACTGTTCACAATAGCAAAGACTTGGAACCAATCCAAATGTCCATCAATGATAGACTGGATTAAGAAAATGTGGCACATATATACCATGGAATACTATACAACCATAAAAAAGGATGAGTTCATGTCCTTTGCAGGGACATGGATGAAGCTGGAAACCATCATTCTCAGCAAATTATCACAAGATCAGAAAACCAAACACTGCATGTTCTCACTCATAATTGGGAGTTGAACAATGAGAACACATGGACACAGGGAGGGGAACATCACACACTGGGGCCTGTCGGGGGCCAGAGAGCTGGGGGAGTGATAACATTAGGAGAAATACCCAATGTAGGTGACGGGTTGATGGATGCAGCAAACCACCATGGCATGTGTATACCTATGTAACAAACCTGCACGTTCTGCACATGTAACACAGAACTTAAAGTATAATAAAAAGTAATAATAATGAAAAATAAAATGCTTTAGGGACACTGTTTCATCTTAGTAACCCCAGGTTTTCTCCATACTAGATATTCAAAAGAAATTTATGAATGAAGAAATGAAAGAATAAAAACAAAAGGAAGAGAGGGGGAGAGAGAGGGAGGTTGGCTGTTAAACGTTCAGGTGCTGAGCATTATTAAACCAATTTTTAAGTTAAAATAGCCTATAACCACCCACCAAATTCAGGTGCTAGCCTACCTAGCACCTGAATTTAGTGTCCCCTTGGCTCTCTGGGCAGTAGGAAGAAAGTGGAGCTGGGAGAAGCGTCCCGTCAGTGTCAGCGTGCCTCCTGTGTTGAATCCACAGGCTGGGAGTTTGTCCATCCTGGGTCATATTGCTCTGGGATCTCATGTTCTTCACTCTGTGTTATGGGTTAAATTGTGTCCTCCCCCACAAGAAGATATGTCCAAGTCCTAACCTCCAATGTCAAAGAATGTGATGCTATTTGGAGATAGGATCTTTGCAAAATTAAGCAATTTAAGATGAAGAAATTAGGGTCCTTATAAAAGGGGAAAACTTGGACAGGCACGCACAGAGGCAGACGACATGAAGAGACACAGAAGGAATACCACATGAAGACAGAGGATCGAGAGGTGCAGCTGCAAGTCTGGGAATGCCTGCCGTTGCCACAGATGGGGAGAGGCTGGGACACACTCTTCCCTGCGCCTTTGAAGGAAGCAAGCACAGCCCATACCTCCAGCTCAGACCTCTGGTTCCCAGAGCTGTGTGACAACAAATGTCTGGTGTTTAAGCCAGGTGGTCTGCGGTACTTTCTTGGGGCAGCCCCAGGGGACTAAGAATGCACCACGACCTCAGTCCCAGCTTGAAGACCATGCATCCTGAGGAGGCATCAAGCCCGCTTGGGTGTCCAGCTTCAAACAGGAAGGAAGAAAGGGCAGCTGCAACGCCCCTGCTTCCCAAGGAGTGTGGACACAATTATAGGTTCTGAGATAATTGTCTGGAGGAGCCTCAAAAGAGGCGGCTCTGCACCCAGAACTTCCCTCAACAACTGTGCGGGCAACGAGGGAGGTGGGGAGAGACGCCCCATCCATGGCATGAATGCGCAGCTGCAGTGGGTGTAGGTGAAGCCTGCTGAGGCCTGAGCAAGGGCAGGGGGCAGAGCATGGGAGGCAGAGGCTCCTGATGGCCTCAGGGTACGCTCGTCATCAGGGTGTTCTATGTAAGGCAGGAGAAAGACGCAAAGGATTTCAGAAATAGTTCCATTAAAAATGGTTAAAATCTAAGAGTCTACTACTTGAAGCAAAAGATTCTGTTATTTGGAAAATGTCCTCATGTGGAAGCACTTATTTCCACCCAGGGTGAGGACACCAGGACACGGAGAACCAGGGCCATGGAAGACAGTTGCTGAAGGGCTCTCCTTAGCAAGCAGGGGAAAGTTTGCTAGTCCTGTGTAAACATACTTGGCTCAGATGAAAATCAGCACTAAACAGCAGAATTTCAACACCCAGTGTCAAATTCCCCTGCTGAGCAGATCAGTCCACCTCCTTTCAGCAGCCAGCCCCTACGCAACCGACTCAAGGAAACAAACAAAATAGAAAGAACCGAAAGCAGAGGCACGTGGGCCTTGGGGGCACCACACTCAGACTCAAGCAAGGTTGGCAGCCGGCCCTCCCCTGTGGGCCATGGCCCAGCAGCTTTCCTTCCCAGGGGGCCCAAAGGGCACTCCCACTGTGGACTCTGTGGCTGGAATGCCCCCTGTTATTTGGAACGCAGTCACATCAGAGACCAGAGTGTCTTCGGACTTGTCCACATCCACTCCTTCCCCACCACCACTTCACAGCCCAGAAGCTCCAGTGCCCTTGCCCTGCCTGCCTCCAGCCACTGTGCCTTGCACTCCCCATTGTCTTCCATCCCCTGCACTAGGGCACCCAGTTGTGATCTTTTAATGAGGGAGACCTAACCCTGTTGTGCTCTCACTGTGAGCCCCGTGTGTCCAGTTCACATAATTAGACCCTGCAGTGCACTGGTCCTGGTGCCTGTCCCTGCAGGTGGGTGCCCTTCTGCAGTGGAGCCTTACCTGTCTCCCTAGACCTTCCTGATAACTGAAGTCCTGTGGCTACTGGAAGGCAGGTACATCGAACTGCCCTCCAGGGTTCTGAGGGTGTCTCCCCAGAGCTTTGGGGTGCTATGACTAGACCCTTGGCACAGGACCATGAGGCCTGCTCCCTCTGCCTGAAGGTATCCTAGTCCCAGAGTGCTCTGCTTTATTTACCTGGCTAACTCCTTCCCTCTCTCAGCTGAGGAGGCCTCCTCAGTGCCTCTGCAAGCCTCAGGTCAAGTCCTACAGTGGAGACAAGGAAAGAGAGAGCTGGGACATCCTTCCTGAGACCAGGCTCAAGTCCAGGGCTCCATCCCTTCATAGCTACATGAGCTTGGGCTCATGACCTCTCAGTATCCCATTTTTGTTTTCTGTAAGATGGGAATAATAATAGTACCTTCCTCATGGGGCTGTGATTACCTGACAAGAGTGTAAGCTCAATAAATGTTAGCTATGACCATTGTCATCACTATCATCATCACCATCACTATCATCACCATCATTATCACCATCATTGTCACCATCATCATCACCATCACCTTCACTATCATCACATCACTATCATCATCATCATCACCATCACTATCACCATCATCACCATCATATCATCCACCATCATCACTATTATCAGGATGATCATCATCATTATAATCATCATCACCATCACCATCACTATCATCACCATCTCATCATCACTATCACCATCACCATCATCATCATCATCATTATCATCACCATCATCACCATCATGATCATCACCACCATCATAACTATCAGCACCGCCATCATCATCACCATCACTTTCATCATCACCATCATCATCAATGCCATCACTGTCATCATCAACATCACTATCATCATCATCACCACCATCATCATAACCATCACTATTACCATCATAATCATTGTCATCACTATCACTATCACCACCATTATCATTATTATCACCATCATCGTCATCATCACCATCACCATCACTATCACCATCATCAATCATAATCACATCATCATATCATCATAATCACCACCATCATAATCATCACTATCAGGATTTCCACCATCATCATCATCATCTCTTTATTCTTATTATTCGCTCTGCCCTGCTTTGCTTCGTGTCTATGTCAATCCACAGAAAGGCGCATCAGGAGAATTTTACAGCTCACATTTACAGAACCCTAATTCCGATTTCTAGAATTATAACCCTGAAGCCTAAGGGCTCAGGGTGCTAGAAGTGAAAAATAACAATTCTTCTTAAGATGGAAAAATGTACTGAGCTTCAGCACTCCCAGGCATGCATTTGTCTTTAGTTAGGTAGCCAGGTATCATCTAACTCTTTACCTATTTAAACTGTTCAAATAGTTAAACTTATGTTTATAGTTTTTAAAACTGCAATAGTAATATACTTTTCTTCTGGAAACGTCAAATAATATCAAAATGGATAAAGTGAAAACTGGAATTCTCTTCTCCGCCGGGGTAAATACTATTTACAATGTGGTGTGTATTCTTCCAGGTCTTCATCAATACACACACACAAAAAATCAGAATAATGGATGCACTATAATGGTAAAAATAATTTGGCTGGGTGCAGTGGCTCATGCCTGCAATCCCAGCACTTTGGGAGGCTGAGGTGGGCAGATCATGAGGGCAAGAGATCGAGACCATCCTGGCCAACATGGTGAAACCCCATCTTCTGCTAAAAATACAAAAATTAGCTGGGCATGGTGGCATGCACCTGTAGTCCCGGCTACTCAGGAGGCTGAGGCAGGAGAATCTTTTGAACCCAGGAGGCAGATGTTGCAGTGAGCCAAGATCGCGCCACTGCACTCCAGCCTGGTGACAGAGCGAGACTGTCTCAAAAAGAAAGAAAGAAAGCCTGTGCTGTTTTTATTGAAAGAAAGCCTGTGCTGTTTTTATTGTAGTAAAATATACCTGTCATAAACTTTACTATCTTAACAATTTTCAAGTGTATAGTCCAGTATTTTTAAGTATATTTAGAGTACTGGGAAACATATCTTCAGAACTTTTTTGTCTTACAAATCTGAAAGTGTATACTCATTAAATAACAACTCCTCTTTGCCACCTTCCACTATTCCCTGGTAACCATCATTCTGTTTTCTCTATCTATGAATTTGACTCATCTAGATATCCTATATAATCATACTGTATCTGTCCTTCTGTGACTGGCTTATTTCACATAACATAACATCCTCAAGGTTCATCCAGGTTGTAGCATGTCAGAATTTCTTCCTTTGTAAGGCTGCATAGTGTTCCATTGTATGTATACACCACATTGTATTTAACCAGTCACCCACCAACAGACATTTGATTTGCTTCTACTTCTGGGCTTTTGTGAATAATGCTGCTATGAACATGGGTATGCAAATATCTTTTTGAGACCCTGCTTCCAATTCTTTTGGATATATACCCACAAGTGGGATTGCGGAATCATATGGTAGTTCTATTTTTAATTTTTTGAGAAGCTGTCATACTGTTTTATACTGGTTGCACCACTTTTCATTCCCACCAAGAGCATACAAGGGTTCCAACTTCTGCACACCCTCACCAACACTTGTTGTCTTTTGGGGGTTTTTTTTTGACAGTAACCATCCTAATGGGCGTGAAGTGGTATCTCATTATGGTTTTGATTTGCAGTCCTCTGATCATTAGTGATGCTGAGCCTTTTTTCATAGTCTTGTTGATCATTTTATATCATCTTTGTAGAAATGTCTATTCAAGTCCTTTACCCATTTTTTAAATCAGGTTACTTAATTTTTTATTGTTGAATTGAAGGAGTTCTTTATATATTTGGATCTTAACCCTTTATCAGATATATGATTCACAAATATTTTCTCCCATTCATAGGTTGTTTTTTCACTTTGTTGATTGTATCCTTTGATACATAAAAGTTTCTTAAGTTTGATGTGGTCTTATTTGTCTATTTTTGCTTTTTTGCCTGTGCTTTTGGTGTAATATCCAAGAAATCACTGCCAAGTCCAGTGTCACAAAGTTTTTCTCCTATGTTTTCTTCCAAGGCTTTTTTAGTTTTGGGTCTTATGATTAGGTCTTTAACCCATTTTGACTTCATTTTTGTATGTGGTATAAAGTTAGGATCCAAATTTATCCTTTTGCTTGTGAATATCCAGTTTTTCTAGCACCATTTGTTGGACAAACTGTCCTTTTCTTATTAAATGGTCTTGACATCCTTGTGAAAGATCAAAGATCATCATTTTGACCATATACACGAGAGTTTTCTGGGCTTTCTCTTCTATCCCATTTGTCTATATGTCTCTCTTTATGTTGGTACTATACTGTTTTTCTTACTATAGCTTTGTTTTTTTCGAGATGAAGTCTCACTCTCTCACCCAGGCAGAGTGCAGTGGCATGATCTTGGCTCATTGGAACCTCTGCCTCCCTGATTCAAGCAATTCTCCTGCCTCAGTCTCCCAAGAAGCTGGGATTACAGGCATGCACCAGCATGCCCAACTAATTTTGTATTTTCAGTAGAGACGGGGTTTCACCATGTTGGCCAGGCTGGTCTCGAACTCCTGACTTCAGGTGATCTGCCCAGCTTGGCCTCCCAAAGTGCTGGGATTACAATAATATAGTTTTTTAATATATTTTGAAATCAGGAAGTGTAAGTCCTCTAACTTTGTTCTTTTTCAATTTTGTTTGGCTATGTGGGGTCCCTTGAACTTCCCTATAAATCTTAGGATGACTTTTTCAATTTCTGCAAAAAATGTCATTGAGATTTTGACAGCGATTATGTTGAATCTGTAGATTGCTTTGGGTAGTATTGACATCCTAACTT
The DNA here is from genome assembly GCF_000001405.40 of Homo sapiens. Taxonomy (NCBI): domain Eukaryota; kingdom Metazoa; phylum Chordata; class Mammalia; order Primates; family Hominidae; genus Homo; species Homo sapiens. The sequence continues at coordinate 155,321,359 of NC_000007.14, forward strand.
AAGGACTTAATTAAGTCCTCTGATCCATGATCATAGGATGTTGAAAATGATGATTTTTACTCAACAATATATCATCATGAGTCAAACATACAGATTCATCCATCCATGTATTCAGTGAGAGTTCAATAAGTGCCTACTACATTCCAGGAACTGTTCTAGGCACTTGGGATATATTGGTGAGTTGAGATGGGGTCTCACTCTATGGTTCAGGCTGGAGTGCAGTGGTGTAATCACGGTTCACTGCAGCCTTGACTTCCCTGGACTCTGGTGATACTCCCACATCAGCCTCCCAAGTAGCTGGGACCACAGGCACACACCACCATGCTTGGCTAATTTTTGGATATTTTTTGTGGAGACAAGGTTTTGTCATGTTGCCAAGGCTGGTCTTTAACTCCTGGGCTCAAGCGATCCACCTGCCTTGGCCTCCCAAAGTGCTGGGATTACAGGTGTGAGCCACTGCACCTAGCCTGTCCCTGCCTTGTTGAAGCTTCTTTTCTAGCAGGGGGAAACAGACAGTAAACACCAGGCTAATAAGTAAGTAAATGGTATAGTAAATTAGGACCTGATAGGTACTGTGGACATAAAAGAAAAAGTACAGCAGAGTGAGAAGAATTAGGAGGGCAGATGGGAAGGTGGGCTGTGATTTTAAGTAGGATGGTTGAACTAGAAATCTCCTTGAGAAAGTGGCTAAGTCCATGTTACTTAGAAAAGAGAGCCCAAGGCCAGGCGTGGTGGCTCACGCCTGTAATCCCAGCACTTTGGGAGGCAAAGGTAGGTGGCTCACCTGAGGTCAGGAGTTTGAGACCAGCCTGGCCAACATGGTGAAACCCTGTCTCTACTAAAAATACAAAAAATTAGCTGGGCATGGTGGTGGGCACCTGTAATCCCAGCTACTCAGGAGGCTGAGGCAGGAGAATTGCTTGAACCTGGGAGGCGGAGGTTGCAGTGAGCCAAGATCGTGCTACTACAACTCCAGCCTGGGCAACAGAGCGAGACTCCATCTCAAAAAAAAAAAAAAAAAAAAAAAAAAAAGGAAAAGAGAGCCCAAGGCAAGGCTTAAGTGCTAACACTTCCTTGGAAGGTGCCATCCCAGAGCAGCATGGTGAGGACAGGGCATCAAGGCAGGGAAGCCAGGGAAGACCATGCAGGCTGAGACCGCTGCAGGCTGAGCACTGCTTCGTTACGAGCCACAGAGATACAGACCAGGCGCTCAGCCAGAGGGGCATCTCCACACAGTTCATATGGAAAAACCATGCCTGAGAACGGCCCATTGGAAGCAGGGCGAGAGAGATCTTTTTGGCTGCTCACTCCTACCTCCCATCAGATGCAGCTGGAGCTGCAGGAGTCATGAGTCATGTCGCCTGGTCTCTGAGCTGTGTTGCTTGGACACTTTGGCAACTCCTACAGGAAGCAGCTCCCATGTCCTCCAACTGGGGAGTGTCCAGAAAGGGCGAGAGGAACCTGAGGCTCCGGGCATGCAGTCAGGAAGGTCTCCACGGTGAGCAAATGGCCAATGTTTCTAGGGACAGAAAGGCTGAGAGACTCAGAAGAGGCATGGTTTGTCGGATGCAAACTACCTATGTCATTCTTTGTGTGACAATCTCTTTCCTCTTATTAGCAGCATGCAATTTTATGGAATGGATTTTAAACTATTTAAACATCTCCTTCTGAGAGCATTTAAGTTGATTCCAGTTGTTCACTCTAATCAGCATTGCCAAGGCATAGATACTTGTCCATAGATCCTTGTGGAACTTGACTCATTATCTCTACTGCTAGAGCTCTAGAAGGGAAATTTCTGAACTTACATCATTTGCATAACTCAGTTTTAACAGATGCTGTGAAATTTCCCTTCAAATATTTTGTTCCTATTTACTTCCCCATTACACAGCCTTGAACCCTTGTGATATGGCTGGGCTCTGTGTCCCCACCCAAATCTTATCTTGAATTGTAATCAAGGGAGGGAAGTGGGGTTGGACTATGGGGGCACTTTCCTTCATGCTGTTTTTGTGGTAGTGAGTGAATTCTCAAGAGATTTGATGGTTTTACAAATGGTAGTTTTTCCTGCTGTCTCTCTCTCTCTTTCTCTCTCTGTCTTGCCTGCTGCCATGTAAGAAGTGCCTGCTTCCACTTTCACCATGATTGTAAGTTCCTGAGGCTTCCCCAGCCATGTGGAACTGTGAGTCAATTAAATCTCATTCCTTTATGAATTACTCAGTCTTGGAAACTTCTTTATAGCAATGTGAAAATGAACTAATAAACCTTGCCAATACTGAGCAGCTTTTAACTTTTTGCCAGTCTACAGGTAAAAATGTTTTCTGATTTTTATCTTGCATTTCTCTGATCACTAGTCATTTGTTTATTAGCCATTTGTCTTTTTCTGATTAATTTTCTGATCTATTTTTCATTTTTTTAATTTAAAAATACTTTATTGCTAAAAAAGGCTAGCAATCACCTGAGATGTCAGCGAGTAGTAATTCCTTTGCTCATGAAGGATCTTGTCTCTATGTTGATGGCTGCTGATTGATGAGGGTGCTGGTTGCTGATCTATTTTTCTACATGGTTGTTTATTCTTAATTGTTGCTATTTCTAACTTCCAGGGCCTATTTGTATGTTAGGAACATAAACCCTTTGTCTTTTATGTACAGGGCGACCATATGCCCTCTGTGCTTGGGACGGTCCCAGCTTGTGCCTTCTGTCTGGGTGTAATGATTAGCTGCTCCCCCTTCACTCTCAAGCATCTGGGTTGGAGTGATAAACAATACCTAACACTGCAGCCTCGCTGTGTCTGCCTCTCTCTTCCTCCACGGCACCTGGGTTTCTTTTATTTACAAAGGCCAAGTATGATGAAGATAACACAGAATCAACTGCCCCAGAGTTGCACGAAGCTGTCTGTCTCTGCAGATAAACACTTCAATTCCCCTTTAGAGCAGACAGTTCTTAGTTTAAAAACAAAATCACCAGGATAGATCTTTCAGCTGTATAAACACAATGCATTATTGCATTACTTAGTAGAGATAATCAGCACGCACATGTTTGCTGAATGGATGAGCAAATGAATGAGGAACCAAAAATAAGGATGTTTCTGTTGGATTACATTCTTAGTTGAAGGTAAATGGTGGAAACATAAAGAAAAGTTGGATCTGAACCAAGAACTTGGAATTAAGCAGAACAAAGTACCACCTAATCTCCCCTCCTGGTGCTTCTACCCCTCGTCCAGTGATTCTGAAGACCCGTATGTTAAGGCGCACCTGGTAACCTCAGCTGCGTACTCTGTTGTGTAACCAAGAATGTCAGAAGAAGCTGAGAAGAGTCCCGTCAGCAGATGGAAAGGGCTCTAAGTGGACGGCCAGGGCATCTGCGCCGCTGCTGGGTACCCTAAGCAATACCGGTGTTTGTTCTGGAAGCTAAAGGCTAAGCGTGCTGCAGGTGCTGGTGATGAAAGTCTTATCTAAGCCATGGGTCATTCCAGTGACTTCTAAGGCGGCTACTGTGGAGGCCAGAACTGCCAAGGCGTCCTGCGTAACACTGAACATGGCAACAGTAATCCCAAGCACGGCTTCATTCACTGGGGGCTCGATGCGTGTCAGGCACTGTTCTAACCCTTTGTCTGTATTATCTCATTCAATCCTCATCATAACCTATGAAGTAGGATTACTCCCATTTTAAGATGAGAAAACAGGGCACAGAGAGGTTGAGTAACTTGCCCAAGGTCACACAGTCAGCAAATGGCAGAGCTGGGGTCAAAATTCAGCCAGTCTGAGTCTTGAACACTGGTCAGATTAAAGAATAGTTACTTGCCTCTACACATTTTTAACATAGATAACCTTTGAGCAACCCTATGGAACAAACTGAGCAGAGATCAAAGGAGTGCCTGGATTAAAAGCTACAGAGGATGGACTCATATTCCAATTTGGTGGAAAGGCCACCAGGGGCTGTATTTTCTGTAATATTAAATTTAAAAATGGCCTTCCAGAATCTAGACCATCCCAAGTAAAGGAATCCCTGAGCCCCAGAACTAGGCTGAATGTCTGGTTGACTTCCCACTGCTTCTATTAATGGAAAAAAGACATGTGAAAAGCTGGAACAGACATCTATCTATCACCTAGGCTGGAGTTCAGCCCTCTGGCCACAGAGCCCAGGTAATTTTCCAGCTACCTGACTACTGTGGATGAATTAAAATTAACTCCATAACTCTGACTCACTCAGACTTCTACCCAGAAGTGCTTTTTGGTCAAAGGTGCATCATCTGCTGGGCATGGTGGCTCACGCCTGTAATCCCAGTGTTTGGGAGGTAGAGGCAGGCAGATTACTTGAGCTCAGGAGTTCGAGACCAGCCTGGCCGATATGGTGAAACCCCGTCTCTCCCCAAAATACAAAAAGTTAGCCAGGTGTGGTGGTGCTCGCCTATGGTTCCAGCTACTTAGGAGGCTGAGGTGGGAGGATCACATGAGCCCAGGAGGTGGAGGTTGCAGTGAGCCGTGTTCATGCCACTGCACTCTAGCCTGGGTTACAGAGTGAGAGCCTGTCTCAAAAACAAACAAACAAAAAAGAACAAAGATGCATCATCACAAGTTTTGTCCCTGCTTTGAAAACCCTGAAGGTCACGTTACCAGGATCTGAGATGGGGAACGAAGTGGTGGCTGGAGCTTTACAGACACAATCCCAGATCACAACGGAGCCCTCTCTCCACCAGGCCCCGGCACTGGCTCCAAGTACTCTGGGGAGCCATGGAGCTTGGCCAGGCTCAGGCCCATAGACCATTAGACCCAGAGCAATTAGGAAACAAATTCAAGACTGTGCTCTGTTGAGGGTGGTTTTTCGAGCTATTTCTCTTGTCTTAGCCTGTTCCTGCTGCTGTAACAAAACACCACCACCTGGGTAAGCTGTAATAATAGAAACCTCCTTCTCACAGGTTGAGTGTCTGGAGAGGGCCCAATCTCTGCTTCCAGGACGGTGGCTGGGACGCTGTGTCCTCACGTGGTGAAAGCAAAAGAGCGAAGGGGTAAACCCTGCGTGAAGCTTCCTTTACAAAACACGAATCCCACCCACCAGGGCAGAGCCCTCCTGACTTAATCACCCCTAAAGGCCTCACCTCCTAGTATCATCACGGTGGCAATTAAGTTTCAGCACGTGAAATCTGCAGGGCACATTCCGACCCCAGCATAGATCTTAGCAGTTACTTGGATAAATCTGTCAAACAGGGGAAGCTGAGAAGCAGCCAGCCCGGGCTATTCCCTGATGAATTTGCGCCCTGCTCTGGTCTGTGCCCACCCACTCTCGCTCCATGGTCAGTGGTGGCTGCAGAAACACACATGAGGAGAGGGCCGAGCAGACTCGACCCTCAGTCACTTAAACCCTGCCCAGCCCCACAAAACACTCCCCAAGAGAAACCTCCTTCTTTGTTTCTTATGCTTACAGTGGGGGGCCATTAAACATCTGGAGACGTGGCAGGGAGGCGAGAGGAGACCCCGCCAGAAGCTGTGCCTTCCTAGGGGGCAACCATATGGGGCCCCTGCCCCCTGCTCACCCAAGAAGCAGAGGCCCCATGTGCAGGGCCCTGGGTCCTTTCAGAAGGGGTTCTGTACATTCTCTCATGGCCGGGGTCCCCAAGAAAGCAGATACACCCAAGACAGCAGGGAACCCCCAGACAGCAGGGGCACCTAAGACAGCAGGCGCCACCAAGACTGCAGGGGCCCCCAAGACAGCAGGCACCCTCGAGACCTCAGGGAGCCCCAAGACAGCAGGCACCAAGACAGCAGGGGCCCCCAAGACAGCAGGCACCCACAAGACTGCAGGGAACCCCAGGAAAGCAGGCACACTGGCCACCAGAATGCCAGGCCTGCAACACCACAGAGAAGGTGGAAAGCATGCACATTCAGTGTTTCTAAAAGGATGTTCTTACGGCCATGAGTCCTTGCTATTTCTGGAGTCTTTATCACACAGATTTATATAGCTACAAAATTAAGTATATTATCTCTGAGCTACTGCATAGAGTAATGGTATGAGATTCCTTCCTCCCTCCTCCACCTGGACAGAAAGCTGAAAGTTGGCCCAGGTCACCTCAAGTCAGGGGCGACTTCAGGACTCATGTGCCAGGACAGACATCTCACCGTGGTGGGAGCCAGTGATGGGGACTCCTGAAGACTGGTAATGATAACAAAGACACTCTGTACCACCGAAGGGAGTTAACTGGGAGATACCCCAGTGCCCCCCTCTCTCCCCCAACCCTGACCCTGTCCCGGCCCTGACCCTGCCCTTACCACACCAGCTGCACCAGCCCCACCCATGATCCCAACCTCCACCCCCACCTCTGACCTCCGACCAGACCCAGACCTGAAACCCCCTCCCAGTCCCATGCCCAAATCACACCCTCCCAACCTGCACCCTAACCACAGCCAGGCACCTGGGCTCCCTGTGCACAGCCTGGCCATGGGCACGGCCCCACCCCCAAACACCTCCTAGCCCTGCCTACCAGCCCCGCCCTAAATACACCTCCTAGCCACTCTCACAGCCCTGAGCCCCATCCCAACCACACCAAGCCCCGTTTTGCAGTCCCTCCCCCTACAGGATCCCTAAGCATGCCTCCCATGCCAGCCCCAGCCCTCCCTCTCCAAGGCCTTGGGTGCACGGTCCACAGGCCACCATCCTCTGTCCTGGGTGGGATGGGTCCAAGCGTCATGCGGAGGATCACTGGGCACTCCGCCGCTGAGCCTCCCCAGGTCCCTTCCCAGAGACGGGGTGGGCACTGCTGATTGGCTTAGGCCAAGCAGACCCCTGCTCAGACCACCCCGGGTGTGTGTCCAGACTGGAGGCATGTGCCTAGACTAGGGGAGCAGGGTCTCTCAGGCACCTCTGCTACCTGAAAGGTGTGTGGCCCTCAGCCAGGTGAGCAGCCACAGCATTGTACCATCTGACACGGGCTCCCAAGGCTGTCTAGTGTGTCTGTTGCCTGAATCCAGAGTTACCTTTTTCCAGTGTTCTTGCCCTTGGTTGGTTTATCATCTAAAGTATTCTAATCTCACTTCCATCGGGAAAGTAACTTTTCAAATTGTCCCAACTTTCAAAATAGCTGTTAAGGATTATTATCGTGATTACGAATAAGAAATTTGCTTTTTAAAGAATTGATTCACTGTGTGTGGTGGCTCTCCCTCTCCCCAAAGACACCCACATCCTCATCTCTCCCTCCCCAAAGACACCCACATCCTCATCTCTCCCTCTCCCCAAAGACACCCACATCCTCATCTCTCCCTCCCCAAAGACACCCACATCCTCATCTCTCCCTCCCCAAAGACATTCACATCCTCATCTCTCCCCTCCCCCCAGAGACACCCACATCCTCATCTCTCCCTCCCCAAAGACACCCACATCCTCATCTCTCCCTCTCCCCAAAGACACCCACATCCTCATCTCTCCCTCCCCCCAGAGACAACCACATCCTCATCTCTCCCTCTCCCCAAAGACACACACATCCTCATCTCTCCCTCCCCAAAGACACCCACATCCTCATCTCTCCCTCTCCCCAAAGACACCCACATCCTCATCTCTCCCTCCCCAAAGACACCCACATCCTCATCTCTCCCTCTCCCCAAAGACACCTACATCCTCATCTCTCCCTCCTCCCAGAGACACCCACATCATCTCTCCCTCCACAAAGACACTCACAGCCTCATCTTTCCCTCCCCAAAGACACCCACATCCTCATCTCTCCCTCCCCAAAGACACCCACATTCTCATCTCTCCCTCCCCAAAGACACTCACATCCTGATCTCTCCCTCCCCAAAGACACCCACATCCTCATCTCTCCCTCTCCCCAAAGACACTCACATCCTCATCTCTCCCTCCCCAAAGACACGAAAAACTCATCTCTCCCTCTCCCCAAAGACACTCACATGGTCATCTCTCCCTCCCCAAGACACTCACATCCCCATCTTCTCCTCTCCCCAAAGAAACCACAGCCTCATCTCTCCCTCTCCCCAAAGACACCCACATCCTCAACTCTCACTCCCCAAAGACACCCACATCCTCATCTCTCCCCCCCCCCAGACGCCCACATCCTCATCTCTCCCTCCCCCCAAAGACACCCACATCCTCATCTCTCCCTCTCCCCAAAGAAAATCGCATCCTCATCTCTCCCTCGACAAAGACGCCCAAATCCTCATCTCTCCCTCTCCGCAAAGACACTCACATCCTCATCTCTCTCTCTCCCCAAAGACACTCACATCCTCATCTCTCCCTCCCCAAAGACACCCACATCCTCATCTCTCCCTCTCCCCAAAGACACTCACATCCTCATCTCTCCCTCCCCAAAGACACCCACATCCTCATCTCTCCCTCCACCCAAAGACACTCACATCCTCATCTCTCCCTCCCCAAAGACACCCACATCCTCATCTCTCCCTCTCCCCAAAGACACTCACATCCTCATCTCTCCCTCCCCAAAGACACCCACATCCTCATCTCTCCCTCTCCCCAAAGACACTCACATCCTCATCTCTCCCTCCCCAAAGACACCCACATCCTCATCTCTCCCTCTCCCCAAAGACACCCACATCCTCTTCTCTCCCTCCCCAAAGACACACACATCCTCATCTCTCCCTCCCCAAAGACACCCACATTCTCATCTTTCCCTCTCCTCAAAGACACCCACATCCTCATCTCTGGAACCTGTGAGTATTGCCTTATGTGGTAAATAGGGGCTTTGCAGACTATGATTAAATGAAGGATCTTCAGGTGGCGGGGTGGGTATCTAGGTGGGCCTTAAATGCAATCACATGGGTCTTTCTAAGAGGGAGGCAGAGGGAAATTTGACAGAGATCCACTCAGAGAAGAAGGCCATGAGAAGATGGGGCAGAGAGAGATGTGAAGATCCAGGCCTTGAACACTGGAGCTATGCGGCCACAAGCCCAGCAATGGCAGCAGCTCCCAGAAGCAGAAGAGACAGCGAACAGATTCTCTCCTGGAGTCTCCCAAGGGAGCACGGCCCTGCTGACGCCTCCAATTCTACCCTGGATATGCTTTCAACTTCCAGCCTCTAGACTAAGAGAAGAACTTCTGTTGTTTTAAGCCACCCAATTTATAGTACTTTCTTTAGCAGCCACAAGACACTAATACACCCTGGCAACTCCCGCCCCTCCAGAACATCAGAATACTTCCTGCTGACCAAGCACTCCAACTGGGGGTCAACATCAGCAGGGAAAAAAATCACAGAGGGGAGTGCATTTGATTTTGGGTCTAATCTCTGACTCTCACTACATCAGGACCCATCATGTAATTTCGCGAGATTATTGCTTTATTTGTAAAACGTCTGTTCGTTAAAGTGATGGATTTGAAATGGGTTTACAAACTGTGACGCATTTGCAATGTTCATCAACACACAGCCAGGGAAGGCAAGCCAAGTCTAAGGAGAATTCCATTTTCCCGATAGGTGACGTGAAATTTCAAAGATTACAATAGAGTTACTAATTTTGTTTGCATCTCTAAAATTGGTAAAAATCATCATTAATTGAGCAGTAGGGTGGATGCCAGAATCTCTCATCTTGAAAGAGATGCCAAAAAGAAAAGAAAGAAGGTTCAACAGCTCTGCATAGCACTAACAGAAGTGCACTGGAGAAGCAATGTAGGCACAATAAGTAAACTTTTCTAGAAGTCAAAAGTGTATAAACAAAAACACACAAGCTTCTTATTCTAAGGGCCCTGTGCCTCCCCACCATTCCAGAGCACTCATCAAAGTCTTCACTGAGTGTTTCCAAGAGCTACACCATTAACCTTAAGTGCCTCTTGCTGTAAATTACCTTTGTTATATTGATGGTCTTTCAGAAGCAGCAAACACTCACTAGTCCAGACACACAACGGACACAATCATTGTGCCGCGGTAATCATGGTCACCTCTGGCGGAGTACAGGGATGGGACTCCTAGGTACATGCAAGCTACTGGCTACACTTCAGTCCTTAGTTGAGAAGTTGGTTCCAGGGGTTCATTATATGAGTATGTTTTGGAACTTACATGTTACATATATTTTTATGTATTAAAATATTTTAACATAATATTTTAATTATGGAGAATGGGAAAAAGAGAAAACAAAACTTCACTTATAGCACATTTCCAGGAAGCTTAGATATACCCACGACTGCTCCTGTCAAGCACTTCCTTCTGTCTGATGTTCTCCTGCCAGTTCAATTTATTTCCAGGATTCATTGGAGACACAGATGGCTTGGGGGCATCATTGCCATTACAATGTTGCCTGCCTTTGCCAGCGTACTCAGAGAATAGCAGGTAATGAATTCAGTTACCCTGAGCTGCACTTCTCCTGTGAACATTTCCCTATTCCATTTGCACCAGGTGTTTTCATTAGGCTAGGAGGAGCCCCTCTAACAAGAGACCCCAACGAAAGCACAGCTGAAAGAACAAAGAAGGTACTTCCCACTCGCACAGCTGGCAGAGGTGAGCGTCCCCGCTGGCAGGTAGTGGACAGAGCTCAGTGGACAGAGCCTCTGCCGTCTTGACCCCGCGGCTTCCAAGGCCACCCCAGTGGATGCCATTCCAGCCAGGAGGAAGGGCTGCAGCTGGAATCCAAGAAGGAGATCTCTTAGGCCAGCAATATGGAAATCGCACAGACTGCTTTGTTAGTGCTTTGCCCCCCAAGATTTTCACATTAAATCCTCATCCCAGGACCTCAGAATGGGACTGTATTTGCAGATGGGGCCTTTGAAGAGGCGATTAAGTTAAATGAGGTCACAGGAGTGGGCCCTAAACCAATACGACTGATGTCCTTATGAGGAGAGGAGATTAGGATACAGATACACAGAGTGGGACGACCCAGCAAAAGACACTGTCTGTAAGGAAGGAGAGGAACCAGCCCTGCAGACACCTTGGTCTCAGACTTCCAGCCTCCAGAGCCGGGAGAACAGATATTTCTGTCGTTGAAGCCTGCAGGCTGTGGGGCTTTGCTCCGGAAGACCCGGAAACTCATAGAGGCTTCTAGTGACATTGCCCTCAGGATAACAGCCACACGTCACAACCAGCTACAAGGGAGGCTGGAAAATGAGGCCTCCAGGACCCAGCTCCATTTCTGCTGCTGTGGAGAAAGGAAAGACGAATGTTGATGAGTGGGCCTCACCTAGAGATAGGTCTACGGCCACGCCACCCTGTGCAGTCAGTCAATGAAGACCTCGGAGAGTGACGTGGCAGGAGCATCTGCCCAGCTTGGTGGGGGGAATCTAAAAAGTGTAAGACCTGTCTTAAGGAATGGGCTCCTTATGTGAAGAAACAAATAAGTTGCAATGGGAAATAGAAAAGAAAGAGACGCAGACCAGAGTGATGAGGGAAGACCTCCACAGCAGGCAGGGCTGGCTGCAGCTCGTGAGACTCCAGTGAGTGGGGACGAGGGAGCAGGCATGCGTGATGGGTGTGGCATGACCGTGGGAATGAACACCGTGCCTGCATCTGAACCTTCCGTGTCTATCTGGAATCTAACCCCGGTGCCCTCGGTCCCCACGTCTTCCAGATCCCACACTCTTCCAGTACCTTTGTTATCCGTGTAAGCTGAGCAGAGTGATTTCTTCTGCTAGGAATCAAGACCCCTGGCTACAAAACAGATCGGCTAACCTGGAATGGTGGGGGCGAGTGCAGGTTCAAGACAGAGGTGCAAGGCTTCAGAGGACAGCAAATGCAGTCGCTCCAAGAACAGATCTAATATGTGCACAATGCACAAGTCCCTCTTGGCCGTGGGCTGCATTTATTCATTTATTCAGCACCCACTTACTGGGTGCTTTCTGTCTCCCACTGTTCTGCATGTGAAGTTTCTGGATGGCCCACCCAGAAGGTGGGAAAAATGGGGATTCTCTGATGGAAATCCTGGCTTTACAATGGGAATGGGAGCTCAGTGGCAGAGGAGCTGAGGATGAGAGGAGGACAGGATGTCCTAGATGCCCCCAGGAAGCTGCAGGTGCAACCCGCACACAGATGGGGCCCCTGAGAGAGTGAGAACACGGGGAAGAAGGAAGCAAGGCATTGGGGAAGACACTTGGCAGACAGAGGGAACAAGCAAAGGTGTGTTCTGAGGAGACAGAAGGCATCAGAGAGGCAGAGAGAGGTCCGGGAAAACTCAACATCACAGAAGCTAAGAGACGACAAAGCTGCAGGGAAGAGGTCAAACGCTGGCCAGCTGAGCATGACTGGCTAAGTGAGCTGTCGCCCACATATTGGAACACTAAACTGAATGTTAGCTATTCCACGGTAGATGAATATTTGTTTTCAATGAAAGATATTTGCAATACACTACAAAGTAAAAGCCTCAGCACTCGGACATGTGTGCAGGAGTTCTGAGGACAGAGACCTGCGTGTAACATGCGGGTTACCGGGGCAGGCGCCAGCAGCAGAATGGAAGTTGAGCTAGGTTCATCTCTCGCCACAGGGCTTCCTTCGAGGCATGCTGTGCAGGGCCGGCACCAATCTCCCATCTCTGTTGGGTAATCTGAGCCTGATCAGTGAACATCTGGCGGAAGAGAGGGAACGGGCTGTTGTTGAGAGTGGAGGGGAGCACACGGCAGATCTGCAGCCTAAGACAGAATAAACAACCTGCGTAGAGCTCTCACCTCTCACCTGGATGCCTGCAGAGTCCAATGCCCAGCTGGGTTCAGAGGCCCTTCACTGGGCTGTCAGCAGAAGACGAGATTGTGGATGCGTCCCACTCTGCAAAGCCTGGCTCTGCACGCCCACAGCCACCCAGCCTTTCTCCCCAGGTGGTTCCAATCTTCATTCCCCTCAGTCCTCATTACTCTCAGTCCTCACTGATCTCAGTCCTCATTGCTCTCAGTCCTCATTGATCTCAGTCCTCATTGATCTCGGTCCTCATTCCCCTCGGTCCTCATTGCCCTTGGTCCTCACTGATCTCAGTCCTCATTGATCTCGGTCCTCATTGCCCTCAGTCCTCATTGATCTCGCTCTTCGTTGCCCTCAGTCCTCATTGATCTCGGTCCTCATTCCCCTCAGTCCTCATTCCCCTCAGTCCTCATTGCCCTCGGTCCTCATTAATCTCAGTCCTCATTGCCCTCAGTCGTCATTGATCTCAGTCCTCATTGCCCTCAGTCCTCATTCCCCTCAGTCCTCATTGCCCTCAGTCATCATTGATCTCAGTCCTCATTGATCTCAGTCCTCATTGATCTCAGTGCTCATTGCCCTCAGTCCTCATTGCTCTCAGTCCTCATTGCTCTCAGTCGTCATTGATCTCAGTCGTCATTGATCTCGGTCCTCATTCCCCTCAGTCCTCATTCCCCTCGGTCCTCATTCCCCTTGGTCCTCATTGCCCTCGGTCCTCATTGATCTCATTCCTCATTGATCTCAGTCCTCATTGATCTCAGTCCTCATTGATCTCGGTCCTCATTCCCCTCAGTCCTCATTGTCCTCAGTCCTCATTGATCTCAGTCCTCATTGCCATCAGTCCTCATTCCCCTCAGTCCTCATTGCCCTCAGTCCTCATTGATCTCAGTCCTCAATCCCCTCAGTCCTCATTGATCTCAGTCCTCATTGCTCTCAGTCCTCATTGCCCTCAGTCCTCATTGATCTCAGTTCTCATTGCCCTCAGTCCTCATTGCCCTCAGTCCTCATTGATCTCAGTCCTCATTGCCCTCGGTCCTCATTGCCCTCGGTCCTCATTCCCCTCGGTCCTCATTGATCTCAGTCCTCATTGCTTTCAGTCCTCACTGCTTTCAGTCCTCATTCCCCTCAGTCCTCATTGCTTTCAGTCCTCATTCCCCTCAGTCGTCATTGCCCGCAGTCCTCATTCCCCTCAGTCCTCATTCCCCTCAGTCCTCATTCCCCCCAGTCCTCAATGATCTCAGTCCTCATTCCCCTCAGTCCTCATTGCCCTCAGTCTTCATTCCCCTCAGTCCTCATTGCCCTCAGTCCTCATTGATCTCAGTCCTCATTGCCCTCAGTCCTCATTGATCTCAGTCCTCATTGCCCTCAGTCCTCATTGCCCTCAGACCTCATTCCCCTCAGTCCTCATTGCCCTCAGTCCTCATTGATCTCAGTCCTCATTGATCTCAGTCCTCATTGATCTCAGTGCTCATTACCCTCAGTCCTCATTGATCTCTTTGCTCATTACCGTCAGTCCTCATTGATCTCAGTCCTCATTGCTCTCAGTCCTCATTGCCCTCAGTCCTCATTGCCCTCAGTCCTCATTGATCTCAGTCCTCATTCCCCTCAGTCCTCATTGATCTCAGTCCTCATTGCCCTCAGTCCTCATTCCCCTCAGTCCTCATTGCCCTCAGTCCTCATTCCCCTCAGTCCTCATTGCCCTCAGTACTCATTGATCTCAGTCCTCATTGATCTCAGTCCTTATTGATTTTAGTGCTCATTACCCTCATCCTCATTGATCTCAGTGCTCATTACCGTCAGTCCTCATTGATCTCAGTCCTCATTGCTCTCAGTCCTCATTGACCTCAGTCCTCATTGATCTCAGTCCTCATTCCCCTCAGTCCTCATTCCCCTCAGTCCTCATTGCCCTCAGTCCTCATTGATCTCAGTCCTCATTGATCTCAGTCCTTATTGATTTTAGTGCTCATTACCCTCAGTCCTCATTGATCTCAGTGCTCATTACCGTCAGTCCTCATTGATCTCAATCCTCATTGCTCTCAGTCCTCATTGCCCTCAGTCCTCAGTGATCTCAGTCCTCATTCCCCTCAATCCTCATTGCTCTCAGTCCTCATTGATCTCAGTCCTCATTGCCCTCAGTCCTCATTGCCCTCAGTCCTCATTGATCTCAGTCCTCATTGCTCTCAGTCCTCATTACCCTCAGTCCTCATTGCCCTCAGTCCTCATTACTCTGAGTCCTCATTGCTCTGAATGTTCATGAAGGGCATGATTTCTTCCATGTGGTTGGTGCAAAAGTAATTGCAATTTTTGCCATTACTAATAAATAGTAGCCAACAATGTTATATTTTGTAGGGACACAATTTTCCACGGGTCTCCTGACTGTCTGTACATCCTGAAAGCAAAGATCTCAATAACCTCTGCCCCAGGATGTCTTGTCACGGATGTCTGCAGACAACCCTGGTTTGGAATATGAAGTTTCCCCTGCAGAGAAAAGATCCTGGTTCCCTAAGCTGGAGGATCCTCTCCTGTCCCGGAATCCACAGTGAGTGCAGGTCTCGTTCTGTGGGGATTAGGCCTTAAATAACTTAGACAAAAACGGCTAGTACTCTGCCTGCTGCTGTGACTGTGAGTAATAACACCATCCTTGTCTCTGATGCAGCAGTCTTGTGTCTTTTGCCAGCATCCACAAAACTATGGCAGCCTAACTTGTTAGCCCGCAAGTAGAGTAAGATCTCAGACCCTTCACAGCTCTCAACCCATTTGTAGAATTTTATTAAAAAGCAGACAAACAGTACTAGCAAGAGTTATAATCTAATTAAAAGAGCTGGAGACTCCTATATAGTTCCTAAAGATGAAAGTGTGTCCTGGGCTCCCACCCTCTCCCTGCCTGTCCTATCACCCACCACAGTGCTGACACAACCAAAGGTGCTTGGTGAAAACTGGGCTAGAGGTGAGCTCTTGGTGCCTGTTTCCAAAGCAGGCGTTGTCAGACCTGAGCAGCCTGCTTCGAGTGGGAGAGTCGTCCACTCTTCCCAAGACCTCCTGCTGTGCCAAGTCAACCACAGCCAACAAGAAGACCAACGTGGTGCATGGTTGTGTTGCTCTGATGAGGACGGCGGCATGGACAGCTTCAATTTTCAGTGAGGCTGGCGCACTTTACACACACATTCCTTTGAATTCTCAACACATCCTGTAAGGTTGAAACTCTTTTCCCCACGTCACAGATGGAGAAAACTCAGCCAGATCAAAGTCATGTTGCTAGAAAGTGACCTAACTGGGTTTAAACCTACCAGTTTGGCATCTCACGAGTAAGCTGCAAATGCTGGATGGAAGCTTAAAACCGTGTTGGTGTTCATCAGGCAAAGCCGAGGAGTGCCGGCGAGGAGGACCAGCCCGGGCTGCCGGGTGCTCCGCGTCCTGCAGACACAAGGTGGCTTTTGGAAGACAAGCTGCTTACATGGCCTTGTGGCCATCTGGCTCTTGTTTGTGGTTGGGGGGGGGTGACTGAAGGGCATGGGGTGTGGAAACCGATCTATCGTTTCTTGTATCTTACTGGGCACAGGCTGTATTTATATATGTGGCTCCCAGGGCCCGAGGGGGGAGGGCCGGGCTTGCCAGTGGCCAGTTCTGCTCACTCAGCAACCCAAAGTGTGCTCCTGAGGGGGTAGAGCATAGAGGGCCCCCAGGAAGGACCCACCTAGAACTAGATTCTATCTCTCCTTATACACCCCAAAAGTCCTGGGCTGAAATTTCACACCGAATGCATCCCTTGCCCTCATTTTTCTTTTCTTTCTTTTTTATGCTGTTTCTTGTCTTCTCTTTCTTTCTTTTGGGGTGGAATTGTGTCCCCCTAAAAGGTTTTTTGAAAACCTAACTCCTGGCACCTGAGAAAGTGGCTTTGTGTGGAAAGAAGGTCCTTGCAGACACAGTTAGTTAAGATGAGGTCACATGGAGTAGAAGGGTGTTTGCACAGTATGCCAGCAATCTTAGAAGAGAGACACACGGAGAGGGGATGCCACACAGAGACAGACACACAGAGGGATGCCAGCCATGTGACGGTGGCTAAGGAGAGGGGAGTTACAGAGCTGCAAACCAAGGAACGCCAAGCAATGTGGCAAGGCCAGCAGCCGGGAGAGAGGCGCGTGCAGGGAGGCCAGCGGCCGGGACAGAGGCACATGTAGGAGGGCCGGTGGCCAGGACAGAGACTCATTTACGGAGGCCAGAGGCGGGCACAGAGGAGCATGCAGGGAGGCCAGCGGCTGGGACAGAGGCACATTTACGGAGGCCAGAGGCAGGCACAGAGGCACGTGCAGGGAGGCCAGCGGCCAAGACAGAGGCGCATGCAGGAAGGCCAGCGGCCGGGACAGAGGCACATTTACGGAGGCCAGAGGCAGGCGCAGAGGCACGTGCAGGGAGGCCAGCGGCCAAGACAGAGGCGCATGCAGGGAGGCCAGCGGCCGGGACAGAGGCACGTATACCGCGGTCAGTGGCCGGGACAGAGGCACATGCAGGGGGGCCAGTGGCCAGGACAGAGACTCATTTACGGAGGCCAGAGGCAGGCACAGAGGCGCGTGCAGGGAGGCCAGCGGCTGGGACAGAGGCACATTTACGGAGGCCAGAGGCAGGCACAGAGGCGTGTGCAGGGAGGCCAACAGCCACCACAGAGGCGCGTGCAGGAAGGCCAGCGGCCGGGACAGAGGCGCGTGTACGGAGGCCTGGAGCCAGGACAGAGGCGCGTGCAGGGAGGTCAGCAGCTGGGACAGAGGTGCATTTACGGAGGCCTGGAGCCGGGACAGAAGCGCGTGCAGGGCGGCCAGCGGCCGGGACAGAGGCGCGTGCAGGGGATCCGGCCAGGACAGAAGCACAGAGAAGATTGGCCCTCAGAGCCCCCCCAAGGGGGAACCACCTCTCACCAAGACCTTGGTGCTGGCCTCTTGGCCCCCTGAACAGTGAGAAGCCATGCCTCTGTGGTTGTCAGCCCCCGTCTGGCTGTGGTTTGCTGTGCCACCCCCGGACTGTCACCCCCCTTGCAGTTTTTCTTTCTGTGGCTTTCATTTACTCTCTTTCTTCTTCCTTTCTCATGGGCTTCCCCTGCAGGAAGTACACTTACTGCTATGTCACAAGGTGCAAGCGAATGCTATGGCTGTGCCCCCTGGCTCCCTTTGGGATTTTCCTGGGGCCCCAGGGACTAGAAATGAGACCAGGTGGTCTTTGCCCCCAAGCCTGGCTGCCACCAGACTCAGTCCCGGCTCAGTCTGGCTTCCATCTCTGGGGCGGCCTCGAGCACGGGCTCATCTTCCCCACACAGCAAACAGAGCCTCGGCAGGCTGTGCTTGGAGAAGCCACATCCTCTCAGACAGCAAGAAGGGTTTTATCCTGAGTACGTTTTTTAAAATTAAATTTCAGGAGTGGGGTTGGGAGCAGATTCTTTATTCTCCCACGAGTAGGTCTTTCCCACGGTGATGACCATAAGGACAACAAAAGAACGAGCGAGAGTCAGCATCACCTCCCGCCTCCCGAGCGAGGGTCAGCATCACCTCCCGCCTCCCAAGACACACGGGGAAGCCAGGCGCGTCTGTCACGGGTGAGGGCTGCTCTTGCCCAGGGCAGCCCAGGGAGGGGGTAGGCTGTTCAGCAGCCTCTGGGGCCTGGAGAAAGCGGGTCCCTTCTGGAGGTGTGACCCGGCCGGAGTCCTCCTGGGCTGACCCAGAGGGGCCCTCCTCAGCCCCTTCTTCCCACGGGAACTGCTGGATCCAGGCCTGCTGCGCGCCGCAGTGGGGCCAGCTGGCCTGTCCCATGTCAGGGGAGACACCCCGCCCAGCTGCCCAGGCACACACCAGCCCGCACCCACCCTCTAAGCCCACAGCTAAGCGCCCATCATGCACTCCAGCTTCAGACCCCGCTCTGGGGCTGCCACTGACTGCTATTTTAGCCGCTTGCTCCAGCTACCTTTTCATCAAAGGCCTTGAGACTCAGCCAATTCAGGAGACCACAATGGGCCCAAGAAGGCATCTGTGAATATGGCGTCTGCCTGTGGGGCCTCGTTCCCAGC
The DNA here is from genome assembly GCF_000001405.40 of Homo sapiens. Taxonomy (NCBI): domain Eukaryota; kingdom Metazoa; phylum Chordata; class Mammalia; order Primates; family Hominidae; genus Homo; species Homo sapiens. The sequence goes on from NC_000007.14 coordinate 155,340,006, forward strand.
AAAGGGACTGTCCATAGCCTTTCAAAGCGACAGGGCCCGATGGGAGAAGGGGGCAGAGAAGGAGAAGAGCAGCGGAGAAGGGAGCCAGCAGACATACTGGCCCGAGGCAGCGGGTTAAAGGCTGTGACGCCTGCTTTCCCAGGTCACAACGGAGAGGAGAGTCCGCTGGATGCTGCCCCAACCCTGGCCTGTGGCTGCAGCCCAGAGCCCTGTCCACTTCCAGGGGACCCTGTCATGCGTGGCAGCAGACACCCATCCCTGGACCGCAGGGTCTTCTTTCCTCTGAGCCTGTGGCCACACACCTGGCACAGGCCTGTGTCTGATCTGTTTGACTGGCTTGGCCCACTGTCCCGTGTGAGGCACACGGGACAGTGTGAGGCACAGAACCACAGGACCCCAGGGATGGAAGAGGTTGCGGAGGTCTGTGTCCAGCACCCCGCTGTGCAGAACGGCCTCCTTGCTTCCTGACGGGGACAGGGAACTCACTGCCTTTCTTGGTGCCCACTCTGCCTAGGATGCTCTGGGAGTGTCACTCTGTCACCAGCATTTGGTGTCACTTTCCTGCGGCTGTGGTGAAGCGTATCTAACAGAGAATTGACCAGCTTCGAATGCACCGTTCAAGGGCACAAAATCCATTCACAGAAATGTGCATTCTTCCCCACCATCTGCCTCCAGAACTTTCTTCCATCTCCTAAATGGAAACGACACCCACTAAGCAGTAACTCCCCACTCTGCCTCCCCAGCCCCAGCACCCACCATTCTACCTTCTGTTTCTGTGAATGTGACAACTCTAGGGACCTGCCATGAGTGGGATCATTCAATACTTGCCCTTCCGTGACTGGGTCATGTCCTCTGAGCTCACTCCTGCTGTAGCGTGGTTCAGGTCCCTCCCCGTGGCTGAGCACTCCTCTGCCGTATAGCGTGGGTCGGGTCCCGTGGCTGAGCACTCCTCTGCTGCACAGCGTGGGTTGGGTCCCGTGGCTGAGCACCCCTCTGCCATGCAGATGGACCACATGGGGTTCATCTCACCAGTATTTTAGGCTACCCTTGTCTGCTGGCTTCTTCCTCACAGCCTAAAAGTATGTTTAGGTCTCTTCCATGTATTAGCACACATAAAAATCCACAAAACAGCAAAATAGGGGCCTGAGACCCACCCACTTTGACATGGTGAAAACCAAGAGCCTGCGAACCACCTGCTTTGACACAGTGAAAACCAAGAGCCTGAGACCCACCTGCTTTGACACAGTGAAAACCAAGAGCCTGAGACCCACCTGCTGTGACACAGTGAAAACCAAGAGCCTGAGACCCACCTGCTGTGACACAGTGAAAACCAAGAGCCTGAGACCCACCTGCTGTGACACAGTGAAAACCAAGAGCCTGAGACCCACCTGCTGTGACACAGTGAAAACCAAGAGCCTGAGACCCACCTGCTGTGACACAGTGAAAACCAAGAGCCTGAGACCCACCTGCTGTGACACAGTGAAAACCAAGAGCCTGAGATCCACCTGCTGTGACACAGTGAAAACCAAGAGCCTGAGACCCACCTGCTGTGACACAGTGAAAACCAAGAGCCTGAGACCCACCTGCTGTGACACAGTGAAAACCAAGAGCCTGAGACCCACCTGCTGTGACGTGGTGAAAGAGCTTTCAAACACTCCCTAGCAACGCACCACATGCAGGGGGCTCAGACATCACAAACGTATCTCCTCTCAGTTCTGGAGGCTGGAAGTCCAAGATCAAGGTTGGGCAGGGCTGTTTTCTCCCGAGGCCTCTCTCTGTGGCTTGCAGTCAGATGCCATCTCCCTGGGTCCTCACATGGTCATGCCTCTGTGTGTCTGTGTCCTTATCTCCTCTTCTTCTAAGGACACCAGTCCTATGGGATTAGGGTCCACCCCAGTGAACCCATTTGACCTTAATTTCCTCTTGAATGGCTCTAGCTCCAAATACAGCCACATTCTGTGGCCTCCCCCCGGGGCTTGCAGACAGCTATTTTTACCTTCCCGCAGGGCTCTCCCTGTGGGTGTCTGTGTCCAATGTCCCCCATGTTTAAGGACACCAGTCATACTGGACTAGGGCTCACCCTAACAACTTCATCTTAACTTGATGACCTCTGTAAAGACCCTATCTCCCTATAAGGTCACCTTCTGAGGTCTTAGGGGTTAGGACTTCATCCTTTGGATTTATGGAGACACAATTCAGCCCCTAACATCTTGGAAATTCTAACCCACTTAACCCATTCTCTTCCCTGGAAGTTCAATATTGTTTTGATGTTTATGTGTAACATTGCTTTAAAAACTCTGTCTCTTGATCACAACAAGAAACACCAATGGTCTGCGTGGCTGTGGTTTCCCCGGCTCCCTTGTGTGGCTGTGGGTCCCCAGCTCCCTTGCTCCGAGATGTCTCTGTTTTGCTTTATGCAGTTTCCTTCAAGCCCAGCATTTCGTCCTAGGGGCCTCCCATGGACTGAATGTTGGCGAGGCCCCAAAATTCCCATGCTGGAGCCTCAAACCCCGGTATGGCTGTACGTGAAGTAAGGCAGCCATTAAGGTTACACGAGGCCATAAGGGTGGGCCCTGATCCCACGAGATTAGTGCTCTCATAACAAGGGACACCAGAGAGCTCGCTCATTCTCTCCTCCGATGCTGGCACCAAGAAAGGCCACTGAGGAGGGCAGGGCAAGAAGGTGGCCTTCTGTGAGCCTGGAAGAGGGGCCTCGCGAGAGCCCAGCCATGCTGGCACCCACCCCTCAGGCCTCCAACCTCCAGAGCCTGAGGAATAAGTGTCTGTGGTTCAAGCCACCCAGTCTGCGGTATTTTGTGAGGCAGCGGGAGAAAGCTATGGAGGGCTGTTATTTTGTTCGTATCATCTTTCGTGATGTGAAAGCTCTCTGTACTTTTAAAGTAGTAACCTTGACATTTTTCTAAACCATTCTTTACCATCTGCCTCTTTAATATTTGTTAGCAAGAGCTCCCCAACCCCCACTGCCCAATATAGTTCAAATATCTTCACTTTCCTCTACTTCTTTCTCACTCCCCACTTCCAAATTCCTGGTATGTTGATAGATTTTTGAATCATGCATCACCTCTTTCCACAAACTTTGTGATTCTGCATTCAGTTTACAAGCTTGGTTTTCTGTTGTTCTGTTTTAACTATTTCTACTTTAGTAACCCTACTGATTTCTTTTGTTTAACTCATCTTTGAACACCAATAACTCTGTACGATCTGTCTTGCTTAACCCACTCAGAACATGCACTTCACGCAGCCAGATCACAGCAACTACTGGGGTTTCACCTGGCATAATCCAAGCCTGAGGGGCCACTGTAGCTCTCCCCACTGCGGTCCTAACAGATGGAAGGGGACCTGGTCTCCCTCGTGCGATCTGAACTTGTAGTGTAGGCACCCTGTTAATATCCATGGAGTGATGGTAAACAGAGTCCAAATGCAACAAGAAATCTGCAAGTAACTGTCCTGGAGCCCAGGGAACAGGGCCAATGCCCACACTGCCAGGGGGACGGCTATACTGTACGGCTGAGTGGCTCCTCACCCTGTCCCCATGCCCCTGGGAACCCATCAGAGCATTTCTGTGGATGCCTGTCTTTGTCTCTCTTGACCAGGATATTCAGCCTCGCCTCAGTGGCATTTGAACAGGATAACTGTGTGGGGCTGTCCTGTGCAGGGCTGGGGGCCTCTCTGTGGGGCCATCGTGTGCATGGCGGTGGGCCTGCCTGCATCCCTGGCCTCTGCCCGTTTAGATGCCTGTGGCAGCCCCTCCTGCAACCAAATCAGCTTCAGACACTGCCAGTGGCCCCTGGAGCCAAAGACAGGGATTCAAAGGCAGGCCAAGGCTTGTCACCTGTCTCTGCCCCACACACAGCAGGCGCTTCAACGGCCTCAGCTCGCATTCCAGAAAGATCTGCCCACTGTGAGGCACAGGGCCTTTCTCCCACCTCACCAATGGCAGAAACGCACCTTTAGTGACCTGCGGCCCACCTGGGGATATTACCTGGGCATCGTGCCTCATAAAACCACACCCTAGGCTGGGCGCAGTGGCTCATGCCTGTGATCCCAGCACTTTGGGAGGTCGAGGCAGGTGGATCATGAGGTCAAGAGACTGAGACCATCCTGGCCAACATGGTGAAACCCTGTCTCTACTAAAAATACAAAAAATAGCTGGGCGTGATGGCATGTGCCTGTAGTCCCAGCTACTCGGGAGGCTGAGGCAGGAGAATCGCTTGAACCTGGGAGGTGGAGGTTGCAGGGAGCCAAGATCGCACCACTGCACAACAACCTGGGCGACAGCGCGAGACTGTCTCAAAAAACAAACAAATAAACAACAACAACAACAAAACAATGAAAAAACCCACACCCTACACTGTGGGGCCCTACGGCCGGCCGTGGTGCAGGCAACCTCCCCTTGACACCACTCCTGTTGCTGCGGGGCCTCCCGACCTGGGGCTGGTTCTGCGCTTTCCCTTTTCTGGGGCTTTGCCGGGCGCTTCCTGGGGCCCTCCTGGGACCTCCCTGGGGCTCTCCCGGGACCTTCCTGGGGCCTTCCTGGGGCTCTCTCGGGACCTTCCTGGGGCTTTCTCGGGATCTTCCTCGGGCTCTGCCAGGGTCTTCCTGGGGCCCTCCCGGGACCTCCCTGGGGCTCTCCCGGGGTCTTCCTGGGGGCTCTCCCGGAACCTTCTTGGGGCTCTCCCTGGAGCTTCCTGGGGCTCTCCCGAGTCCTTCCTGGGACCTTTCTGGGGCTCTCCCGTGGCCCTCCCGGGGCTCCCCCGTGGCCCTCCCGGGGCTCCCCTGCGCCCGTGTGTCCTTAGTGGGAGGGCGCTTTCAGCCTCCTCCTCCCACACACCTGTCCCGCCAGCGCAATCCAGGGGCCAGGGCGGCTGCTGAGGCCCCGGCCCGAGGAGGGGCGGTCACCCCGCAGTCGGACGCCGCCGCGCCCCACGCCGCAGGGCAGCGCGCCCCAAAGCTTCCCGCGCGGGGACTGAGTGGCGCCCTGGGCTAGTCCCCGCCCCTTCGCCCCCGCCGCGCCGCACCAGCGCCCCCTGGCGGCCATCCGCGCGCCGCGCGCTCCGACTCCCGCCCACCCTAGAGAGAGCGCGGAGCCCTGCCGGCGACTGACTTCAAGGCACAAGGCAGTGGGAATTTCGTCGCTGAGAAATGCAGCGTGTACGTCGGTTGTCTTTCCTTAAGCTGTATACACACTAGACGGAGCTTTCGGCAATGTATTCACTGAGGTTACAAGAGACAGGGACTTGGGGCTTGTTTTCTAGATTGCTGAAAATGAAGCTTTGAGAGCAGGGATGACACGTAAGTGGCTGAAACGTAAAAAACTGGAAGGTCAAATTACAAATGTAATAGAAATAGCCACCGGGTCCACTCAGTCCCCAGCCGCCTTGCAATCTGCTTTTTTAACTAGCTGCTCTCATCCGATTATAACAACCATCCGCCCCTTCAGTGGTTCCAGGGACTGCAGAGTCACATAAGAGAGCATCGCATAGAGCAAGTAACACATTGAGGGGGCACTCACTAAAGACAGCACCCACATAAAGAGAGCACCTACATACATAGAGCACTCACATAAAGAGGGCGCTCACATAAAGAGAGCACTCACTAGAGCATCTACACAGAGAGCACTCCCATAGAGAGAGCACCCACATACAGCACTCAGTAAAGAGAGCACCCACATACAGAGAGCACCCACATAGAGGGAGCACCCACAGAGAGAGCACTCACATAGAGCACTCACTAAAGAGAGTGCCCACATAGAGAGCACTCCCACAGAGCACCCATATAGAGCATCTGCATAGAGAGAGCACCCACACAGAGGGAGCACCCCCATAGAGACAGCACTCACATAGAGCACCCCCCTAGAGAAAGCACCCCCATAGAGAGAGCACCCTTATAGAGAGAGCACCCTTATAGAGAGAGCACCCCATAGAGAGAGCACCCCTAGAGAGCACCACCATAGAGAAAGCCCCCACACAGAGGGAGCACCCCCATAGAGACAGCACCCCTTAGAGAGAGCACCCCTTAGCGAAAGCACCCACACAGAGGCAGCATCCACACAGAGGGAGCACTCACATAGAGCACCCCCTAAAGAAAGCACCCACATAGAGAGCATCCCTATAGAGAGCACCACCATAGAAAGCCCCCACACAGAGGGAGCACCCCCATAGAGACAGCACCCCTTAGAGAGAGCACCCCTTAGCGAAACCACCCACAGAGGGAGCACGCACACAGAGGGAGCACTCACATAGAGCACCCCCCTAAAGAAAGCACCCCCATAGAGAGCATCCCTATAGAGAGAGCACCACCATAGAGAAAGCCCCCACACAGAGGGAGCACCCCTATAGAGAGAGCATCCCTTAGAGAGAGCACCCATAGAGACAGCACCCACACAGAGGGAGCACCCTATAGACACAGCACTCACACAGAGCACCCACTAGAGAAAATACCCCCATAGAGAGAGCACCCCATAGAGCCCCCACACAGAGGGAGCACCCCCACAGAGAGAGCACCCACACAGAGGGAGCATCCCATAGACAGAGCACTCACATAGCGCACCCCCATAGAGCACCCACACAGAGGGAGCACCCCCATAGAGACAGCACTCACATAGAGCACCTCCATAGAGAGAGCACCCCCATAGACCACTCACATAGAGCACCTAGAGAGAGCACTCACATAGAGAGAGCACTCACACAGAGAGAGCACCCACATAGAAAGAGCACTCACATAGAGCACCCATAGAGAGAGCACTCACAGAGAGAGCACCCACATAGAGAGCACCCACATAGAGAGAGCACCCACAAAAAGAGCACCTACATAGAGAGCACCCACATAGAGAGAGCACCCATATAGAGAGAGCACCCACATAGAGAGAGCACCCAAATAGAGCATCTACATAGAGAGCACTCACATACAGAGAGCACCTACATAGCACTCACATAGAGAGAGCACCTACATAGAGAGAGCACCCACATAGAGAGAGCATCCACAAAGAGAGAGCACCCACATAGAGAGAGCATCTACATAGAGAGAGCACTCACATAGAGAGAGCACCTACATAGAGCACTCACATAGAGAGCACACACAGAGAGCACCCACAGAGTACCCACATAGAGAGAGCACCCATATAGAGCACCTACATAGAGAGAGCACCCACATAGAGAGAGCACTCACAGAGAACACCTACATAGAGCACTCACATAGAGAGAGCACCTACATAAACAGAGCACTCACATAGAGCACTCGCATAGAGCACCTACATAGAGAGAGCACCCACATAGAGAGAACACCCACATAGAGAGAGCACTCAGAGCACCCGCATAGAGAGCACTCCCATAGAGCACCTACATAGAGAGCACTCACATAGAGCACCTAGAGAGAGCACCCACATAGAGCACTCACACAGAGAGAGCACTCAGAGAGAGCACCTACATAGAGCACTCACATAGAGAGAGCACCTACATAGAGAGAGCACCTAGAGAGCACTCACATAGAGCACCTACATAGAGAGAGCACCCACATAGAGCACCCACATAGAGCACCTACATAGAGAAAGCACTCACAGAGAGCACCCACATAGAGAGATCACTCACATAGAGTACCCCAGAGAGCACCTACATAGAGAACACTCACATAGAGAGTGCACCCACATAGAGAGAGCACCCACATAGAGAGAGCACCTACATAGAGAGCACTCACATAGAGAGAGCACCCACATAGAGAGAGCACCCACATAGAGAGAGCACTCACATAGAGCACTCACATAGAGAGAGCACACACATAGAGCACCCACATAGAGAGAGCACCCACATAGAGAGAGCACTCACATAGAGCACCCACATAAAGAGCACCCACAAAAAGAGCACCTACATAGAGAGAGCACCCACATAGAGAGAGCACCCATATAGAGAGAGCACCCACATAGAGAGAGCACCCAAATAGAGCATCTACATAGAGAGCACTCACATACAGAGAGCACCTACATAGCACTCACATAGAGCACCTACATAGAGCACCCACATAGAGAGAGCATCCACATAGAGAGAGCACCCACATAGAGAGAGCATCTACATAGAGAGAGCACGCACATAGAGAGAGCACCTACATAGAGCACTCACATAGAGAGCACACATAGAGAGCACCCACATAGGGTACCCACATAGAGAGAGCACCCATATAGAGCACCTACATAGAGAGAGCACCCACATAGAGAGAGCACTCACATAGAGAACACCTACATAGAGCACTCACATAGATAGAGCACCTACATAAATAGAGCACTCACATAGAGCACTCGCATAGAGCACCTACATACAGAGAGCACCCACATAGAGAGAACACCCACATAGAGAGAGCACTCAGAGCACCCACATAGAGAGCACTCCCATAGAGCACCTACATAGAGAGCACTCACATAGAGCACCTAGAGAGAGCACCCACATAGAGCACTCACATAGAGAGCACCCACATAGAGAGAGCACTCAGAGAGAGCACCTACATAGAGCACTCACATAGAGAGAGCACCTAGAGAGAGCACCTAGAGAGCACTCACATAGAGCACCTAGAGAGAGCACCCACATAGAGCACCCACATAGAGCACCTACATAGAGAAAGCACTCACAGAGAGCACCCACATAGAGAGATCACCCACAGAGTACCCCATAGAGAGAGCACCTACATAGAGAACACTCACATAGAGAGTGCACCCACATAGAGAGTGCACCCACATAGAGAGAGCACCCACATAGAGAGAGCACCTACATAGAGAGCACTCACATAGAGAGAGCACCCACATAGAGAGAGCACCTACATAGAGCACTCATAGAGAGAGCACCCACATAGAGAGAGCACCCACATAGCACCACTGTCAGGGCTGAGTGGTGCAGTTGCAGAGGGAAAGGGCTGCCAGGTATGTCCCACCCTGCTCACTGCCTGCCCCATGCCAGGACCTCTGGCCAGGTGGCCTTACTTGCCTTCAGGTGTCTGGCTGCGAACCCGTCTGTCTGACCTGGTGGAGAATGGGGCCTTCCATTAATCCCCAGATGCTCCTGCCTACTGTCAAAACCTAGGAAGAGAGAGAAGATACTTACCAACAATAATTTGAAGCCAGCAAGGCAAGAAGCTTTGCCCTTGGGGACCAGGTAAAAATTATAACAGATGCTGCAGCCTCTGCCAAAATGAATTTGTAAATGCGTCACTTTGGTAGCAGGCGCAGTAATGAAGAAAAATACACTTTTTTTCATTCGTGGGGGTAAACAGCTGGAAAATAATATTAGTAAGGGGGAAAAACAAAAGAGAAGGCTGGGGAATTCTTCCTGCACAAAAACAACAGGGCCAAAACTCTCGGTGCCTGTGGGAGGAGATGACGACGCTCATTCTTGCCTCGTCCTGCCACCGGGCACCACACTTTGCCCTTTGTAGGCAATGACAGACCTGGGAGGTGGAGAGAGCAGGAGAGCCACGGAGTCTGGAGCCAGCCACCAAAACTGCTGAGAAGCGAAGGAGGGACTCTGGAAGGCAAGGCATGAGTGTCCTTCACACAGCCTGCAGATCTCCTTTCACCACCTCCGTCCTGGAGGCTTCCTCCGCGTCGTCCTGGGGTTCTCCTGCCTTGGAAACCCAGCTGCTCCCCATGCAGCGTAGCCGGCCCCGCCCCCCTCCCGCAGGAAGCTCAGAGAGGGTGCAGAGACCTCGCAAGTGCAGGCTCGGCCATCATCGGAGCTCCACCAGTAGGGTCAAGGAGTACGCGGCTGGAGCAGGTTTCCAGCCCGGAAGGCATTTCCCTGAAATGTTTGAAGACGCCGCTGCACAGGCTTCTGACCTGCAGTGTCGCTGTGCGGAAGCTCAAGGCCACTTCAGGGCCGGAGCAAGACTTTGGGGTTCTTCACCCCGCGTGTGCTGGGCCTCACTCAGTGGGTAGACTTTCCCCGAATCCCCACTTTCAGCCTGGGCCCTACCCTGAACCCCGGTCCCGTGACTGCTGCTCCCAGGACAGAGCGTTTCTGGTTCAATTTCTCCCGAAACCAATGCCCTCGTCGTCGGCCGGAGCAGGGTTGGAAGACCATGCCAGCGCCTAACTGCTCCCCGAAAGACGTCCAGCCACTCTTCCTCTTCCCTCTCATGCTGTCCCTCGGGGGTCTCGGGTCCCAGTTTCCCGGCCTGCTGGGCTCACACACTCCCTCGGCTTCCTAGAGACCCGGCTTCCGGCTTCCTGCGGTCTCCCGGGCCGGCCTCCCCTCCCGGCTTCCTGAGGTCTCCCCGGCCGGCCTCCCCTCCCGGCTTCCTGCGGTCTCCCGGGCCGACTTCCGCTCCCGGCTTCCTGCGGTCTCCCCGGCCGGCCTCCCCTCCCGGCTTCCTGCGGTCTCCCCGGCCGGCCTCCCCTCCCGGCTTCCTGCGGTCTCCCGGGCCGGCCTCCCCTCCCGGCTTCCTGCGGTCTCCCGGGCCGGCCTCCCCTCCCGGCTTCCTGCGGTCTCCCCGGCCGGCCTCCCCTCCCGGCTTCCTGCGGTCTCCCGGGCCGGCCTCCCCTCCCGGCTTCCTGCGGTCTCCCCGGCCGGCCTCCCCTCCCGGCTTCCTGCGGTCTCCCGGGCCGGCCTCCCCTCCCGGCTTCCTGCGGTCTCCCCGGCCGGCCTCCCCTCCCGGCTTCCTGCGGTCTCCCGGGCCGGCCTCCCCTCCCGGCTTCCTGCGGTCTCCCCGGCCGGCCTCCCCTCCCGGCTTCCTGCGGTCTCCCCGGCCGGCCTCCCCTCCCGGCTTCCTGCGGTCTCCTCGGCCGGGCTCCCCTCCCGGCTTCCTGGGCCACACAACCCAGTGCTCGTTATTGCATTAGGTGTTGTTTCCTCCTCTTCCCTTTATTGTGGTGGGTTTATATATTTTCCATTCTTTACTTCATTAAGACAAATAAAACATACAAAGAATAATGAAATGGATACAAGTTGTTCCCGCCCTGTTAAGAAACAGAACGTGCAACACAGCTCAGCCCCCTTGGGCTCCCCTCCTCCTGGCCTCTCCCCGTTCCCCCACCCTAGATAGAACCTTTGCTATGGGTTAAATGTGTTCCCCCTAAAATTTATATGTTAACAGCGTAACTCCCCAGCACCTAGAACATGAGCTTATTTGGAAATAGGGTCTTTGGCACTGTAAGAAGTTCAGATGAGGTCATCCTGGAATACGGTGGCCCCAAATCCAGTGTGCCGGCGTCTTGGTAACAAGTGGAAATATGGACACAGGAACGCATGAGGAGACTGCCAGAGGAATAGTGGAGTGATGCTGTGGCCAGCCAGGGAGCCACTGGCAGCCAGAGAGGATGGGACAGACCCCCTCCCTGGTGCCCTGGAGAGACTGTGGCCCTGCGACGCCTTGCTCTTGGATATCCGGCTTCCAGAATCGTGAGATGATCCATTTCTGCTGAGGCCACATGGTCTGTGGTGCTTTGCGTGGTAGTTGCAGGAAGCCCATACGCTCCCCCTGAACTGGGCATTTGTCTCTTACCCCTAAGACCCTTTCTGTGAGTGTCTCTTGGTTTCTTCCTCCACAGGATGGACAGCGAAGGTGAAATGGAGGAGGAAAGCCTGGGGAGGCATGAGGAAGGCGGCTGGGCACCTAAGACCTTGGGCAGGACCCATTAGGGACCCTCAGCCACAGCTCAGCCCAGCCAGGGCCCTCCTGGGTCTGCACAGCCCCAGGCCTCATCACAGCCGTCATGGTGCTGCTCCTGCCACACCGGCAAAGGTCCCACTGCAGGAGTGGAGGGAAGAGCCTCCCTCACACTTTTGGGTCTGAGACTGCTTTGGACTGGAGGAAGCTCCATTTTGGGGTGGGACCAAGAGGCAGAGACCCCCTCAGAGGCAGCTGTGAACATGTGGACAAGTTACTGTGCCTATTCAGTTAGATCAGTCCAGCCACCTGATGCATTTGTGGCTGCACCAGAGACTGCCACTTGTCCTCTAGTATCCACTTTTCCTTCTAGAACCATCTAGGCTGCCCCGGATACTCTGTGAAAGATTTCGCTCCCCAGTCTCCATGTAGCTAAGGGAACATGTGGCCCAGGACAGTAGCAGAAGTGGCCCGAGAAGCTTCCGGCTGGGGTATGTATAGGGTGGCACATCTTGCCCCTTGCTCTGCTGGTGTGCAGGGGACACGGACATGAGCGAGGACCCAGGAGGATGCTGGACGGCTCAGTCTGGGGAGGAGCCATCCCTCTCTGACTCCTTTCACCTCCTGATGTGTACCGGGGCGAGGCTTACCTGGATGAACACCGTGAATGAAATGGAACAGCAGTGGGTCGAGCCCCGCCTTGGGGCATCGCAGCACCAGGAACGTGGCTCACACTAACATGCGTGACCTCGGCTAAGCTTCATGACAGTCCTGTAAGAGGAGGGCTGTCTTTATCCTCTTTCTCAGATGAGAAGACTGAGGCCCAGAGAACTCCACAGCCGCTCAGACCGCACAGGCAGGAAAAGGCAGATGTGGGACTCAACTCCAGCCTCTGCCGTTCGTCACCAGCTGAACGTGGGCAGTTACCCCTCTGAGTTTCCTCAGCTGTCCAAGTGGCAACTGGTGCCCTCAGGGCTGCTGTGAGGGCCGAGTGGGACAAGGACCAGCCGGTCCCCATTAAAGGGCCATTTTGAGGTGCAAAAAGGCTGATGTCTGCAACTCTGTTGGTGCAACCTCATATATAAAGAGCCAGGGGAGGGGCTAGACCTACAGCAGACACTGTCATCATCCTGATCTGGGGGGGCACCTTAAAGGGGAGCTGCACCCCCAAATGCCGGGAGCTTTTCCATTGTCCTGGGAGAACAGGGGAAGCCTGGGGTGGAAAATGCATTGGGTTTAACCGCAGCCTTTTGTGGGTGGCAGTGCTGTGCATGTGTGTGTCTGTGTGTGTGTGTCCAGGGATGGGGATTGTGGCATTTTATTGGTAACCTAAATAACTGTGGCGAAAGCTTCCAGCACAGTAGAAAGGCGAAGTCACTCATTGTTTTTTCATTAAGAGCGTCTAAATGACAGATTGGAGCAGGTGCAATATTATCATTTAATTTGTCTCTCTGCCATTTTTTAGGCTACAAGTGTTCTCCTGGGTCTTAGGAGGAACTAGTTGAAAACGTTCAAGGCACCGACCGTTCCAATGTTTTTAACAATTTAAAAGCAACTGAAGCTAGCAGAAATACTCCACTGTGAAAACATCAGTGCCATTAACCCACTGGACAGGACACCCCAGGATCACGCTTAAGTTGCGCTTTATTCTCAGACGCTGACTCCATTCCCAAAGGACACTATGACAAGAATTATCTTCTCCAGAGCAAAGGCAATCTTGCCCAAGATGCTCCAAAGATGTCCAGGCATAAAGCCAAGCCCTCGTCTTTAGGAATGATCAAGTCAGGCAGCAAGCTTGCCTCCCTGGGAGACCCCACCTCCACCCCACCAACCACATGTCTCTGCTTGGCTCTTCAGACTCCGGGGCTGCAGGCCAGGACCCCAGACACTAGAACTCAGGGGACACCTGGCTGCACTCCTTATCCTAACCAAACCATTTGGTAAGTGTGATCTTACCAGCCAGCTGCTTGTAGGGGAGATGGGGTGAAAACTGTGGTCCCCAGGAAATGGGATCCCCATCCTTGGACTCGGGTGTCCTGCCTCCCCGCTGAAGGGCAAGAGACACATCTCGCGTTCCTGCAACGGGTGTGGGGCTGGGGTACTCAGAGAAGATGAACAGACCGGCCCACACAGGAGAGGCTCAAGTGCCCTCTGGAATTTCCCCACCTGGGGTTATACAGCAAATACATTATGTGAAAGGCAGCCCCCAACTTTTATTAGATTTTCATCAGGAATGATCTTGTTAAATATTTAAGATGGGCTTTTGAGAATGATATTTTTAAAGAATCATGTGACAAAGAGAAGAACACGGGGAAGCATAAATTTTTAAAATTCATTCCCTCGATATAATAATTCTACGAGGCATTTATTGCTGCTCAGCTCTAAGGAGAACCAATCAGCAAGTATCTTTCTTGTGGCCAACTATCCTGTCCTCTTGGCCCCAGGACCCCCATCTGCAATCGCCAATCCCAGTTGTTTACCTGAACTAATACCAGCTGGCTGGATGAAGACGGTAACTCAGATTTTTTTTAAGGGGACTGACTTTTGTGTTCCCACTAAATTAGCACTGTCTCTCTTACTGAATTAAACAGATTCTCTATTTTGGCATAGTAAGGTCCAGTCAAAGCACACACATACACACACATTTGCATGCACAGACATGCCATGCAAGTTCACACACACACACACCTGCACACACACTTGCATGCACAAACACTTGCATGCACAGACAGGCCATGCAGGTGCACACACACACACGTACACACACTTGCATGCACAGACACGCCATGCAGGTGCACACACACACCTGCACACACACACAGCATGTACACACACTCGCACACACACACTCACCTGCACATGCACACAGCATGCACACACACTTACATGGACAGACATGCCATGTAGGTGCACACACACTCGCAAACACACACTCACCTGCACACACCACACATGGCATGCACACACAGACATGCACACACACTTGCATGCACAGACACACCATGTAGGTGCGCACACACTCGCACACACACGGCATGCACAACACGGCATGCACACACACTTGCGTGCACACACACTCACCTGCACACACCCATGGCATGCACACACTCACACACACTCACTCGCACACACACAGCATGCACACACACGTGCACACACACTCACCTGCACGCACACACGGCATGCACACACGCACGTGCACACACATGCACATACATGACACAGACTTGCACACACATAAGACATGCACACACTTGCATGCACCAATATGCCATGCAGGCACACACGCACACGACACACACATTCACATGCACACACGCACATATGTGATACACTTGCACACACATGACGTGCACATACTTGCACACACAGGCACACTATCCCTTCATGCTGTCAGACACATCCTGTCACGCTCAGGCTGTGGGCATGGAGCCCGAGGGCAGGACAGAAGGTTGGGAATCCCAGGGCTTGTGTGTTTCTGGTGCTGCCCAGCCCCTGTCTCCTGCTGGGAAGGCAGGGACATGGGGCAGGGAGCTCACCAGGGTCACAGAAGCCCAAGACGAAGATGATGATGATGATGATGGACAAAAGGAATAGTGGGGGCACCTGGGAGGCGTGACATCACATGCCTGAGCCCTGGCCCTGCCCCATCGATCCCGCCTTCCCAAGGGTACCCAGCAAGTGTGCCCTGCTTCAGGTCCCATTTCACTATTCAGCCAACACAGAATCCCCACCGAGGTGCCAGCAGATGCAGAAGATGGGAGGGGCTGGCGAGCCAGGCAGGGCACCCCCAGGCGAGCCCCCCAGAGGGCAGAAAGGCTGGGACTTGTCTCTCAAGTAAAAGTCGAGGTTGCGTGACTGGGGGTCTGTCCCCAAGGCTGCCCCCGGTGGAGACGGCCACCGCCAGTCCACAGGACAGTGGAACAAGAGCAGATTCCATCCACTTACCATCCACTCTCCAAAGTGTAGCCCTTAGACCTCACCTAACTGCAGAGGAGATGGCAATGTGTGCCCCTAACATGTAGTTCCCTGACTAAAGGGACACCTGCCGTCTCTGCCACACTGAACACAAACCCTGGGCCTGCACCCTTTTCTCGGTTCTACAGTAGAACATACTTGAGAAAAGAAAAGCTGACTTCAAAGGACAGGACGGGACCTGCTCAGGGATAGCTGAACTTGAATCTGGGTTCAAAGCCTTTGAACAACATATGATGGGCCTAGTATTTGGGGTCAGGGATCCACCTTCTAGACCACCAGGACGGCGGAGGGGAAAGGAGCGTTTCTTGTAGCATTCCCCTTGCCCCTCCTCCTGACAGGCTGAGGCACCTGGTCCCTGAATTGCAGGAGGCAGTGCCCCTCAGCCAGGCTGCACAACCTTCCGTGGCCGTGAGGGGCAAGGCTGGTCCTGGCTCCAGCCCCTGCCACACTGCTTTGCCCAGCAGCCCCGGACTCTCCTGCCTGCGGTGTGCAGGTTCAACACCCCCATATGATTTACAATACATCATTTGGACTAACAGCTGTTGTCTAAGCTGCCTGTTAGGCAGGGTTCTGCAGGGAAGCAAAGCTAATAGGGTGTGTGTGTGTGTGTGTGTGTGTGTGCACACAAACGTGCACACATCTATATGTCTGTATCTTTGTCAAGAGGAAGAGAGATATTTATTTTAACAAAAATTCACTCACTGATTGTGGGGACTGGCGGGACTGAAATCTGTTGAACAGTCTTGCCGGCTGAGATTCAGGTAAGAGTTGATGCTGAGGTCCTGAGCCCGCGTTCTGCTGGGTAGCCAGTGGGGAACTCTGGCTGGGTTCCTACATTATCAGCTTGAGACAGAATTCCTCCTCCCTAGGGAGACCTCAGTCTTTGCCTTTAGACCTTCAGCTGATTGGGTGAGGCCCACCCACGCTGTGGAGGGCCATCTGTTTACTGAAAGGCAATTGGTTATAGGTGTTAAACACTATAAATAGTGTATCTACTATTTATACTATCAATAGCGTAGCAGGTACATTGAGTTAACGCTGTCAGAGGAGACAGTCCTCTGCCTAAAGACAGACCTCAGGACATGTGAGATGTCTATGCAAAGCCTCCTGCCCACACAGAATATAAGCAATATTAGCTTATAAGCATGACAAGGTGACACTCACCACCACAGCTGCCAACAGGAACTTGCCTCCTTCTCCTGCCTGGACGTCCACCAATACGTTTTACATTTGTGTTTTAATTCCTTTGAAGGAAACCAGGAACTTTCTCTAAAAACAGTGCCCTCCAGTGGGCAAAATTCCATCGTCTAGCCAGGGAGCTGGGCCAAAGGCGGCCCCAGGCAAGCCGACTGTGGTGCCTACATCCCTGAAGGGTTGTCAGAAAACAAAGACAATGATTCAGGCAGGCCCTGGGTGGCCCACACAGCCACCGTTCCTTTATTTGTCATCTGGCCTTTGTAGAGAAAGTTTGCCGAGCCCCGATCTGAGCATCTTTCATCTTCTCTCTCCATGTCTTGCTCCACACGCCACCATCTGCCACTTTCTGGATGGGCATTGCTTACTCGGCCTGAAGCGACGCTGTGCTGACACTAACAGTCTTTAGGTATTTCCCCTTGCCTTGGTGCATCTGCCTCCCCCTCCAGACCCCACCTGTCCTGCTCACGGTGTTTGTCCTTTACCCAGAACTGATCTGGCGCATCTGCGTATTCATCAAGCCTAAGTATTCATTAAGCGTAGCAGGTGCATTAAGTTAACGCTGTCAGAGGAGACGGTCCTCTGCCTAAAGGCAAACCTCGGGACATGTGAGAGGCCTATGCAAAGCCTCCTGCCCACACAGAATATAAGCAATATTAGCTGGTTAGTCATTTACACATTAGTATAAACAAGTACTCCCATCCTAGCCATGAAGGATAATTTAAAAGAGAGGAAAGTTTGGGCAGAATCAGAACACTGATGCCTGAGCAAGTGGATGACCAGAGAGGAAACCCTCTCTGGAGACAGGAAAGAAGTGACTAAAAAGGGGAGGTTGCCAGCACTGAAGACAAACCGTCTCTATTTCATCACTTCCCCAGGACTTGGCCCAAGTAACAGCTCCTCAAACCTTTCATTGGGCAAAGACTGCTCGATGAGTGACTCATAAACACAAAAAGCACAGGCACCGCTGCTCTGCACCCAGAGACTGTTTCCCCGCAGGGCTGCCAGGGAGGATCCCCCCAGGGTCTCCAGAACACAGGGTTCTGAGGTGTCAGTCCACCCTCCGTGGGGGAAAGGACTCCAAGGGAAATGTCTGGTTAGATAAAGCCACGCATGTGTACTTCCTCCGGGGCTGCTCGGAGCCTTCCCTCTGCTCACACATATGCCGTCACCTCTAGGAGAGGTCACGGGTGGCGGCGTGTCCCGAACTCTTTCCAACACGAGCTGCCCCTCACTTTCTGCCTGGTCTGCCAGAAACACCGAGAGAAGCCAATCTTCCAAGGCCCTCCGTCTGGGAAACTCTGACCTGGGGGCCACGCTAAGGGGAAAGCTCCCGTTCTGTAAATCAGTGCTCTCTTCCGAGGCCCAGCTGGAGGCAGGGATGATGTCTTTCATCATTCGCAGGAGGATGGCGTAAGCCCTGAGAGGTGTGAAAGGTAAGTAACGCCATGCTTTCCAAAGTCCCTCTGCCCACAGCTCCTCCTTCTGAAGGGAAGAAGAAAGGAAAGGGAAGGGAAGGCGATCACGAGGAAAGGAGGGAAGGTGGGGGTGCCAGGCGAGGGAGAGGCTGGGGGAGGCCCTGCCGCACCCCCTCTGTGCCTCCCTGGGACAGGCCTCCTGCCCCTCCCTCTGCTGGCAGCCTCGGTCTGTCCAGTCTCAGTTCCGCCCAGATGCCTGCAGCAGAGCCTGCTGTGGGGACCTGCTGGAGACGTGCAGCGCGCACCCAGCCTCTCATCAGCTCCAGGCTGCGCTGTCACCCCATGGACAGTGACTTCTGGCATCCACGCACTCCAGACAGATGTGCAGCCAGCGCCGCCAGCCCGGAAGGGCATCTGACACGTTTCTCAGCTGTGTTCCCTCTTTCAAGGTCACTGGCTTGAGCTCTTCCCTGCCCCGAGCACACGGACGTGGCAGCGGGCAGCGGGCAGATGGTGCACAGTCTCACATCCTCGGGCATCCGGCGGCGCGGGGACCCCTGTGGTCTCTGCACTGCGGGCACCTGCAAGCAGAGCTCTGCAGACAAAACTGAAGCCCCCCATCATCACAGGCCGGGCTCCTGCCCCAGCCCCTGCGCTGCCCTCGGAACCAGCCTGCACGCCCGCCCCACGGAGAGGCAGAGCTCTGCAGCTCCACAGCCCACGTTGTGCTGGCCAAAGTCACCACTGAGATGCCGGGGACTCAGGGGGCACAGGTGACCCCGAGCTCTGGCTCTGCAGCCCCGCCCACTGCAGGTCTCCGTGAGAGTAATACCTGTGTGTATTGTATATATTTTCTAAATTTTCTGTGTATTATGTTTTGACATCTTAGAAAAGCTTTCTGGCTGGGGAGAGCCTGCCCCTCCAGGGGCTGGCCAATTCTGATACAGCGAGGGCTCAGAGCATGCCTTTCATACGCAAACTAGCCAGCATACCTCCTCTCTCTGGCCCTAAACTCCCCGGGCGATATTCCCCTGCCCTGACCATCACAGCGCCAGGTCCTGGGTGACTAGGGACCACCCCCACCCACAGCCAAACCTGCTGAGATGATTCCAACTGGCCAGTCCTAAAGCATACACCTCCCTGCCCTTCCTTTTTCACGGAAGCCCCACTCCTGCCCAGGCACTCCCCTTGCTCTTGTCTGCTGCCTCCTGACCGCCCTGGCACCCCCCACCATGGCCCAGAGTGCACTAAACTTCCTCCTCATCCCCTCCTGTGGCCACATGACTTGACCGTGCCACATGGGCACGACATTCTCAAAACACCAAGGCAGGCCCGGGGAGGTATTTTTAGGTGGGGGCTGGGGCTGGGGAGTGGCTGGAAGGAAAAGCAGGGCAGGCTGCAGCATCCTCACTCACTTCCCCCCATCCCTGGGCTTTGCACTTCCCCCCCCTCAGGGCAGACAGGTGAGGACACACGGGCACCAAAATAAGCAAAGTGATGCCACAGCGGAGGTGGCAGCTCTGGAGCTGCTGGCCTTGCTGCCCTTCTGGCTGTCCACTGACCCCCTCCTCCAAGCGCTGTATGAGTCTCCTGTGGCCACCAGAATGACGTCCCACAGACTGGGCACCTTTAACAGTGGACATTCCTTCCCTCTCAGCTCTAGAGGCTGGAAGTCCTAGATGAGGGTGTCAGGGCCTCACCCCCTCTGAAGTCTGCAGGGAGGATCGCCCTGCACCTGGCCCAGTTCTGGTGTGGCCGGCAATCCCGGGGGTCCTTGGCTCCAGCCTCCCCTCTGCTGTTGCATGGCTATCTTCTCTGGGTGTCTCTCTGTGCCTCTGCTCCTCCTACAAGGACACCAGCCATTGTACTGAGGGCTCACCCTACTCCAGGGTGACCTCACCCCAACCTCACCAATGACATCTGCAGAGACCCTATTTCTATATAAGGTCACATTCTGAGGTTTGGGGATGGACCTTAATTTGGGGCACACTATTCACCCAGTACCAGCAAGTTCTGCTCAAGAGCCTGTCTGTCTCCCCAGGGCCAGTGCTCCTGTCTCCCCAGGGCCGGTGGTCCTCTCCGGCTCGCTGTGAGAGGAGACAACCTAGAAGCCCAGCAGTGGACCAGGTGCAAAAAAGCCACAGTCAGAACCCCTGTCCTGGCATCTTAAATCACAGCAGGTGGGAGCCAACAGCCATGGCCAAACACAGAAAGCTCGCGATTCCCACACCCCTCCCGCTCTGACCACGGACGTCACTTCCCGGGGCCTCATCTGCAAAATGAAAGGCTGGAGTTACTCGGTCCTTTCTCTATCTCCCTCCAGACCCAAGGCTCAGACTGCCTTCTCCCAGGGAGGCAAGAGGCCATGACCTTCACCCTGGGAATGTGACTGAAGAAGCTACTGGCTTGCCAAGGTCACACAGCCAATGACAACAGAACGGGAATGAAACCTCCTCTCCTTCCTGACTCCCCGGCCAGAGCTGACTCGGCTGCGGGAGGACGCCTATCCCACCTGACCCACTTCTGGGCCATCTGCGCCTCTTGGGCACCCCCAAGCCCCAGTTCTTTGTTCCGTTAGTGCTTGCCTCTCCATCCTATGATTATCCTCTGATAGTTTCTAGTCTCTAGGACAGCAATCCTGTCCTGCCCTGTGAGTATTTGCTGACAGCAGAAATGGGCAGATAAGGAATGGACTTTCCGTGAAAGGAGGGGCTGCAGGGGTGTTCACCTCTGACACATGGGCAGGACAGTGGTGAGGTCCCCATCACCGTGCGTCGAGCCACAGCCAGGCAGTTCCCAGAAGGTGACATGAAATATCGCACTGGGGAGAGGGCAGGTTAGACCCTCCCACCGAGGAGCTGGGAAGTTCGCTGGGGGAAAGACACCTGTAAGAGTCAAAATCAACCCAAATAAGAAGTTTACAATCACTGAAAAACTGCCACAAGGTCCCCAGAGTATTGCAGACAGCTGCCACCGGAGCAAGAAAGGAAAGGAGAAGGAAACACCATCACCCACGTGCTTTCTCAAGGCCAGGAACTGGGGACGTTTATGGAGGAAATGGAGTCTCGGGGGAGTTAATCACCTCAGTGTCACACGGCTAAGTGCTGAAGCCAGGAAGGAAATCCAGATTCATCTAAAGCCATGTGCTCCCCCCGTACCTGGGTGGTGTCAGGGAGGCCCCACAGGCACCGAGGTTCCAGCTGGTGGAATGTGGATGGACAGGGCGTGGGGCGGGCCAGCATCCCCCGTGTAAGTCAGGAATGCTGGCTGCACGCTTGCTCATGGACGATGCATTTGACAGTACGTTCACTAGAGTGCTGTCATCCACGGCACCATCAGGAAGCACCTGGGGATGGATAGCGGCTGGCCAGGCCCCGTGGGACGGGCCTACAACATCACTCTATTGGATCCTCACAACCCAGGGTGGTGATGAGGGCACCCAGGCCCCAGAAGGTCAATTCACACACAGTCCCACCAAAGTGGTGCAACAGAGACTCAACCCCAAGACGTTCTGGCTCCAGAGGCCTCACTCCCAGCCACTGGACTGCTCCAGCCGACAGAGACAGCCCACGGAGGAAGGAGTGGGGGAAAGGGCTAAGGGCACAAAATGTAAAACACGCTCGGGATGCCACCACTTAAAGGGCTAGAGGATGGAGAGAGCAGTGAGGGAGGACGGGCGCTGGGCTGCACACAGCAGGGGCCCCACCTCACGGGATGCTCTCAGTCTGCAGGCCCAGGGGCTTGTAAGCACCACTGGGGAATTCACTAAACCAGCTTGGAAATTCACTAAACCAGATTGGAAAAGCCAAGCTCAGGCATAGCCCTCTCCAGCATCCTTGGCTCTCCAGCATCCTCGGAAATGCCAAATGTTTGGGGCCTCCCTGAATTACAGCTGTCCTCCAGACACCCTGCCTGCCCCTAGGCAGTGATGCTGCCTGGCATCCACTCCCTGCACTGCGAGATGGGACAGAATAATTTGGAACTGCCCGAGCCACCTGCCTCAGCCCCAAGGAGCTGCAGGAGGAGGGAAAGAGGCCTTGGCCTCTCTGGGACCAATGCGTGCTTCATGCGGGAGGGAGACCGTGTAGACTCCATTTCTATCCCATCTTTCTCCTTCCCGACTCTCCCCCAGTTAGTCCCTGATCACATGTTTTTTTCAAGAGCCTTGGAACAGATTCATTAATTAAATCCACAGAGCACAGCCTCCTGCAGCCCTTCCACAAGCTCTGGAAGCTGAATGCACCCGGAAGGTACCAAGAATTCTCGGGGTAAGACTGGAGGTGCTCTAAGGGAGGATCAGAGATGCCAGCTCACTCTGGAGTTCATCTGAACCACCCCAAGTCAACCACCGAGACAGCTCATGCATGGAGAGCCCAGATGATCATGAAATCAGATGCCTGCTGAGGGCTGGCCAACCCAGAGGCTTCTCCCACCCACGCCTCACCCCATCACTCCCCAGACTTGGCTGAGAGGTGGCCCTGCCCTAAGGAAGCACACATTCAGCAGGGAGAATCCTCCAGAAAGAGACCAGCTGTGAGGGGTGCCCACGGGCCACAGAGCCCCAGGGTCCACAGAGAGTGAGGCCACCTTGGGACCTGCATGGATACTTTACCTGCATAGTCTGTGTGTTGATTTAAACAGCCTCCTGGGATGCGGGACCCTGGATGGTGGTGAGCCAGTTCCTGCTGTAATATGTCCCGTCTGGCCTTCTGTTTCAGGAGCTCTGGTTAATGTATGATTTGTGAAGCTCCCTGGGGGAAAGGGATCCGCTACCAGACTGATATTTACAAAACCAGGCCTGCAGGGAAGGCGGCAGCTCGGTGTTCAGGCCTTACCAACACTCCCCTGGGCTCACTGTCATCTCCATTTAAAAACCAGACTGGACCAGATACCGTGGCTCATACCTGTAATCCCAGCACTTTGGGGAGCCAAAGCAGGAGGATCACTTGAACTCAGGAGTTCAACACCAGCCTGGACAACATGGCGAGACCCCCATCTCTACAAAAAAACAAAAAACCAAAAAAACAAATTAGCTGGGTGTGGTGGCCCATGCCTGTGGTCCCAGCTACTTGGGAGACTGAGGCGGGAGGATCCTTGAGCATGGGAGATGGAGGCTACAGTGGGCAGTGATTGCGCCGCTGCACTCCCGGCTGGGTGACCAAATGACACCCTGTCTCAAAAACAAAAAACAAAACAAAATGAAGTACAAAAAGACCCGGCCTGGGCACTCCGAATTCAGGAAAACCGTTTCAGGTGTCACACAACAGACCTGACCTCGGTGATCTAACCCCCATCTTCTTCCCACATTAGGCACCTTCTAAAGTGATTTGATTTTCTCTGAGTGAAAATTCACTTGCCACCTGCAAAAGTGACAGGGAACCCGGCTCCCAAACTTCTAAGTCTCCCCTCTGCCCAGACGCCAGGGCTTGCAGGTGCCTTCCCTTCACAGTGAACGCTTCTTCCCGTTTAAACTTTCATTTTGCAACTCTAGGTGAACTGAATGTCAAGAGTTTGGAGTTTATTTTCCTCCAGAGAAGGTCAGTGGTGGCTGGGTGAGGTGACCACAGAGGCGGGAGGGCCAGGGAAAGACTTACCAGGAGTTTTCATCTCTTTAGACTACATTAAGTCCAAACCAGGGAGCACTGAGTCAGCTCTCAGTTATCTGGGGGCCCATGAGCTTAGGGACTAACACCCCCGCCCACACCGAAGCCCTCTGCACCTTGCCTGCCTCACCCACGGAGACTTTGCACCTTTCACCTGCACGGACAGAAAAGGTCGGCAGAGGACAGCATGCAGCGGAATTCAACCCTGCCCCTTTCTCTGCCTGCAGAGGGTGCAGTTAAAAAAAGATAAAGTCATTGATGCTGCATCCGTTTATGTGGCTTCAGAGAACAGAGAATCGGTTTGAAGCGGGTGATTTCTCAAGGCTGTTCCCATCCCCCACAGTGGTCTATGAAGCTTTGAAATCTGGAACCTTATTTGTTATACAAGCAACTCGGGGGCAGTTTTCAAGACAGGCCAGTACAGGAGCCTCAGGGCTCAGCTGCCAGGGGAAGGAAGCCTCACTCTTTCCTCCACACTGTCAAGATACAAACGTGGATGGGAAGGGCACACTCCACAGAAATTCAAAGACCATGCACCCTGGCTGCGGAGCTCACGGAGGACAGGCCAGATGCGCAGGAAGAGTGAAGCAAGGCCCGTGAGGCAGGTCAAACGTCAAACCGACTCTATCGGCATCCAGAGGGGCTGTGCAGGAGCAGACACACCGTGGGTATCCCCATGGGACACTCTTGAGTGTCTGTCCAAGAAAGAGCTGAAGGGGGGACCACAGCACCAGTTCCTCCCAACCCCAGCACCTTCTGCTTCTCTGCCCCGTGGCCCTATTTCTATTCCTCCCTCCTTGGGCTCGTTTCATCTTCTCCCTGACCTAAGCCCTCGACCTGGGATTGACAGCTGTGGGTACAGACGGGCATGACTGAGCCCCGCTGGTCTTGCTGAGGTCTAAAGAGAAGAGTGGCTGAGAGCAGCTAGCGTTAGTGACAGGAATTGATCCCCAAGAGTTTCTCTCGTGCAGCATCCCAGCATCTGTGGTTATGATTCCTGCCCCACTTTGGAGGGAAGAGAATAAGACTCAGAGAGGTTGGAGGACAAAGCCACACAGCTAGTAAGCTCTAATTCAGCCTGCTGGGGGCTTAGCCCATGCTCAGAGCCACCATCCAGGCAGGCTCCTAAGTCTTCATTCATGGTTGTTTGCATTGCAAAGCCTTGGAATGAACTACAGCAAAACTCTTTGTTTTTGTAGGGAGCTAAGTTTTCTCGATGTGTAATAAGAATCTCAACTTTTAATCATATTTTGTCCACTTTGGAAGAAATCATCTAATTTGTTATTAAGCAGACACATCTCCTGACTTTTAATTGCAAGATATTAACTAAGCTTTCCTTTTTTTTGATGATTTGGGGACATTTGCTGGAGGGAGCAGTGACAGCCTCACTCCAGCTGTGTTGGTGCCATCCCTTGGGAAGGCAGGAGGTTTCAGGAACAGGAATCGTTGATGGGAACAGGTGTTTAGGCCAAAGAATTCCGAAGAGGTTGGCATTGCTGCCTTCCCAGATAGTGGACGGAAACAGGTGGATGGAGGCCAGGTCACCAGCGGGGATTAAGACTCATGCGATCAAAGCCCAGGAAAGAGGGTAAGTGGGAGCTGAGGCTCGGGCATTAAGACAACATCTGGAGTCTCTCCCGTGTGGGTTATTGGGTGAACGGCATTCAGGGCCAGCTGTGTCCTTTCAGATAAAACTAGAAGATTCAAACCTTCTTTCATTACATCTGCCCTCAGGGACAGGCAGGTTCTGAGGATTAAAGGCAGGGACTCTGCAGCTGGGTGGGTGGCTGGGCCTTCCTTCCGCCTCTCTCTTATCTATGCTTATTTATCCACATTGGATGGGACAGGAGTCTCTGTGAGAGGCAGTGCTGGCCAGTAGTTTTGAGCCAGATGGCGTGGTTACCATTCAAGGGAACGGGTCACCACTTAGCACAGTTAGCAGGCTGTGTGGCCTTGGGGAAGTCACCAAGCCCCTGGGTGCCTCTGTAAGATGAGAAGAAGAAGAGCATCTACCTTTGGGGCTTGCTATGGGGCTGCACTCACAGAGCTGCATGATGCCTGGCGATGCTGTGGGTTATTGTTATTATTATTACTACTACTATTACCTGCCAAGGCTTCCGTCTTTGGGTCTGTGGTTAGGGACCTGATGGTTGATCCTTTAATCCTTTTTTTTTTTTTTTTTTTTTTTTTTAGTTTTGTATAAATTATGTTTCATATCTTTTTATTTCAGAAATAATCATTGCTGGAAATGCTGTTAAATTTTTTGGAACTCTTCTTTTTTTTTTTTTTTTTTTTTTTATTGATCATTCTTGGGTGTTTCTTGCAGAAGGGGATTTGGCAGGGTCATAGGACAATAGTGGAGGGAAGGTCAGCAGATAAACAAGTGAACAAAGGTCTCTGGTTTTCCTAGGCAGAGGACCCTGTGGCCTTCCGCAGTGTTTGTGTCCCTGGGTACTTAAGATTAGGGAGTGGTGATGACTCTTAACGAGCATGCTGCCTTCAAGCATCTGTTTAACAAAGCACATCTTGCACCGCCCTTAATCCATTTAACCCTGAGTGGACACAGCACATGTTTCAGAGAGCATGGGGTTGGGGGTAAGGTCATAGATCAACAGGATCCCAAGGCAGAAGAATTTTTCTTAGTACAGAACAAAATGAAAAGTCTCCCATGTCTACTTCTATCCACACAGACCCGGCAACCATCCGATTTCTCAATTTTTTCCCCACCCTTCCCGCCTTTCTATTCCACAAAGCCGCCATTGTCATCATGGCCCATCCCCAATGAGCCGCTGGGCACACCTCCCAGACGGGGTCGTGGCCGGGCAGAGGGGCTCCTCACTTCCCAGTAGGGGCGGCCGGGCAGAAGCGCCCCTCACCTCCCGGACGGGGCGGCTGGCCGGGCGGGGGGCTGACCCCCGCCACCTCCCTCCCGGACGGGGCGGCTGGCCGGGCAGAGGGGCTCCTCACTTCCCAGTAGGGGCGGCCGGGCAGAGGCGCCCCTCACCTCCCGGACGGGGCGGCTGGCCGGGCGGGGGGCTGACCCCCCCACCTCCCTCCCGGACGGGGCGGCTGGCCGGGCAGAGGGGCTCCTCACTTCCCAGTAGGGGCGGCCGGGCAGAGGCGCCCCTCACCTCCCGGACGGGGCGGCTGGCCGGGCGGGGGGCTGACCCCCCCACCTCCCTCCCGGACGGGGCGGCTGGCCGGGCAGAGGGGCTCCTCACTTCCCAGTAGGGGCGGCCGGGCAGAGGCGCCCCTCACCTCCCGGACGGGGCGGCTGGCCGGGCGGGGGGCTGATCCCCCCACCTCCCTCCCGGACGGGGCGGCTGGCCGGGCGGGGGGCTGACCCCCCACCTCCCTCCCGGACGGGGCGGCTGGCCGGGCAGAGGGGCTCCTCACTTCCCAGTAGGGGCGGCCGGGCAGAGGCGCCCCTCACCTCCCGGACGGGGTGGCTGGCCGGGCGGGGGGCTGATCCCCCCACCTCCCTCCCGGACGGGGCGGCTGGCCGGGCGGGGGGCTGACCCCCCACCTCCCTCCCGGACGAGGCGGCTGGCCGGGCAGAGGGGCTCCTCACTTCCCAGTAGGGGCAGCCGGGCAGAGGCGCCCCTCACCTCCCGGACGGGGCGGCTGGCCAGGCGGGGGGCTGATCCCCCCACCTCCCTCCCGGACGGGGCGGCTGGCCGGGCGGGGGGCTGACCCCCCACCTCCCTCCCGGACGGGGCGGCTGGCCGGGCAGAGGAGTCCTCACTTCCCAGTAGGGGCGGCCGGGTAGAGGCGCCCCTCACCTCCCGGACGGGGCGGCTGGCCAGGCGGGGGGCTGATCCCCCCACCTCCCTCCCGGACGGGGCGGCTGGCCGGGCAGGGGGCTGACCCCCCTCCCCCCTCCCGGACTGGGTGGCTGGCCGGGCGGGGGGCTGACCCCCCCACCTCCCTCCTGGACGGGGCGACTGGCCGGGCAGAGGGGCTCCTCACTTCCCAGTAGGGGCGGCCGGGCAGAGGAGCCCCTCACCTCCCGGACGGGGCGGCTGGCCGGGCGGGGGGCTGACCCCCCCCACCTCCCCCCCGGACGGGGTGGCTGCCGGGCGGAGACGCTCCTCACTTCCCAGACGGGGTGGCTGCTGGACGGAGGGGCTCCTCACTTCTCAGACGGGGTGGTTGCCAGGCAGAGGTGCTCCCCACCTCTCAGACGATGGGCGGCCAGGCAGAGACGCTCCTCACTTTCCAGACGGGGTGGCGGCCGGGCAGAGGCTGCAATCTCGGCTCTTTGGGAGGCCAAGGCAGGCGGCTGGGAGGTGTAGGTTGTAGTGAGCCGAGATCACGCCGCTGCACTCCAGCCTGGGCACCATTGAGCACTGAGTGAACGAGACTCCGTCTGCAATCCCAGCACCTCGGAAGGCCGAGGCTGGCGGATCACTCGCGGTTAGGAGCTGGAGACCAGCCCGGCCAACACAGCGAAACCCCGTCTCCACCAAAAAAAAACGAAAACCAGTCAGGCGTGGCGGCGCGTGCCTGCAATCACAGGCACTCGGCAGGCTGAGGCAGGAGAATCAGGCAGGGAGGTTGCAGTGAGCCGAGATCGCAGCAGTACAGTCCAGCTTCGGCTCGGCATCAGAGGGAGACCGTGGAAGGAGACCGTGGGGAGAGGTAGAGGTAGAGGTAGAGGTAGAGGTTAGAGGTTAGAGGTTAGAGGTTAGAGGTAGAGGTAGAGGTAGAGGTAGAGGTAGAGGTAGAGGTAGAGGTAGACGTAGAGGTATCCTTTAATCTTTCTAGGACAGGTACAGTGGCTCATGCCTGTAATCCCAGCACTTTGGGAGGCCGAGGTGGGAGGATCACTGGAGGCAGGCGGATCACTGGAGCCAAGGAGTTCAAGACCAACCAGGGCAACATAGTGAGACCTTGTCTCTACAAGAAGTTTAAAAAATTAGCCAAGCATGGCGGCGCATGCCTGTAGTCCCAGCTACTTGGGAGGATGAAGCTAGAGGATTGCTTGAGCCCAGAAGGCAGAGGCTGCAGTGAGCAGTGATCACACCACTGCACTCCAGCCTGGGCGACAGAGCAAGCTCCTATCTCAAAAAAAAAAAAAAAAACAGATAATCTTTCTAGGACTTGATTTCCCAGGCTCCATAATGGCAATCTGCGCAGGCAGCTTCTGGCTCTGAGTCTTCCTGTTTCTGTGGTGCCACTGCCAGCACAGGGAGGTCATTCTGTATCATGTCACTTGCTTGGTGTTTTACACCCATGGATGATGAAACAGCAACTGCAGCCTGGAGTGCTGGGAGGCAGAGAGAGTCTCGCTTCCCAGGCCATCTGGCTTACTGTGAAGGCCAGAAGCAGCACAGCCTCTCTTGGTCACCAGGGATCAGGACTCAGGTGGAGAGGGTGGGGCAGGGGCTGGCAGTGGAGACAGGTCCACACTGGGAACCAGCTGTGCCAGGCAGTGTGGCCCTGAAGCCCCTAAGGTGTGTCAAGAGGGGTCTTTCAGGAAATGGTTAGAGAGTGCAGGTGTTGTGTTTCTCTCTGACATGTAAACATATGTCTTTCTAGACAGGCAGGTCTCCCTATACCTGCCTTACGTGGGAAGCACGTCCGCAGGAGAGGTGCCACCCAGTGCCTCCAGCACTGATCAGGCCTTTCTCAGGTGTTGGGCAGGGAGAGGCAGAGCCCAAGAGAAGCCTCAGCAGAACACTAACAGTGGAAAGGAGGCAGTGAGGTGGAAGCAGCTTCTTTGGTACATGCAGAAAGTTCTAGAAAGGCCTTTTGGCTTAGAATCCTAGCTCTATTCACGTGAAGCAGCACTTCGGCATGAGGTGGTGCTTGAGGGCCCCTTGTCTGAGTAAAACGTGGATGTTGTAGCTGGTTTTGGGGGCTGTGGGACTCCCCCATCTGCACACCCCCTACTCAGCCGATGTGGTAAGCATTTAGCCACAGCAAGTGCTTACTTAGTATTTGTTGGTTCCTGATACACAGAAATCTCTGTGATCCAAGCAGTGTTTCTCCCATAGGACTCTACCCTGCCAACCCTCAGCTCGGCTCAGCTCAGCAGCTCGCTAACTGTGAAACTCGGACGGACATCCTGTGATCACTCCAACGCTTTAAAATTCATCAAAGCGCAGAGCGCTGCCTGGCCGCAGCCCATTGCTCTGTTGTTCTGAGGGGCAAGGCCACAGCGACCTACAGCAGGGAAGAGACAAACACAGATCTGGTGCAGAGATTATTCGGGTCATCGATGACAGGCAGGCAAGAAAGCAGGAGCGTTTCCTGCACGGCCACACCCAAGCAGAACCTTTTCAGGGTACTCATCCCTTTTTAGGCTGGGCTTCGCTCCCCAGCGAGGTCAGCAGGGCCAGCTGATTGTTTTTATTTTACAGGTGTGGGATTCCCTCTGGGGTCTGACTGCCACACTCAGACACAGAAGGGGCAGCAGGGGCAGGGTTTCTAGAGACAGACCTCCTCAGTCAAATGCTGGCCACTTACCAGTCAGCAGGCTTGGAAATGTTATTTTGCCCCTTTGTGCCTCAGTTTCCTCAGATGTAAATGGAGATAATAAATGTACCTATCTCGAGGAATAAATAAAATCACCCACAGGCCAGCTGTGATGGCTCATGATTGTCATCCCAATGCTCTGGGAGGCTGAGGAGGGAGGATCTTTTGAGGTCAAGAGTTCAAGACCAGCCTGGGCAACATAGTGAGACTCTGTCTCTACAAAAATTAAACAATTGGTGGTGTGCACCTGTAGTCCTACCTACTCGGGAGGCTGAGGTGGGAGGATTGCTTGAGCCCAGGAGGTCGAGGCTGCAGAGAGCCATGAGTGCGTCACTGCACTCTGGCCTAGAAGACAGAATGAGACTATCTCAAAAAGTAAATAAATAAAACAGGTCGGGCGCGATGGCTCATGCCTGTAATCCCATCACTTTGGGAGGCTGAGGCAGGTGGATCACCTGAGGTCAGGAGTTCAATACCAGCCTGACCAACATGGAGAAACCCCGTCTCTACTAAAAATACAAATTTAGCTGGGTATGGTAGCTCATGCCTGTAATCCCAGCTACTTGGGAAGCTGAGGCAGGGGAATCGCTTGAACCCGGAAGGTGGAGGTTGTGGTAAGCCAAGATAGCACCATTGCACTCCGGCCTGGGCAACGAGAGCAAAACTCTGTCTCAAAAAATAATAATAATAAATAAATAAAAATAAAATCACCCACAAAACATGCTGAAAAGACACTTGGCCTGCCGGAATCACTCGTGAAAGTTAGTCATTGTTACAGGGGTGGCTACTAGTTCCACCTGTCCCCAGACACTGTGTGCCCCACCTGAAAGTTAGTCATTGTTACAGGGGTGGCTACTAGTTCCACCTGTCCCCAGACACTGTGCGCCCCACCTGAAAGTTAGTCATTGTTACAGGGGTGGCTACTAGTTCCACCTGTCCCCAGACACTGTGCTCCCCACCAAGTGATGGCTAGGAATCCACTCATGCTGTATTCAGACGGCCACCCCCAGACCCCTCGACTCCTACCCTAAAGCCCTGTTTTGCAAGGGCTGGGTATGTTTGCAGGATTCTGCAAGAATTCTGGTTCAAGGTTCAAAGGAACCATTTAAGAGTCCAATCGGACACCATCACAACCCAAGGACGGCCCTGGCCCCTCTGCAAGGGGTTTAGCTCAGCAGCCCGCAAACCTGCAGAGGCCTGCAGGAAGCCCCATCCCACCTGCGAGGACCCTGGCTGGGCAAGCAGTCCCTTCTTGTCAGTCGATCGAACAAAGGCCTCTCGTCCTTTCCGTACCTGGGAACGCAGGGCAGGTGGGGCGGGGAGTGGAATGAAACAGTCTGATCGGCGGTTATTGGCAGAGGAAAATGAAAGAACAAACTCCCTTTGCATTTTTTGGCTTGGTGTGCAAGAATGATGAATCCAGCCAGGAGAATAGGAAAACAACTTCGTGACCCGCTCCATCCCCTCTTTCCCTGTTGCAAGGCGAGCGGACCGCGCTGCACGGGTCCAGGCTGGGTGCCCCTCTCCCCTGGGGTAAAGAGGCAGCACAGGTTGGGACAGCTAGATGGGGGCAATCCAGGCGTCCTGCCCACGGTTTCCTGGGAGCCAACAAAGGCGCCGAGACCTCACCCGTGTGAGGCAACCGCCCCGTGGTCCCACAGAGCTTCTGGAAGTCTGCGTCCCGGCCTTCCCGATGCAAGGCGCCCTCTCCACCTGCCTCGGCCGTGAGCAGGTTCAGGAGGGCGAGAAAGGTTAGGCCGAGCGGAACCGCGCGGCCAGCGTTACGCAGGGTGCCCTGGACACCCCTAGGCGCCCACCTGGACTTGTTCCCACCTCCTCTCGCCCCTTGCCTTCTTAACCCGCATTACCCGTGTAGGCCTGGGGTGGAATCGGACTACTTGTTCGGGATTTGCTCGAGAACATTCTAGGGAGAAGGCACGCCCGGCTTTGGGCTTGGCCGAGAGTTTAGGGCAGGAGCGCCGGCGGGGAGCTCCCCGGGTGCTGGAGAATGCGTGTCCGGAAAGAAGTAGGGCGCGCTTCGTGGATGCAACCAGGGCCGTCTCGCGCACTTTCTTCCTACCCTGGGACAGCGCCTGAACTGGAGCTGGGCGCACACACTTTACGGAGCCAGCTCGGGTTCTTACGCCCTGGCTCACCCCCGCCCGCCGCCCCAGGATGCAGGTGCTGCGGCGCTCCCTGGTAGCCTCCCGCGCTCCCTGGGGGCGCGCTTTCCTCCATTTCAGGGAAGTCCCCGGACAGGTGCCCACGTTTTACGCTGTCCGGTAGAAGCCCGCGGGCTCAGGCCGACTTGCGCGGCCGCTTCTCCCCAGGGAGAGAAGCTGGAGCTTCCCCCACGCGGCCCTAAGGCGGGGCCGGCTGGGCCGGAGTGGGCGCGGCCAGGGTGTCCCAGCGCGCCCCCTGCCGACCGCGCGCTGCGGGGGGCAACTCCACCTCCCCTGGGGAGGCCTCGTCCCCGCTGCAGGGAGACTAAAGCGTGGGTCCGCGACCAGCCGGTTTAGGAACGAAAACTCTGGAACTAAAAACAAAAAATAAAACTGGTGAGTGCGCAGCGTGGTCAGTGTTTCCCTCTGGGTAATGCTTGGCCAAGGGGGAAGATCGAGTACTCCCGCCCACATCCGCCTCCCCCAGGAGGGAGGATTCCCTCTCTGCTCACCCACCCTGACCCACGCCTCCCGCCAGGTCCACTGCTCAGACAAATCTGTAGGTTTCTGAGTATCCGTATCTCGAAAAGCTTCAATGCACAAACGAGGTTTTAAGCCCATCGCGGCTTCGCAAGGGGAAGGGGCTGCTTCCCTAAAAACAAAACACAACAAAAAAGGCAAGGGGGTACTCTTGCAGATGGACTGGAATTAGTAATTTAGCCAGGGTCTCTTCCAAACTCACTGCAAAATTCGCCAGCGTCTCATTCTTCACACACGGGGCACCACACGAGAATCACCCCCTCCCCAGAATTTTGCAAAGCACGTTTGCTGAGTTTTCTCGCCTTTCCTTCCGACAAGCTCGAACTGGAACCAGCGCTCTCCCCTCTAGACCTGCCTCCGCGCCCCACCCTTCTTCCCCCACACAGTCCCTCCGCAGGGAGAATTCAGGTGCTAAAAATGCTCGGGCCTCGCAGCTTCCTCCCTCCTCCTCGGTTCCTCGAATGACCCAAGCTGCCTCTTTCCGGGCCCTTGGAAGACGGTGCGAATTCCGCGGCGGCCCGCTCTCGCCAGCGCCACAGCCCTGACTCCCACCCGGAGGCCTGAGTTCAACCGCTTTCGCTTCCTTGCGGGCCGTTCAACCCTCTGAATACGCAGATTCATTTATTTATGTTTTTTAATGTAGTAAGTGGGCAGCTAAATGAATTGCAATTTGTCATTTTTATGGTTAATTTGAAATCTCGCTCTTGTTGCCTAATCCTGTTAGTTGGTGGCAAAACAAGGAGAAACGCGTGTTTCGGCAGCAGTGATTCTAACAGGCGTTTTATGTTAAATTACAGCAGAACCCAGAACAAAAGCAGGCGGCGGACTTGCAGTCCCAGCGGCCTCGGCCGGTCCGCGCTGCCGGTGTGAGCCCCGAAGGAAAGCACCCCAAGCTGGCTGACCCCGCGCACCCCCGGCCACACCCGCCCATCCTGGCTTCGAGATTAAGAAGCCCAGTTTGGCACCCCAATTATGTTTGGCAATGTCCCCGGTGCCCCAGACCCGCACTCCGCTGCCTCCTGGCTTCTCATGCCCGCGAAGCACGGCCTCGCCCTGGGCGCGGGGCATCACCGGCGCGGAGGCCCGAGGGCGGGTCACTTCGGATCCCTTTCTTCCCTTCCTCGTCTCTGCCTCTTTTCCTTTCTTTTCTCCCTCCGCCTCTCTGTCAGCTCTTCCCGTCGTTTCCTCGGCACCCAGCTCCAGTCCAGGCGCTGTCCCAGGGTAGGAAG
Organism: Homo sapiens; assembly: GCF_000001405.40. Lineage (NCBI taxonomy): Eukaryota > Metazoa > Chordata > Mammalia > Primates > Hominidae > Homo > Homo sapiens. Next base: position 155,374,214 of record NC_000007.14, read on the forward strand.
AAGGGCGATGCCCCTTCTTCCCCTTCTCTGGTCCCCTCCCCAGCCTCCGGCTCCCCAAGGTGCAGGGCTCCGGCGGGGGCTGGGCCGGGCGGGTGGGTTTCTGAGCCGCAGCGCTTGGAGCTGGGGGAGCGGGAGCAGGGGCGGCCCGGCGGGCGGGCCGGGACCCGGCTTTTCCGGCTACCCGTGGGCCAGGTGCGGGTTTCAGCACGCGGGGCGCGTGTGGGCGGAGGCGCCGGGGCCCGCGGCTCCGCTTGTTCGCGCGTTGTCGCTGGCGAGGCGTTTCTTGTCCCCGGCGCCCGCTCGGTGCCGTCTCAGTGAGTTTGATTGAAACGCGGCTGCGGGAAGGGGTCGACAGAGGCAAGCTGCGAGCAAGGCGGGGGTGGGGGCGAGGAAGGGGACCCGGAGAGCTCCCGGAGGGCTTGGCCGGCCACCGCCGCGCGGCGCTGCTCGGGGACTGCTACTTTGCAAGGCGGCGGCTGCCCCTGCGGGGTTCGGGTTGCAGGGTCAAGTGTCACGTCCTCCGCAATCTCCAATATTCCTGTAATGTATTTAAATGGACGAATTCATTACGCGGGGCCGTGTGAATGGGGCGAGGCCGCGAGCGCGGCGCGATCAGTAGCGCCCACTAACAGTTCGTTCTGCACGGCGGAGCGCGAGACCGCGGACCCACGGAAGCCCCCTCAATGGTGTTTGCGTCCTCGCCGCCACCGGCTTGGTAGGGTCCTTTAGGGAAGGAGGAAGAGTTCAGGCACCCGGACAGATCCTAATGGTCTTTCTGATTTTTCTTTCCCTTCGGTCCGCTTTCCCCGCGACCTCCTCCACCCTCAGTCCGCCTTTCAAACGTCGTCCGCGGGGATGGCTGCGCGATGGAGAAATTGGTCTCGTCCAGAGACGCGCGCACAGCCGTCCCCGCGCACACGCGACACGCCCAGGGCCGGCGTCCACGTGAGGGCAGCACCCTAGGTCGGGTCAGTCAAACCCCACAGCGGGGTTTCAAACAGTGTAGGGGAGGGGAAGTAGGAAAGGTCATTAAGATAAAAACAAAAATAAAAACCAGTGGCTCTTCTAGCTAAGGGGATGGCAGCGGGGGTGGAAAGTTAATAACAGGTAAGATCGCTGCCTACCCTCCCTCTGTTTTTAAGACAAAACATTGAATAAATTAAAAGGGAAAATACCCCCTGTCCCTTCCACCAGGCCTCCCGCCACATCAGGACTCCAGTGGGGTAACAGTAGGTACACACTGGACTTGCCAAGTCTGCAATCCAGCAGTCCTCAGATTAGGGACCGGAGGAAGGAAGTGCAACTCCCAGAGAGGGCAGCCAGCCTTAGCGGCGGTGACAGCTTCCTCACGGTGGTCCTGCAGCTGGAGCTCCAGAGAAAGAAGGGAGGAAGCACTTCCGGAAGTCTCTGCCAAGAGATTTTAAATTGTGTTGCCTGCGGATTTTGTGGTTGAAAGAATTACCTGGTGACTTGCCAAATCTCTGAGTTTGTTGAAAGGAGATGACCTGCCCTTAGAAACCCCTCCATTCCTGCCTACCTCCGAGACCAGAGGCTGTGCCTCTCTTTCTCTTTTCTTTCCTAGTCCCCACAGGAGGGAGGAGGAAGGTTACAGCGTTTGTGGAATCAGGCTGCCAGGCGACGTTTCGTGGTTGTATTTGGCCCACTAAATCCTAGGTCGCTCTTCCTATGTACGACTGTAGACTCACCTTCTGTATCTTATACAGGAGATGTGTAGATGGCCCATAAAGGGCAGACTTCATACAAACCCTGTGTGAGCAGTGGGATTCACTGTAGGAGGTGCAGTGGGTATTTTCTCAAAGGCATTTACACCCAAGAGTTAACACCAAGTTGACGGGACCAGAGGGTCTTTGGTGAGCAGGCCACCAGAGATGGAAAGGAAGCTTCTCTTGTTCTCTGGTGCCAGTTGTGGCTGGATCTTCGCATCCTGGAGCCCAGCAGTCCTGTGATGTAGTGAGTCAATCCAAGACCCAAATGTAGGCAGGAGGCATCCTTGCTTCCTTCAAGAACAAGTCAGAGAATCAAGTAAGGAGGAAATAAGTGACATGCTAGTGAAGGCACAGTTATCTAGATGGTTGTTATGGGGTTCTCGTCTCGCCAAGCTTTAGATAGATCTGTTTCCGGAAAGCTCACTTTTAAAAAAATCAGATTTGAAGATTGTTGGAATTCTGGCTCTTTATAGTGAGTCACATCTCTATAGTCAGTTCATTTTCACTCGCATATGAGGTCTCAGTTTGAGCATCATGTTTTAAACTGTCTGCAATTTGATTTACTGGAAATACACCTCTACAGAGAAGGTGTAGTCTTTCCTGGTTCCATTCCCAATAGTATGAGGGTTATGTGTGAAGTTATTTGCATTTGTGTTCTCTGTCATTTTCAAATCACGGAATTTAAGAAGTATGTATAAATAGATTAAGTGCACAATAATACAACAAACCTAAAAGAGTTGGCAAATTAAACCTTGAAATTCTTTACAAAATTCCATATCTTATAAAGGACAACCATTAAGGGGACTTTGGTGTCAATATTTTCTGTAATGCAAGCCCTTTAATACTTTTCCACCACAACCTAAATTTGTCTGTAATCAAGCTACTGAGATAGGAATGCTGCATTCTCATTTTCCTCCTCCTATAAGCCTCTGTACCAAAACATTCAAAGGCCAGGCATTTACTTTTTATTTATACATATTAAAAATTTCTTCCAGGAGTGAAGTTTCCAAACACAACGTGTCTGGACAGGAAGCAAATGTTGTTTTAGGGGAAAGTTCTAATAACCCCATTTATGCAAGCACATTAGAGCAGAAAGAATCATTTCTGTTAGTTAACATTTTTGAGCCAGAAAATTAAAAACAAATATTTAACTTCCCAATTTGGAATTCAGGCTGGCATTGACGTCTAAACTTTGACAATGCATACTCAATGAATTAAACACAATCTCTACTAGCCAAATAAAACTGCCTTCATGTGGCTCAAAATAAGTTTGAATAAACTGAAAGATAAATAAAATGCACGGGGGACACCCAGGAAGAGAGCTGATGTGTGTGAGCTTGGCCAAAAGACGGCTTTTGGACTCTGCTCAACTCAGGGGTTTTATGACACCTAATAAAGCTATACTTAGAGAAGACAAATATTCAATAAATATGAGCACATACTTACAAACATATGTACTGTTTTCACTTTTCTTCTTCCAAACCTACTTTTACAGCAGTTTATTATTGGATATGAATTTCCCCTTCTCCATTTCTCATCACAAATTAGGTGGGCTCCTAAAGCGTCCCATTTCTCCCTTTAGATTTGGGGCCCCCCAGCTGATAAAGGAGTTGTGATTGCAGGTGGATTTGATCTGATTTCCCCTGAACAGGCTGGCGGTGGGAAGCAGGCATTGGAGTCCCACGGCTCACTGGACTGCAGCAGCGAGCCCTTCACGGTTGCAAAGGAAGGAAATTCCTAGCGGGGCAACTCTTCAGCGTCCGCCCCACAGACCTAGCACGATGTCCTTTTCTGTCTCAAGATACATCTGGCTGGGCTTCCCTAAAACCGGGCTTAGTTGGACTCCTTGGACCTGGGGATGAATTCTTGCCAACTATCTCCAAATATTTCCCCTACACCATGCCAGTGCAATTCATGTCTCCAAACCCCCTCTCCTCCACAAAAACGAAACAAAACAAAACCCCAGGTCCAGGAGCTCAGGCCCAGGCCGGATCCAAGACGCGGCAGCCAGGCAGCCCCGCCGCGAGCCTGTGCGGGCTTGAGCCGGCTTGGCCCCCGGAAGCCCCAGCCCCGCGCTCGGCAGCGTGCGCCCAGCGCCCAGAAGAAGCAGCTCCAGGCGGCCGCGCTCCCCGTCCCGCCGCGGTGCGGTCGGATGCCCAGCTCGCGTCCAGACCCGCGGGATGCAGACCCGGATCAGTCAGGCTTGAGGGCTGCTCCGCATAGACCAACGTCCGGGGAAGGCACACAGTGGCCGAGGGCCCGCGCGCTTGGGCTACGGCTGTGATGGTATCTGCGCTGCTTGCGCCTTGGGGATGGGAGGCCGCCTTTGCTGACTGAAGGGCCTGAAGAGGAGGCTTCTGGGGTCCCTGTAGCCTCACCCTGGATTCACAAAATCAAACACTATCTCCTTTCCCCTTCACCACCCCCACCCCACGAATACACATGGTGAAGAGAGGTTCACTTCTGTTCCTGTTGCTGAGTTTCAGCTATGCCCCTCGGCCTCGGAGGATGGCTCACCTTTACTGTGAATTTCTAGCTGAAAGAACAATGCTGAGAACAGGGATAACAAGAGGACCTCTCTAACAAATGCATCTGCTAGTTACAAAAGGGCTGGGAAGAACGGCTCAGGGACATTCCTCCCAGACCCAAGGAAAGGGAATGGAGACACATTTTGATGTTTTCTACATACTTGGTCAACTTGCAGCTACTATAGAACCCGCTCCCCACGGCCAGCTCTTCCTCCTGTTTTAGGGAGAATTTTGTTCAACATTCTACATTCTAGGGACCCTTCCTCATCAGATTAAGTGCAGAGTTACAGCAAAATAAGTCAGAGGAGAAGGATGGGGTAGAGATGGAGCGGAAGCTGGCGCTGGAGCCACTGTGTCCTGCCGGCTGCACCTGCACTCAATCTCAGGTACCATGCTGGACAGTGGGGAAAACAAAAACCTGGAGAACAGCCCAGAAAACTCCGCCAAGGTTTTATAGCTTAAAGATGGGGAGAGGAGGAGGCAGGAAGGGTTGGGCTCTGCAGGCCTTTAGAACGATCGGAGGTCTAATGAAAATAAATACCTTGTAAACATGTGGGTACCAAGTAACCAGAAGAGAGCTTAGACCAAGAAGGTCGGGGGGTCTTTTCCCACCTGTGAGAAAATAAGAGATCCTGGAGCTCTGCAGCCTTAGCAATGAACTGGATTACTGATTAGTGTTTAGAGGCACCCATGCATGAGTTGGCAAACCAAGCCATTGAAATGTGGAATCAGCAGGATCTGGCTTTTTGAATGTCCATTACTTCTCATGTACATGCATATCTATGTTAAATATGGAAAAGAAGAAAAAATTTAAAAGAGAAACAGAACCCTGCTTTACCAGATTAATCAAAATGGAATGATAGATTCTTGAGTTTGAAATAACCCCCGCCCCAGGAATTCTCCAGCGTCTCTGCAAGAAGCTCTCAGACAGACAGCAGTTAAACAAGGTCGGCAAAACCGACTCTCAGATTCAACAAACTGCTCTTTCTGTTTCTGCAACAGGAAGAAAACATTCCACGAGCTGATGGAAGCCCTCACAGACATACATCTGTTATGGCTTTCCCAGAATCCTGACCCCTGGACAATTCTTTTGGGAACACCCTTCTCTATCTAAGGAAAATGACATTCCTAAACCCTGCCCTGCCACCTCACATATGCAGAGTCTGAAAGGGAAGCCAAAACCCCTTGGTCATCCTCACTCTCAGCCCTCTGCCCAAAAGGGGGAACTTTGATCAAATGCAACTTTCTTCTCCTTTGGCCCCAAGCTTCTGTGCCCTCAGTTCACACTCACCCAGAATGCAAAAGCATTTGGATTCAGTGCTGTCCCCTCTGGCTTTCTGTCTGTCATTTGGCCTGGAAAGGACGGTCAGAAATGCCATGGACAGTTACAATTCGACTCAGTAACTTCCACATGGCTCATGAATGTCCTTGGCCACCCGGGAACTGCAGCCCTCTGCCCCCCAAGTTAATTGCTAAATGATTTGCAAACTTAAACAATTATACATTCTCTCTTGACTTGCCCCGAAGAAATCATGTTAATTTATGACACACTCACATGATCCTGATTAACAAACCTAGACTAAATTTGCATGTGGCAAAATGCAATACAGATATATATTTTAAAAAATAATATAAGCAGGTTTTTGCCAACTCTTTTCTCCCACGGTTTAATGACCTACCATCCTGGTTCATACGTTTTTTAACACCTGACTTTGGATATTTTTTTAAAATGAATCGATTTGTAGTCATTGCCTGGCTGCCTGTGGGGAAGGAGCTCCTGCCGTTGGCAGACACCTCTGCAGCCAGGCGTGGGGTGTCCTTCCATCAAAGCAACGCCAGGGGGCAAGAAGCGTTAACAAAGCCCGGGACGCTCCGCACTCTCCCTTTATCTACCCGTGTGTGCGTGTCACACTTTCCAGGGCGAAATGTCATTTTGCAAGGTTATACATTTCCAATTCCTCATAGAGCCTTATCGCTCATCATTTACCTCTTGGGCACAAACAAACAGCCTCTTTAAATAAAGCCAGGGAAGGGAAGCATATACCTTTGTACAATTAAAAATAGCACAAGAATGCCAAAATGTATTGGACCTTGCTGTTAATCCGACTTACCTGGCTGACACTCTGGCCTAATCCTATTTTCTCCTCGCATTAGAATGACTCTACAAGGCTACGTTTTGTTCTTCGGGAGCACAGTTTACCTGGCCAGTGGGCTGAGGATCAGAGAAGCCTCACCACCTAAGGTGGGGAGAGGGGCTGCAGACTGCCCAGCCTGGCCCCAGCCTGCTGGAGGTCCCAGTGCAGAGCCTGCTTGGCGAGACAGAAAGCAAACGAAATCACTCAAGGGAAACTTCGCTGGAGACAAAACACATTCAATTTCCTGAGGATTCTGCTTTCTCTCAGGAATTATTTGCTTTTGCCGAGGCACATTAAACAAATTAAACACTAAAAATGGAAGCTCCTTTGCTTCCTGGCTCAGAAAATAGTTTTTTTTTTAAAGGATATAGTACGAACAGTAATACAAATGAAAGAAAACAGTAACACTCTAGCTCTTTAAAATAAACTCATGTGGGCACCTAAAGTCCTTTTTGGCAAATTCTTATCTTGTGGGGCAGTGCAGACAATGGGAGCTTGTGCTAAACGGCTGCTGTCACTCTGCTGACATTCCAGGAAGCTTCCACGCAGCTACTTGGGCATCTTTTCACACCTTCACCTTCCAAACCGCAGTCCCTGGTGATCCTGACTTTTGCAGCCTGGCTCTGGGTCCACACGGGGCTGGAGAAGGGGATTCGGTCTGAATGGGTTCGTGGAGGGTGGGGCAGGGGGCTGAGCTGAGGAACGCGCTGGCGAGGGAGTCAGATACTGTTACTTCGTATTTTAGGAATGTATTTCTCCTGCACACCCCTCCCTCCCCTGCCCACCCCCCTCTCCCAGTATCATTGCTCTTTGAAATGTCATGAACTTGGCGCTTTCAGACCAAACCGCCGGGCTCAGGCCCGAGACAATGGGATTGTCAGAGGGCCAGCGCGGAGCTTTTTCTGCGTGTTCACGGAGCGTTAAGCCTTTATCCCACAGAACGGCTCTGTCTGACCGGGTCAGACAAAAGCCAACTTGCATCTTCCGCTCCGAGGGGATCTGGGCAGAGCCCGGGTACAGCCCTGCGCGGCCCCAGGGAGAGGGGGGAGAGGGCGCGTGTCCCCAGCCCTGCCAAGTGGCGTGGGGAGCGCGAGGCCCTCCTCGGTCAGAGCCACCAACTCTGGTCTCCGTGGACATCCCCCTTCCCCCGCCCGCTCCCGAGGCTCTAGGGCGGCCTCCTGGCCGCTGCCTTCTCGCACCCAGGGTCTTCGGCCTGGGCTCCACACCTCAGGCCCCTCAAGTAATCGGCCTCTTGGTGGCCGGGCACTGCCTTTCCGGCTGCTCTCTGCACCCGTCTGCCCCTCCGGCCTCCCCTGGCGGCTACAGGCGTCCGGGGCCCTCGCTCCCCAGCTCCAGGCGTCCCGGGAGCCAGGCGCGCAGCGGGGCGAGTTCTCGTGTCCGTGTGAGCGCGGGCGTGTGTATGCGTGCGCGTGCACGAGCGTGAGTGTGCGTGAGCGTGAGTTTGAGTGTGCATGCGGGTGTGAATGTGTACATGTACACGAATGTGAGTGTGAGTGTGCATGAGCGTGAGCGTGCGTGTGCGTGCGAGTGTGCACGAGCGTGACTGTGAGTGTGCGTGCGTGGAAGCGCGGCGGGGAGCCTGGCTGAAGGCCTGCTGCCTGCATGGCTGTCAGAGAAAAACAGAAGTGGGAGCCTGCTGCGGGCTCCGAGAGGACTTGATGGGAGCCCTGGCGCGCGCTGGGCACCGCGCGGTGAGTGTCGGGGGTGGGGGCCGCGGGTCTCCAGCAGCCCCTGCCCTGTGCGGACCGCCGCCCCGAGGGTCCCTGCTTGCGGGTCCGGGGCTGGGCGTGCCTGGCTCCCCCTTGCCCCCTGCTCCACCGGCAGGATTCAAGGGACGAGAGCTCTGGGCTGCGGAGAGTTGCCCTGGCTGGCCCCGTCCTGCAGCAAAGGGCGGGCGGCGCGAGTGGAGTGTGCGGGGCAGGCTGGGCGGCAGAGGGAGCCCAGGGGAGCCCATGGCATGGCACCGCCAGTGTGGGCTTATGAGGAGGTGCAGGCCGGGACCTCAGGCTGTGGGCAGGACCGCAGGCAGCGGCTGGCAGGCTCCAGGCAGGCTCTGGAGGACCCGGGATTTAGGTATTTATGCAGTGAGAAGGCAGGGGTTTGGGTGTTCTTTCTCCCCTCTTCCTCCTTGGAATTCAATTTCTTCGAAGGGCAGGGGGCAGGCCGGGAGGGAGGGACAGAGAAAGAGGCCGCGAGCCACAAATGCCGCCCCCCATCTGTTCAGTAGGGCTCACTTCCTGAGGCAGGGGTCCCTAGCACAGGGTCTGGGGAAGGCAAGGTGGGGGGTATAGGCTACCCAGATAAGGAGGGACTTGCTAGGTAGTGGCCCTGGGTCTTGAGGGGCTGGTTCCATCCCGATTGGTCCCCTGGTGCCTGGAGGGCTGTGGAGGGTCCCAGGCCTAGAGTTGGGGGCTGAGTGGGAGGACGGGCCTCACAACCTGGGATTTCTTTCCAGCTTCTGGGTCTGGATCTGGGCCTCCAGTCCCCAGCTGTGAAGCAGGAAGGGAGGGAGGGAGCCTTTCTGAGACCCTCCAGCCTCTACCCTGCAGGAAGAGGTGGATGTAACCTTGAGCATAACCTTGAGCAAGTCTTCCCAGCTTTTTAGGCCTCCACTTCCTCACCTGTAAAAGGAGCTGATGGGGGTAGACCATGTCGAATGTTACTTCTGGCTGAAACATTTTTTGTTGTGTTTTGTTTTAATTTGTGCAGAGTTGGACCTACTCTCTCATGGTGCAAATTTATTTCATTTCAGTTTCCGAGGCCAGGCATAGAATCCCTGTATATTCCCAGGGACAGTGACGCCTTATGCAGAGGATGGGCAACATAGAAAATAACCCTACCTGGGGGCACAGACAACTTATTCTTTAAAATGACCAAATGAAGCTAAATTGAAACAAAATTTTTTTTAAGTGAAATGAAACCAGTGATGCTGAGACTGAGTTGGCAGGCTGGGGAGGAAGACCTGGAAGCGTGTGTGGGCTCTCTGGGGAGTGCTCCTGGCTGGGTGCGGTCTCGGGTGGCCAGGCTGGGCAGAGGCGTTTCAGGATTTGATGGGAATCTTTGGCCTTGAGCTGTCTCCCCTACCTGCAAAGGCCAAGGCCTTCCCTCCACTGGCTGAAGTTGGTTGGGCTCTGCCCATCCATCCGAGCCTGCAAATTACTCACGGGGGGCTGCTAGTGCTGCCTGTGCAGGCTGGGGCCAGATGGGAACACTTTGTGGGGGCTGGCCAGCCTGGGACAGCAAGCAGCTGCTAGATTATTCCAACCCCTTTCTGTGTTCTTCACACCAGCAGGGGCTGGGGAGGCCGAGAGCCACAGCACAGCTTCAGAGAGGCCCCTTGGAGGTGTTCACAAACCCCCTGCTTCCCAGGAGGGGCACCCAGGTGTAGTTCCAGCCTAGCCTCTTTTCCCACGCCCGCCTTCTCTGGGGGGTGTCTCTGGGGGGTGTCTGGTCTGCGGAGCAGGGTCCAGACTTGCTTGTCTCCACGCTTCTCAACGCCTCCCCTCCACTGCCTCCTGCCTGGCTTCTCAGCAGCGGTGGGTGCTGGAGGTGGACTGGGTCATCTCCCCAGCCTCCCCAGCCTCCCCAGTCCTGCTCACCTGTTGGGGAATCACTGCCTGATTGTCACTTTACCCCTCTGCATCAGCTTCCCGGCATTGCCTTAGCGAAGTGCCACAAACCGGGGGGCCTACACAACAGGAATGTGTTCCCCCACAGGACCGGAGTCCAAAGTCCAGGCGTGGGCAGGGCCCTTCCCGCCCTGTTGGCCTCTGCTGTCTCCAGGAACGCTTGCTCCCTGGGCTCAGAGGTGCAGCATCCCAAAGCCACCTCTGCCTTCGCCATGTGGCTCTCACATGGTGCGCGTCTGCCCTTCCCATCCCGGCTCCTGAAGGAGAGCACTTGGAGAAAAGTGGGGATGCTCTATTGCTGCTCTCCCCACTGCTTGGTGTACCCCTGACGCCCTCCTGGGCCCTCACACCCTGGAGCACCCTGTCCCTGCACCCGCCCTGAACCAGAATCCAGGTCCAGCCAGGGCTGCAGCACAGCAGCACCAACGACGGGCGCATGGGGACAATAGCTGGAGGAGATTTGGGGCTCAGAAGAGAGGGGCTCCGGGGAACCCTCAATTGCTCATTTTGGCAGCATCTCCACTGGGTCTACATGCCAGGCAGCACACAGCCAGGACTTCAGGTTGTGTCCCCTGACTCGGAGTGGAGAAGGGGCAGGTGCTGGACCTGCAAACCTCAGACCCCACGCCTGGCTCCTGCTCTGTCTACGGTGTTTGGGAATTCACTTGGCCTCCAGGAATCGGCTTTCTCCTCTGTGAGATGGGAAGGCCATTCGGTATCCTAAGTACCCAATGGGCTGAAGATCAAACAAGATACAGGGTACGTGAGTTCTAAGAGCAAGGCTGAGTGTCACTGTTGGGGGCGGGGGTCCTTGCTCCCAGAGCTCCCAAGATGGTGGCGGGTGGCTTCCAAGATGGCAGCAAGCCTCTTGCTCTCTGACCTGGGGTTCTTGGCTTCACGGATTCCAAGGAATGAACCCTTGGGCCATGTGGTGAGTGTCATAGCTCTATTAGAAGCCGTGGGTCACAGAAGAGAACCGCGGAACCCAGCGACTAGTGTTCAGCTCGATTAGGATGAACCCGGGCACTTAGCCGTGCAGGAACAATGGTGAGCCTTTAGCCCGATCGGGAGCGGCAATGGGCGCCTCGCTGGATCAGAAGCGCAGTGGACACCCTGCTGGATCCGGAGGGATGGAAGTCGGCGGCGGGTCTGCGACGGCGGCAAACAGCAGTGGTGGACGGCGAGTGAAAGCTCAGCTCCAGCCATAACAAACACGGACCAGAAGAGTGGGCAGTTGCAAGATTTAATAGAGTGAAAACAGAGCTCCCATACAAACGGAGGGGACCCAAAGAGGGTAGCCATTGCCGGCTCGAATGCCTGGGTTTATATCCGGATCACTGTCCCTCCCGCTGTGCTCTCAGGCAATAGATGATTGGCTATTTCTTTACCTCCTGCTTTTGCCTAATTAGCATTTTGGTGAGCTCTCTTTACTACCTGATTGGTCGGTTGTGAGCTAAGTTGCAAGCCCCGTGTTTAGCGGTGGATGCGGTCACCTTCCCAGCTAGGCTTAGGGATTCTTAGTCAGCCTGGGAAATCCAGCTAGTCCTGTCTCTCACCACCTGGGAGCTTTGGCTCTTTGGGTGGTTCTAAACAGCATCAAGGTTGAGACCAATGTTATCTTTGGGGTCTCCACCCCCTGAAAACTGCCCCTACTTGCTAGTTCCTGCCAGGAAGACCCAGGTGATCAGCTTCCCTCAAAGCCCAGGGCAGAAGCACTCTGGTGGCCCCAGGTGCCTAGAGACAGGCAGAAGGGAGACACCCATGAGTCACTCCTCCACTTCTTCCAGAGACCATGCCGTTTTTTTCTTGTTTGTTTTTTGAAAGTGTCAAAAAGCCATGAGCACAAAGGCTCCCCTCTGCGCTGTGACTCTGGGAATCTGGAATAGAAACAGAAGCTCTCATCCCCAGGGACACCTTTCCTGGCACTGCTCCCCAGCCTCCTCCCAGCTCCAGGCTGAGAAGGGCGTCCCTCCTCCGTGTCCCTGCAGCAGCCAGCACCGAGGTCTGCCTCCACCCTAGCCACAGTGTGCTGCCATGTTGTGTTTCTGGGCCTGTCCCCAATGTCAAATCCTAGAGGCTAGGCCTCTTGTCTCTGTATCTCCAGGACAACAGGGTGTTTCACAGGCCTGCAGGCAGCAGGTGCTTAACAAACGGGTGTGAATGCAACCCTGGTCACCTCTCTGTCCATGGGGATGAGGAAGCTCTCCCCTTTGCCTGGAAGTTGTATTCCAAAAAGACATGACATAGGGTAGCATTGAATCAAAGCATCCTTCCCACCCTCAACTCCATAGACAGGGACAAGAAGAGAAGTCTTGTTGCAATGAGGAAGGAAGAGATGTAGGTTAAAATCCAGACAAGTTACCACTAACCCAGAACATTTAGGATTCCAGCTGTCATGTGCGGGGATCCAGATGCTGCCATCAGAGGGGTGGTGCTGCAGACGGAAAGCAGCTAGAACAACTGGCTGCGAGCCCCTCCCTCTGCAGCCCTGGGAGATGACTTCGGAAAGCCATCTCAATCCCTCAATCCCAAACCGCAGAGTGATGCCTCAGGCTGTGGGTAATTTCCCAAGGCCACGATCTCAGATAGGACCCCTTCGCCTCCCAAAGAGTTTGCTGGGCTTTCCCCAGTCTTGGGCGGACTTGGATGAGTGATCTTCCCTCCCTGCTAGAACCTTTGTGCTTGCAGTTCACATGAACTTGAGCGTGGATCTAATCATAGGGATGCAGGCCCGCAGCTGTGCAGACACAGATGCTGCATGAATGCATGCCTGCAGAAATGACGGATGCCATAATTCAAACGCTGAGGCGGCAGGCACAGGGGCCGGGTGTGTGTGCACACTTCCTACGTGCAACGAACTCCTTCGGTCCTCAGGACACATCTGTGAGGGTGGCCTGAGATCACCCCCATTTTGCAGATGAGGAAACAGATGTGTGGAGGGCCTGGGACGCACCAGGCCAGTGTCTGCCGGAGCTTGGGCTGTGCTGTGGGGGTGAGGGGCAATCGTGGGCCAAAGCCAAGGCCTTGCTCCTGGGGAATCCACTTAGCTTGACTGCTCGGTGGCCACCTCCGCCCATCACCACCCAGGGGAATAAACACTGCAGGTCATGTGGGGCGGGGGCAGTCTGCACGCTGGGGGTAGATCCACGCAGATTCCGTGCCTCCCGCAGAGGGGCTGAGGGTAGCACTTGGGTGGCTGTGCCAGGAGGAGCCCAGCCCAGGGAGAGGGTGTGTGCAGCTGGAGTCCTGGCTGCCAAGATCTAGGCAGTGGGGGCTTGGGCAGAGCCAGGTCTCATCACGGCATCTCTCAGGCAGGCCTTGTCCTCTCATCTGCAGAATAGGGCTACTAAAACCTCCCGTATGGGGTTGTTGAGATGAACCAATTGGGGAAAATGGAAAGTACTTTGAAAAGTTTGAAGCTGTATACAATAGCCATCTGTTGTCCTCAAAGTGAGTGGTCCTTGGGGGCAGGCTTGCTACAAAGTAAACAACCTGGGGCAAAAGGTTTTAGTTGTTTAGACAAGAACACACTGCCTTTCATCAGTGTGGGAAAGAACTGGATCGGGAATTAGACCACGTGGGCTTCAGCCTGTCAAAAGGTGTTTTCAAGTAGCTTATTTTAAGGGCCCTTTTATAATAGCTCATTAGCTCAAAATGTTTGACATTTTATATCTGAAGATGGGGCGAACAGGTGCCTTCATCAGGTGGGAATTCTGGGGGTGCTGTTGTGGCTAAGGGTGGTCCCTTTGATTGTCATTCATGTTCTGTCTTTCCTTCAGTCCCCTTGTGTCTAAAAACAATGCATTCTTATTGGGACTGCAATTTTGGTCATAGAAAAGCCTTTTGGTCTCAGGTTCCTGGGGCCGTGTGGCCACTGGATGAAAAAGCATTAGGTGGAGTTTATCTAAACTATAAAATAGATTAAGATTAAAAAAAAAAAAGAATAGGCCAACCTTAGTCAAGGGGAGAATTAAGATAAAAAAAAGAAAGCATAGGCATCTCCAGGGTATGCCCACTCTATGGCCCTAGGAACAAAAAGCAGACACTCCTCCAATCCCATCAGTTTCCAGAAGAAGAAACTGAAGTCCTCAGTGGTCCAATGAGTTACCTGATAGCTGCTTACTCTCCCACTCTTACTGATTTCATCAATCCACAGGTTTGTACTAATGAGTCATACCTGCAAATTTTTCAGTCCAGTTAGGAAGACAAAGCCACTGACAAGAAGCACCAAGGGGAGGACAAGGGCTCAGTGTCACGGAGAGTGTGCCAGGTGGTAGGAGTTCCTGGAAGGGAGGGAAGCTCCGCAGAGGCTGAGCCTTTCCGAGGGCTCGGAGGAGGGCAGGGGTTGACCAGAGAAGGCCTCCTCTGCACCTGTGCCCCATCCTTCTAGTCTGGGCCTGCTGGGCTTTCCCTTGCAGGACTGGTGGCTTTCACAGTGAAGACTGTAGAAGGTGTGTGCACTCCCCGGGCCCCTGTGGTCGTCCCAGCTCAGTGACAGCATCCCTCCTGTGATCTCTGTCAGCCCCAGGAGCTGCAGCGTTGCCCCCCACCAGACGATTGGCTGCTGCCCTCAGTGGCTCCCGGAAGCCAAAGGCAGTCTGCAGCCGGCCTCAGTGAGCCTTCGGGGGTCCTCTAGTAACCGGGTTCCTGAGCTCTTCCTGTGTGCAGACTGTGCTGTGTTCATTGCTGCCCAGCAGCGGGGCAGGTGGGGCAGGTGGGCCAGGGTTGCTGTAGCTTCCTCCCTTCCCAGAGAAGGGGAAGAACAAAGCCTCAGGAAGGAAATGAGCTGCTCAAGGTCATGGGTGGCGGTGAGGCGAGCCCCTGGAACCTGAGGCCATGCCACGTCCTCTGGGGTCAGATGGGAGCGGGTAGGGAGGGGCAGGCAGCCCTGACCCAAACCTTGGAAAGTGTGTCTCTTGTGTGCTGTGAAGAAGCGTAGTTCCCCATTTTACAGTGGAGAGGACAGATCATTTGTCGGGGGGTCACCAGGTGGCAGGGCATGGAGCCAGAATTTAAATCCAGGTTTCCTGATGCCAAAGCTGGCCAATCCTCAACTTCTATGCTGAAGTCAACCTTCAGGCCAGGTTGGTGCTGCCCTGGCTAAGAGGCACTGGCCATGGAGCCTCTTCTCCTCCTAGACACAAGCCAGATCCTCCATACGTAGAGGGGCTCCCAGAGCACGACAGGCATGGGTGCCACATCCCAGCAAGGCAGCCCCAGGTGGACGCGCTGGGGTTGGGGGGGCGGGGCTTGCTTCCCAGGAACATGGACCAGGTACAAGCGTCCAAGCTGGGAGGATGCTTGGAGAGCAGCTGCCTAGTGGGAGAAGATCAGGAAAGATGCCCCTGAAAGGGATTCGGAGTCAGGGCCCATCTGTCCCCTGGAACCACACAGTATGCACCACCAACTCTGGAAAGATTCAGGTGAAATGCTCAATTTCTGCCTTCTTTAGAGGACTGGGCTGTATGAATGGTCATATATTAAGTGGGAGGTGGCAGTGACGGGCTGGCACAGATGAAGCTGTCACTGCTTACATCAGCTGCTGAAATTATGTGCTCTTTGAACTAAGCAAGGGAGAGCCAAACTCTCTCATTTATCTCTGTGAAGTCCTCCGGTCATGTTTATACCATGAAATAGGACGGGAAATCTGAGCAGAAGCACCTTGGCCTAAAGCTTAGGAATCCGCTTGTTGAGTGCCCATGGCCATCAGCACTTCCCGGCTTCATGGGAGCCACAGCCAGAGATTCAGAGATGCGTGGACAGAGGCACCAACATGCTTCTCACTCAAACCACAGCTCAACTCACTGCATTATGTGCCAAGGGCAAGGAGGGTTCTCATCAATGTTGGTGACCAAAGACATTCACATCCAAACAAATTCAACATTATTTCTTCGTTTTTTCTTTCTTTTTTATTTTTTAGATGGAGTCTCGCTCTTGTTGCCCGGGCTGGAGTGCAGTGGTGTGATCTGGGCTCATTGCAACCTCCGCCTCCCAGGTTCAAGCGATTCTTCCGTCTCAGCCTCCCTAGTAGCTGGGATTACAGGAGCGCACCAGCATGCCCGGCTAATTTTTGTATTTTTAATAGAGATGGGGTTTTGCCATGTTGGTCAGTCTGGTCTCCAACTCCTGACCTCACATGATCCACCCACCTCAGCCTCCCAAAGTGCTGGGATTATAGGTGTGAACCACTGTGCCTGGCCAACATTATTTCTTGAGAACAGTGTGTCTTCATAAATTGCGTATGTTTGAGTGGGAAAAAATCATTAAGTAAAAAAATTCACAGTATAGTATTTCTTGGTAAATACCAGAAAAAGGCACTTTGGGAGGCTGAGGCAGGTGGATCTCTTGAGTCTAGAAGTTTGAGACCAGCACAGACAACATAGCAAAACCCCGTCTCTCCAAAAAATACAAAAATTTGTGGTGTGGTGTGGTGGCGTGTGCCTGTAGTCACAACTACAAGGGAGGCTGAGGTGGGGGGATCACCTGAGCCTGGCAGGTCAAGGGTGCAGCGAGCCCTGATCACACCACTGCACTCCAGCTTGGGTAACAGAACAAGATCCTGTCCCAAAACAACAACAACAAAAAAAAAAAAAAAAGAAGAAAAGCATAATGCATTTATCTCCCAATTTCATTAAAATATGAGCGTGACACCCTGTGTACAAGGGTTGTATACTAACCTAATGCTGGCGTGGCTGAGAGTTCACAGTTCACGTAACTGAGCTCAAAATCCTACCGTCTTGAAAGGGTCCGTGCCTGCTGGAGTCTAAGATGTCGGAGAGCTGGTTTCAATATGCACAGGCTGGGAGGCAGGATTAATAATGCATCCTCCTTCACAACCACAGGTTCTACAGCTGTGGATAATATTGCAGAGAAAGCGTAGCCAGTGCAGTCCCTGAAGCCAACATGTGAACGGCCTGGAGTCAAACGTTTAAGGAGCCTAAGCTCGAAATGGCGATGAGTTCAGAAAATGTGCAGTCATTCAATACCCAAATGCTTCTTTCCTTTTCTATGTTCGTATTAGACCTCGTGATAAATTGAGGGAGTTAAAGCAGTCCATTTATTTTAGGTGGGCCCAGCCCAGTTATGAACATGTTGAGACCTAGGAGGCCAAGAGGACCCACCTAAAACCCTCCCCCATTAAGGGCTGATGTGGTACCCCTGCAAACCCACTCCCTCGGGGCAGGAGATGCCTTCTCTGCAGAGTCCTGTTTCTGAAATCTGTGCAGTGTGTCCAGGTGAGTGAAGATCAGGACACCGTGAGGGAGAGCTGGGGGTACCCAGAGCTCTGCACAGGGGTGGGGAGGATGGCCAGAGCGGTCCCAGGTTGGAGATACGTGAGGAGAGCCGTGAGCCTCCTTGCTGCCCAGGGCCCCGTGTCCAGCCCACCTGCAGGGAACAGACCTCAGCCTCGCTTCCCCCTGTGGGGCCCATGTCCATGAGGGTTTGACCCTATAGACAGAATACTCTCAGATTGCAGCTTTCAAAAGTCAGCGCACTTTCTAAAGGGCTCCCCAAATGGGAAATTAGAGTACTGTGTAATTCTGTAAGGTTTCTGGAATTTCCATCCTAAGCATTGGAAAAAAGGGTAAAAATCCAAAAAGTCAAAAGAAAAGAGCCATTTACCATTGCTCAGAAGAAACAGTATAAAATATGTGCATTTGTTTTTCATGGAAAGTATGAAAAACCAGTTATGTGTTGCTTTAGGAATTGGGCTGGGCTTTGAAAGATGGAAAAGACAATTTAAAATTCAATTTTAAATTAGTGATGCTTTCTCTGGAATCTCCATTTTGTACCAATAGCCCTAGCAGCACGAGATCAAATTTTCCTCAGATATCAACCAAATGGCTTTCCTCGGAAGCTCAGGGGCGACCCACAGAGCGAGGGAGGGCCTTCTCCTGCCACCTCACCAGCGCAGTCAGAACTGATGTTTCTATCAGATGCCAGGCGTTTTGCTGCTGTCTTTGGTGACAACGATGGAAATGCCATTTTGCACAGACCGGGTTTGAAAGACCTTTTCCAGACTTGCTTTGGGAAAAGCACGGTTTTGCACTGAGATGGGTGATCTTTAGATGATACCTGGAAGGAATCCCTGGGGATTCTTTGCGGTGTGGCTCTGCCTGCGGATAGATGTCCCAGGAGCCATTGAAAGGTGGCCGGCCATTTCTCATTTCCCCCCATGATGGACTTTGCCCGGCGTTCCATAACGGCGCAGGCTTACCCACCGGGCCAACTTCAACCTTTCTACCCAAAGCACCAACACTGAGCCTGTGTCTGGTCTTTGTGTGAAACACTTTCTTCCTAAGTAATCCTAGGGAGGAGGAGAACCCGGGACCAGGAGAGAGGTGCTGAGAAGCAGGCCCGGCTTCCCACCTGCCTGCAGGGCCTCTGCATGCTGGGGACTCGGGTGACTGGGTACGCAGGTGCCTCCCGCCATCCTTGCTTGGCGGTGCTCACTAGGCAGGTTTCTTTCTGAAGGTGTCTTCTGGGAACAATAGCGTGGGGTTTTTTCTTCACATGGCTGGGAATGGCATTGTCTGGAAGAGGAGGACTAGGGCAGGTTCCAGGGGCAGGCGTTACCCTGAGCAAACACTATTTTCTGCTGTGAGTATTTTGGCTCCAGTGAATCAGTGTGTGAATGCTCAGCAGTCCCACATCAGAAAGCCAGCAGCTGCAGAGCACTCATCCACAGGCGCGGACAAAGAGGCTGCGATCTCATCCACTTTGCAGAGGACGGTGAAATGGTGACTTACCCCAACCTGCATCTCTTCCTGTTCTCCAGGCCCATTGTTCCTCCAGCCACGTTTCTGAATTTACAATATTTAATTGCAGCTTCACGAAAAAATAATCCCTGCTTAAGGATGTTCTAACAATGGCATGCCAGGGAGCCGGCTCATAATCACACAAGGTAGTGAGTGGCCTTGTGTGACTGCTGAGCAGAGGGCCTGGGCAACCTCTGAGGGTTCCTCCTGCCCCAGGGACCAGCAGGACAGATAAAAACCCTCTCGGAAGGGATTTGCACTCACAAATGTGAAATCATGTGGGTTAGCCCTGGGGACAGCTGCTGCCACCCTCGGCTTCATCCAGAGTTCTGTGACTTTCAGCCACCATGGACCAGCCAGGCATATCAGAACTTAGTAGTCACTCACCACATGAGGTCTGCAGTGAGTCACCTGGGCTCATCATCAAATACAGGACAAGAGGAGGAAACAGACCTGCCACCTAACCCTTCCAATGTGTCACCCCTCTACCCCATCCCTGCCATGTGAAGGGAAAAGAGTCAGTAATAATGTTGGGTGGGAGTGTTGGGCTGTGGTTGAGAGTTCTTATTTATTAATACTTCATTCTTAAACTTTCTTAGAAACAGGGAACTTACCCTATAAAGGGAACCAGCAATTTATATTTAATTAATTAATTAATTAATTAATTTGTTTTTTGAGACGGAGACTCACTCTTTCACCCAGGCTAGAGTGCAGTGGCGCGATCTCGGCTCACTACAACCTCTGCCTCCTAGGTTCAAGCAATTCTCCTGCCTCAGCTTCCCAAGTAGCTGGGACTATAGGTGCGTGCCACCATGCCCCGCTATTTTTTTGTATTTTTAGTAGAGACGGGGTTTCACCATGTTAACCAGGATGGTCTTAATCTCCTGACCCAGTGATCTGCCCACCTCGGCCTCCCAAAGTGCTGGGATTACAGGCGTGAGCCACTGCGCCAGGCCAAATTTCATTTTTTTTAGAGACTGGGTCTTACTCTGTCACCCAGGCTTGAGTACAGTGGTGCAATGATAGCTCACTGTAGCCTCAACATCCTGGGCTCAAGCAATCCTCCTGTCTCAGCTAGGACTATGGGCATGCATCATCATGCCTGGTTATTTTTAAAAAAAGTTTTTATAGTGATAGAGTCTCACTATGTTGCCCAGGCTGGTCTCAAACTCCTGGGCTCAAATGACCCTCCTGCCTCGGCCTCCCAAAGTGCTGGGATTACAGACATGAGCCATTGCACCCGGCCTGGAACCAGCACTTTCTAAGAGAGTCAAGTTCAGGAGGAGTTGGCCTGCTGGAGATGAATGTGCATGGGCTTTGGAGTCAGCAAAGCCAAGCTGGAATCCTGCCGCTGCACAGCAGTGAGATGTTAGCAACGGATTTAATTTTCCTGAGCTTCCATTTCTTTTATCTGTAAAATATGGTTAAACATGAAGTGATGTTGTATTAAATGAGATCCTGGGTCTGAAGCCTTAACAAAATGGCGACACACTAACACACTCGGTGCCACCATGCCGCCACCATGACCCCATGGCATCACTTTTGTACGGAGCTTCAGTGCTGGGCTCCCACTCACAGAGCAGTTTGTGGAGCACCTGCTCCATGGTGGTGGAAGCAGGGAGACATGGCACTCATGGTTTTGCCATAGAGAAGCTTACAGGTCCCATAGCCGTGAAGGCAAGGAGGCACGAGGTTGTCTGGCCAATGCTGGCTCCAGGTGTGACCCGAGTGTGGTGCTGAGGAATGGGACAGCTCCATGGAGGAGCTGCCTCTCAGGGGGTGGTCAACAGGGAGTTTGGGCCTGGGGGTACCAGTAAGGCAGGAAAGGACATTTTGGCAAACTTCAAAGCACAGGGCCATGGCAAGACCAGCCATGTTCCTGGAGCTTCTGGGGGTCCGAGGTGTGCAGGTGCATGCGAGATGAGGCTCAGGGCAGCATGTGAGGCTTCTATCCTGTAGGGAAGGGGAACCGGGGCTGGGGGTTGGGGGGCGGGTTGTGATCAGAGAATGACACTGCCATCTTTTTGTTTCAGGAGAACAATATTGCCAAGAATATCTGGATGGATGGAGGTGGCCGGCAAATCGTCAGAAGCAACTCAGACAGTCCAGAGGAGGATGGTGCAGAGCCAGAGGAGGCACAGGGAGGCGGCAGGCAGATCTGAGAGGCATCACCAAGGCAGCGCTAAGGAAGGAGGGTAGGGACAGTGACTGCCTCGGGCTGCTGCAGCTCAGGAGGCCGAATGATGCCCTTCACCAAGCAACACACGATTATAGGTTTAATTGTTTTCAAAAGACTTCGCCCTGCTCTGTAGGATTGGCGGCTCGATTGGCATTCTGCCTGCTTCACAGATGTGCCAGCCGAGGCTTGGACAAATGCAGTAATTTGCCTGTGATCTTGTAGCTAGCAAGGGCTGAAACCAGAACTAGGGCCTCTGCTCCAAACTGAGCGCTGTTTTGACTGTTCCACAGCTACTTCCCAGGACCCCACAGAACAGCCAATGCAGGGAACTGTGCCCCCATCCGCTTCCTTTGGGACTGCCTTCCTCTGTCCCCTTGGTGCTCAGGGCCCTACGTTTTGCCTCTGTTGGGGCCGGCTGCTGACTGGCACTGCCTGGTGCCCTCCTGGCTCCTCCCACAGTTTCCCAGACCCCCGAGGTCCCAGCACTCACACTGCGGGGCCGACAAACAGCAGGTGTCCTTGCGTCTGACTAAAATGACATCCACTTAGTGTGGTGACATTGGTTATTCTGGGTTGCCCAGATGCTTAACTCGTTGTTGAATGTGAGAACTGGGGAGAACTAATTTCTTCTTAATTCATGTCCTCTTTGTTAGTGGAACAATTTCATTTCAAAATGAAAACACACTTGGGAGAAATTTTTAAAAAGGGATTCTAGTAGTGAAGAGATGGAGAACAGCTGTTCAGGAATCTTTATTCCTTTCCACTCTGCCCCAGCTCCCTGGATCCTACCCCAGCACCCCAGGCCATTTAATCACTCTGTTCCCTGCCCTTTCTGAGCTCTTCCTTCCTTAATTGCTCATAACTAGCATCTCAACACTTCATGATTGTCTCCCAGATACGGGTTGGGGTTGTCATCCAGTGGGAACCTGGGTTTTCTAGCTGGTGAAGACACTCCTGCAGGCATGAACCTTGTTTTGGTTTGGTTGTTACTCTCTGTTTCCGCATACCCTCCACAGTGCTTGAGACATAATAGTAGCTCAACAGAGAGGGTGCCGTGGCTCACACCTGTAATCCCAGTACCTTGGGAGGCCAAGGTGGGCAGATCGCTTGAGTGCAAGAGTTCAAGATCAGACTGGACAACATATTGAAACCTCATGTCTACCACAAAAAAAAAAAAAAATTAGCTGGGTGTGGTGGCACACACCTGCAGTCCCAGCTACTCGGGAGGCTGAGACAAGAGGATCGCTTGAGCCCAGGAGGTTGAGGCTGCAGTGAACCATGATGGCGCCGCTGGACTCCAACCTGAGCAGCAGAGCGCAGCAGAGCAAGACCCTGTCTCACACACACACAAAAAGTAGCTCAATAAATGCATGACTGGATCTCACCTGAGGAGGGAAGAGTGAAGCGAAGGGCGATGAATTGGAATCACCCTGGCGGCCTATTTAAACCAGACAACCTCAATCTGTACTTAAACACATTGGCACCCACAGGGGGAGCTGACTGAAGGCTGCAACGTGAGTAGCAATACAGCGGTGACGGCCACCGATTATGAAATAGGACACAGGGATACAGCGGAAACACTCCCCGTGGATAGGGCAGGTGGTGAGAGGCTCTTCTCAGAGTCACATTCTGCTGGAGCTGGCTCCTGGCTCACACGAGCCGGCCGTGCACATCTCTGCAGCGCCTGGTTCAGACTCTTCTCTTCTGAGGCTGGAAGTTGGCCTTGGTGGGGGCAGCTCGTGGGGTGCCCCAGAGCCGGTTAGTGACCGTGGCCCCGCACAGCCTGCTTGGTCTCCTGCTGTGTTATCAGGGAATGGGTTCTTGAGCAGCAATTGTGCCCCCGTGGCAAAGGGAAGCGAACACAGACTTAGAGGGTTTGCTTTTTAAACACTTGAGGTCTCACAAGGCCTTAGTCCAGATGTAAGCAGAAAACCTGGGTCTCCATGGCCTCAGACCATCCAGCTCCCAAGCCCAAACCTCACCTTTAACATGGCACAGAATGTTACAAAACTCTTCCCAAGATATCAGTAATAATAGGTCATGTTGATGTGGCTCTTAAGATGGGCCAAGCTCTAGTGCAAAGAACTTTCTATGCATTAATGATTTAATCCTTTCAAAAACCCTATTGGGTGGGTAACAGTGTTTCCCTCCAAGTTGAGGAAACCGAGTGTTACAAGCTGAATTGTGTGTCCCTAAATGCTATGTGGAAGTCCTCACCCCAGAACCTCAGGGCGTGGCCTTATTCAGAAGCAGCGTCCTTGCTGATGGAATGAGTTAGGCTGAGGTCAGGCTGGAGTGGGCAGGGGCTACTCCAACATGACTGTGTCTTTCTGTGTCCGAATTGGTGGGTTATTGGTCTCACTGACTTCAAGAATGAAGCCGCGGACCCTCGCGGTGAGTGTTACAGTTCTTAAAGGCGGCGTGTCCGGAGTTTGTTCCTTCTGGTGGGTTTGTGGTCTCGCTGGCTCAGGAGTGAAGCTGCAGACCTTCGCGTGAGTGTTACAGCTCTTAAGGCAGAGCGTCTGGAGTTGTTCGTTCCTCCCGGTGGGCTCGTGGTCTCGCTGGCTTCAGGAGTGAAGCTGCAGACCTTCGTGGTGAGTGTTACAGCTCATAAAGGCAGTGTGGACCCAAAGAGTGAGCAGCAGCAAGATTTATTGCAAAGAGAGAAAGAACAAAGTTTCCACAGCCTGGAAGGGGACTGGAGCGGGTGGCAACTGCTGGCTCGGGCAGCCTGCCTTTATTCTCTTATCTGGCCCCACCCACATACTGCTGATTGGTAGAGCCGAGTGGTCTGTTTTGACAGGGCGCTGATTGGTGCGTTTACAATCCCTGAGATAGACACAAAGGTTCTCCGAGTTTCCACCAGACTCAGGAGCCCAGCTGGCTTCACCCAGTGGATCTCGCACTGGGGCTGCAGGTGGAGCTGCCTACCAGTCCCGCGCTGTGCGCCTGCACTCCTCAGCCCTTGGGTGGTCGATGGGACTGGGCGCCATGGAGCAGGGGGCAGTGTTCGTTGGGGAGGCTCGGGCTGCACAGGAGCCCACGGAGGCGGGGGGCGGGGGGCGGGGGGGGCGGGGAGGCAGGGGACGGGGGGTGCGGGGAGAGGTTCAGGCATGGCAGGCTGCAGGTCCCAAGCCCTGCCCTGCGGGAAGGCCGCTAAGGCTCGGCGAGAAATTGAGCACAGCAGCTGCTGGCCCAGGTGCTAAGCCCCTCACTGCCTGGGGCCGGTGGGGCTGGCCAGCCACTCCAAGTGCGGAGTCCGCCGAGCCCACGCCCACCCGGAAGTCACGCTGGCCCGCAAGCACCACGCGCAGCCCTGGTTCCCGCCCGCGCCTCTCCCTCCACACCTCCCGGCAAGCTGAGGGGGCCGGCTCCGGCCTTGGCCAGCCCAGGAAGGGGCTCCCACAGTGCAGCGGCGAGCTGAAGGGCTCCTCAAGTGCCGCCAAAGTGGGAGCCCAGGCAGAGGAGGCGCCGAGAGCGAGCGAGGGCTGTGAGGACTGCCAGCACTCTGTCACCTCTCACTTCTAAGACCAGAGGAGACACAGAGACACCTGGGGGAGACCAAGTGGAGACGGAGGCGGAGACGGGAGCAATTTATCCATAAGCCACGTGACGCCAAGAGTTACCAGTGGCACCAGCAGCTAAGAGAGGGCCTGGGACAGACCCTCCCTCGAAATCTCCAGAAGCAGCCAGGCCTGCTGACCCCTGGGTCTCTGCCGTCCAGCCTGCAGAGCTGTGGGAGGATACATTTCCACTGTTTTCAGCCCCCGGGTCTGTGGCACTTTGTGAAGGCTGCCCCCACAGAAGAAGACACTGAGTCTTCGAGAAGTTAGGAAGCCCTGAACCGTCCAAAGACACCAGGAGGGAAAAGGGTGGGAGGCGAGGGGCCAGCCCTCCATGTTCACGTGGCAAGCCGGAGCCAGGCTGGAGCTGAGGCCTCCACTCACCACCCAGGGTGCGCTCCGCTCACTGCCGCCCCCTGCAGGCTACCCCTGCCACCGAATCCCCCCACGTCATGGACTGCAGCCTCGCCAGCTGCCAGCCACACCCTTGCCACGTTCCTCCTCCTGTTCTCCAGCCCTGCCTCTGCTCCTGCTTCCCCTGCTGCGTGGAGACCCAGCACATCTCTTGAGCTGTGTGGCTTCTCTAAGGTGGCATCCGAGAGTTCCGCAGTTTTCCGAGAAGAGATAAACAGAACTTTTTCTCCATGACCAAGATGTCTTTCTCTCCACAACTCTGGTGTTCAATTCTTTTTATGCCAGGGAAACAGTCTCAATTTTACACTTCTACTTAACACCTGACAATTTTCCTGTAACTATTAGTGTTCAGTAGTAGTAACTATTAGGGTTCAGTAGTTGTAACTACTACTACGCAAGGAGGCGTTCTGGCGACCAGAAAAGGCTGAGGAAGGACAGGTGACAGGTGGGGCCACAAACCTCAAGGCAGGAGTGCGGGAGGAAGCACAGCACCTGGGACCACTGGCAGACCCGTCCCCTGCCTCGGAGATGCCTGTCCCTCCCGCTGAGATCACCGCCCGCCTGCCCTAGCACTGACGCACTGACCACGTTGCTGTCCTCAGGGCAACCTGTCTCCCTTCCCCTCTGACTGGCATCCCCCTGCAGACCTGGCCTTTGTGTGCCTAGAGCCGCACACAGTGCCTGACTGTGATAGATGCCAGCCAGGCTTGATCACGGCCACAAGCTCACACTCCGGGGCAGTCAGCCTGGCTCCAGCCCCAGCTCTGGTGCTTCTAGATAGCTGGTGAACCTCTGTGCGCCTCCGTCTCCTCGCTTACAGAGGTAATAGTGCTTGCCTCATTTGGGTGTTATGAGGATGAGGGGAAAAGGACCAACCCTGTGCGATGCTGGGATGTGGCCAGCACCCTGGAGGCAGCCCTAGAAAACTCCCTCCCACCAGCAGCCTAGAGTCCACAGCATTCCCACGGTGCCCGGGGCCGGGCTCCCCCGTCCCATTGCCCTGCCATCCTGGGGCATCACCCTCACCTGGGTGACTGAGGGGCAACAGCCCCACATCCGTGCTGCAGGTGGAGGGAGTGGGAAATGAGAGCGGATGGCAAGCAGCCTCCTCCATGAGGACGAGTCAAGAGGAGAGGGCGTCTCTGCACACCCCCCTGCCACCCCAGCTGCAGCCCCGCTGACACTCGTTGGCCAGGTTCCATTGCTGAAAGGAGTTAGGGGAGTCTGGACACCATGGGACAGTTGGCAGACTCAGCCCCAGGGTGTAAAACACAAAGCAGCTGTCATCTCGGGGCCAAGGTTTGCTTTGCGAAAGAAGCAGAGATGAAGGCCACGTGGAAGCCTCTGTTCGCTTCGTGCACACGATTCTGCACCCACAAACAGCCACGGTGCTAGGGGTTTCCACATGGTGTCCCCTTGACGCTCACAGAACTCCGGGGAGGCTGTGAGGTCACCCCATTTTCTGGATGAACCTCACAGTGGGAGAGGGATTTGTCACGGTCACACAGTCCAAGCATGTAAGAGAAGAGGTGCCTTCAGGACTGGCACCCAGGCGTCACTCCTGTCCCCCACTCCCTCTGCAGAAGCCCCTCAAGCCCACCGTGTGCCTGTTGACTTTCGCCCTGTGCAGCCTGCTCCAGCTCCTGGTGCTGTGCTGCGTGTACCATGCGTGCCCCTGTGGCAACGAGTCACCGACTCATCTCGTTTCCTTCCCGTGCAGATGCTTCGGGTAGCAGCCCAGCGCTCTTCACTGGACTGAAGGCACCTCTTCTCTTTAGAGAGAGAACATTTTCAAAGGTTAAGCCTAAAAATCAGGACAGATTTTACTTTGTTATTGTTGTTTCTTGAGGCCTAATTTTTAAAAAGCCTGTGTGCTGGCTGCTGATGGCCTTGATGAGAAAGTGGCCGTCAATTAAACAGACAAGGGGGAACCGAGGAATCCAGGTCAGCACGATTTCCTGATCTGTGGCAGTGACTGTGACCTGACTGGACTTGAGCTGGAACTTCAAATAACACCATTAGGTCCTAATCATATCAGAGGTGATCTAACATGACTTCCCACACCATCCCCTTTCAAAGATGCAAGTCACATGGGCACGTCTGTAAAATGCTGAAGGCTGCACCGTGTGAGCTGCACAAATTCAAAGTTTTCTGACTTTGCCAGCCCAGTAACACTGCCAGGTGCCAGCTTGTGGCATTTCTGTCAGAAACCCAGCTGGCATGAAAGTGGGTTTTTCATCCAGCCTGGAGTAGCCCCCTGCATTCAGAAATTCTTTGCCTGACTACAGAAGTCTAAATCAGGACTCACTTTCCCCCGAGCTAGAGGAGGAGGAATGTGAAGCCTTGGAAAGAGTCGGCACCATTCTGGGAGTCAGATTAGTACACCCCAAGAAAGGGAGAGTGGCTGGGCCAGCTGCGACACAGTCCCCAACCGCTACCCGTTCCTCCACCGCCCACCAAGCCCAGAGCAGCCTCCCTCAGCCAGAAGACAGCTTGGAGGATGGAAGACTGTTCAACTTGTGGCTTAAGCACATTATTAAAACCAAAGAGGAAAATTCTTTGAAGAGATGGGGTGGAGCTGAATTTAAGAGAAATAATAAAAACCATGACCAGGTTTTTCTGTGTCTGTTTTTCCTCCCTCATTTCTCCAGCAGCCTGGGGAGCACTGATAGAATAATTCCCCGGTGATTTCATCATGGAACTTCCCTTTCATCAACCTTCCACTGATCTACGTTGCCTGTGGAATAAAGTCCAAATGCCTTTGCTTGATTCTCCCTCTTCTTCCTCACCAAGCAAACGCCTTTTTAAACTAATAACGGTGGCCACCTGTGTAGAAAGCAGAAGGAATGAGGCAGGTGTGGGACAGGAAATGAGGTTGCTAAGGTATCAGTCAGCCACTGCTGTGACAAGGCTGCATAACAAATGGCCCCAACATGGAAATGGCTTCCTGCAGCAAACGTGTGTTTTTCTTGCTTTGGGGTCTCTGGGCAATGAGCAGCCCTGCGTCAGGCTGTTGGTCAAGTCTGTTCCACATGTTTCTGATTCTGGGATCAGTGGGGTCTGGGAACACTCTCCTGAGTGGATGGCAGAGATGCCAGAGAGCAAACCAGGCCGTGGATCATACTTAGTGTCTCTGCTTAGATGGGGTATTGTCACTTCTGTTCATGTTCCATTGGCAGCAGTCACCTGGCCAAGGCCAAGTCCCAGGGCAGGAATGTGTACTCCGTCCACCACAGCGGGGACCCTGCAGAACCCCATGGCACAGGTCAGACAGGCACCAATCTGTAACAGGCGGTGAAGAATTGAGAGCCATCTCTGGTTCACCACACATGCACTGTCTGAGTTTTTGGGGGCTGCCCTAGCAAATATTAATACCATGGGTGGCTTAAACAAGAGCTTTCCTTCCTCACAACTCTGGAGGCTGGAAGTCCAAGGCCAAGGTGTCAGCAGGGACTGGTTTCTCTCGACCTCCCCTCCCCCCGCCCCTGCCTTGGCTTGCAGTCAGCAGTCTCCTCACAGGGCATCCCTCTGTGTGTGTCTGTGTCCTAATCCCCCCTTCATATAAGCATACCAGCTATATTACACTAGGGCCTCCCATGTGACCTCATTTAACCTTCATGACCTCTGTGAAGACCCCAGCTTCACATACAGTCACATTCTGAGGTCCCAGGGATCAGGATCCAGCATATGAATTCAGGGGATTCAGCCCACAGCACACACCTTCTTATGTGCTTCCCCTAACCTGTAACATGGCAGGTTATGTGCATAATAGAAGGAAGAGCGGGTCCAGGTGCACAGACTTTCTCTGTTGGGGGCTTGCAACCCATGATGCAATCATGTGGATGCCCAGAAGACCACTAGGACATCCCATTGATCTTCATCATAAGAAATACAAGAGCAGTGCTGTCTCTGGTCGTGCCCACAGAGAAGGGAGTAAATAGTGAGGATTTTGTAGCCATGGGAACAAGAGGTCCTTCCAGAAGAAATGACCTCTTTGTTCTGGACCTCCAAGGGAGAGCAAGGGTGTTAGGAGCAGGGAGGGGAGGATACTTTGACTGAAAGTCTTTGCGGTGTTGGGGTGTCGTGCGCCTGGCATGGTGGGTGAGGAGGGAGCCGGGCAGAGGGCCTGGAGGGCAGAGAGCATCCCAGGAGGCCATGTTCTTTGGAGGGATTGGGGGCACAGCAGAGAAATGCAAGATTTCACTGGTCACCACGCTGCAACCAGGAGCAGATCTCGGAGAGAGAAAAGTAAGCCCAAATGGCCTCGCACAGGGTTAGAGACCAGGACCAGTACAGGACCCTCCAGGACACTGACAGGACCTGGCATGCAGGCTGGGACCGCTGTCCAATGAAGCTGCCAGGGTTCAAGCCCAAAGCCTCTCCCAGAGACAGAAGTGACCCAGGAGCCAGGGCAGGAGTCCGCAGATGCTGTTGTGCGCCTGGCGGGAGCCGTGGGTGAGCCCAGCAGGGAGGGCTGGCAGCAGACTCTCACTGGCAGCCACTTGGGCCTCTGGCTCCAGGAAGAGATGGGTTTTTGAGTCTTCAGATTAAAGGGCTTTACTCCCAGGGGCTGCGGAGGCTGGACAGAGGGGCTAAGTGGTGGGGACCCAGTAGATCTGTGACAAAGTGTCAGCCTGTGCTGCTGGCATGGGAACAAGGATGAGACCCAGGATTCCTGGCCCCACTGCAGCCTCCCATACCTCTCACCTGGTTTCCCAGGCTCCCCTTGGCCCCAAACCCACCTCACCCACCTCACCCTCATCACACCTGTCAGCTCCAGCCCCTTTCCTGAGCTACCCCATGCCAGGAGCTGGGGCTGAGACTCCCACTGAACCTTAGCTATGGGACCAGGCCAGGTGGCCAGATTCACAGCCCCCCAGTTCTAACAGCCTCTGCGAGTCAGGTGGATTTGATGGGGGGTGGGGGTTGAGCCTGGGAGGAAGCTCAGTCCATGCAGGCAGCCCCCAGCCACTGCCCACCCACCCCTCAGTGGCCCCCTCTCTACTGCGGGGATCCCTGGGGGAGCCCCTTCCTAGGGGCAGGTGCCCTCCTGAGCCTCGGTCACCAGCACCTCCCAGAAGGAAACAAAGGGGTGGGGAGCAGCCTAGGGCTCTGGCCTCGCTGCTGGAGGTGGCTGGAGGGACAGCCACCTCCAGGCACCAGGCAGGGGTCTGGCAGCTAGGGAGTGACAGCGCAGACCTGCTTATTTGCATGCCATATACTGCAGGAGACCTGCCACCGCCAACCCAGGAACAGAGAGGGAGAGACCCGCTCTGGTTTGAAGATGTCAGCACACAGCGGATCAAAAGTTTAGCCTGGAGGCTGCTGTCAGCCACTCAGACGCATAACTTTATACGGTTCCAGAGACGTGTGGTGCAGGAACTATGATGGGGAGACGACAGCAGGAGGAGGGCCATGGGGTGGGGAAGTTGGAGGTGGGCAGCCCCTGCTGGGGCTGGGGATTGGGCTGGTGCAGCCCCAGGCTGGAGGTGGGTGACTCCACCCTTTTATTTTCTGGGGCCTGCAGGTTCGGGTCCCTCAGCCCGGGCAGCAGCGTGGCCTCCACACCACGGGCCCCCCAGCGGGGCCCATCTTCCTGAGAGGTGGGGCGCCTGAGGGACTGCACCAGCATCCCCTTCAAAGCCTTCCCTGTCCCTTTTTT
This sequence comes from Homo sapiens, assembly GCF_000001405.40. Lineage (NCBI taxonomy): Eukaryota > Metazoa > Chordata > Mammalia > Primates > Hominidae > Homo > Homo sapiens. Next base: position 155,404,831 of record NC_000007.14, read on the forward strand.
GCCCTCTCCCCAGAACAGCTCCCCCAGGGCGGCTGCTCTCTTCTCCACTGGGCAGGGGAGGAAGCAGGCCCAGCACTCGCCCAGGGAGGTGCCAGGACCAGAGCCCATCCCGGGAGGTGCTGCCACCTGGTCCCGTCCCCACTCACGCTGTGGAGAGGGCTCCTGTGGGTCAGAAGTCAGTTGGCACAGGCCCCCGCCTTCATCCCCAAGTGGTACCCATCATCGTTACATGGCACCTGTGGCCCCACCACCGGGTCAAGGGCTGAGCTCAGGGCCAGCATTCCCGTCTCCCCGTCTGGTGCCTGCCCAGGCCTGCTTGTGGTCTTGTGAGGAGGTGGCTCTGCAGGCTGCGGCCCTGGAAGGGGGATTCAAGCCCACCCGACTTGCTGAGGCAGCATAGGTGAGCGTCCTGCGCCTGGGGTCACCTGCCCCGCTGCCCCGGCCCCAGCACCACCGCCCGGAGGAATTTGTGGGTGTCAGTTCCCTGCTTCTCTCCTATCAGGAAACAGCTGCTTGAAATATTTTTTAAAGGAAAATATGAAGAATCAATTAGAAAGAGAATATCAAACAAGATTTTCTTGTTTAAAAAAATGACAAAATCCCTCCATATTTAAACTGAGTTCGAGAGAACCGTCCTGGTGTCTTTCTGCCTTTTCTGTGCTGCTGGCTTGGAAGCCTGACAGCAATTCTCCCAGTTTCTGAAATCTTTTTTTCACAGTCCACGGGGTGGTGTTTGCGAGACACACAGCAGAGGGCAGAGCTAGAAGGGGAGACGCAGCCGGTCCCTGGGAGAGCCACAGGCTGCCCCCGAACCCTCCACCTGTGTGCTGAGGCACGGTCCCCTCGGCTCGCCCAGTACGACTCGACTGGTTACAGGACCCCAGACTCAGTCCTCGCCCCAGTCACCCCTGCTCAGAGGTGCCAGTGGCTCTGGGCCTCTGCCTTCCTCCAGAGCCCCTTGGCTCAAAAAACCCTCAGCATCTCCCGCCCACAGCCTGTGGGGGCCTGTGCTACCCGGGCAGGGTGGGAACTGCCAGCAGCTCCTGGCCTCCCAGCAGCTCCTTCCTCCTGACACATTCCCCGTCCGGTTGGACCGTCTCCAGGAGTCCACACTCCAGCTCAGCCGGGCCATGCGGATCCCCTCACCGGAGCGTTCTTTAAGGACCAGGGCTGCCGAGCAGGTGATGGGCAGAAGGCCCCACCTCCCCACTGTGAGCCGTGTGTCTTGTGTGACCTTTCTGAGCCTTCGTGTCCTCATCTAGGTGGTGGCATTCGTGAAGCCCACAGGACGCCCCAGCAGGAAGCGGCTGTGGTTCTTGTCACCCCCACCATGGCTGCTGCCTGGCCCCACTTCAACCATGCCCGCCCCTCCGCTCGGCTGCACACAGTTTTGCTCCTCATTACAGGCTTCTCCACAGGTTTTCCTCCTGAACCATGTGGATTCTTCTTGTCTTCCCAAATCCACCAACCTCTCTGAGGGCAGGGATCAGGCATTCTTCTCAGTGTTTACTTGTGAAAGCATCTAGCAGAACTGGGGGCCTACAGACCACCTCAGAAATGGTTTGAAAGCAGAAAGTGCTACCATATGCAGTTGAAATTCCCAGGCAATTATGCATGTAAAAATTCCTGGTTGTATACATGGAACATCAAAGATCAGAAGGAAAGAATCAAATGCCTGACTGTGCTATGATAGCGCCATTTCCTTTAACTCGTTTCACAAACGCAGATAGAGCGCTTACCCCGAACCAGGCATGTTGCTGCGTGATTGATAAATATTAACTAAATTAATCTTTGAAACCACCCCATGAGGTGGGTATTATTGTTGTCACCCTTTCAAAAATGTGGAAACCGGGGTGGGGAGATGTTAAGACGCTCAGTCAAGGTCACACAGCTCACCCGCGGTAGAGCTGGGGTTCAAATGCAAGTGGTCTCGGTCCAGTGTTTACGGCTTTAAGGTGTGTTGGCTCCAGGGATGAGTCTTCATTTCTTCTGGGGGCTGCGGTTATGAAGAGACCGGCCCCAGACCCAGAGCCAATGCCGCCAGGCACTTTCTGAGAGGAGCAGCGGCGGTGTGAGAGTGTGGAGTGTGAGAGTGTGGGGTGTGAGAGTGTGGGGTGTGAGAGTGTGGGGGTGTGGGAGTGTGGGGTGTGAGAGTGTGGGGTGTGGGAGTGTGGGGTGTGAGAGTGTGGACTGTGAGAGTGTGGGGTGTGAGAGTGTGGGCTGTGGGAGTGTGGGGTGTGGGAGTGTGGGGTGTGGGAGTGTGGGGTGTGGGAGTGTGGGGTGTGGGAGTGTGGGCTGTGGGAGTGTGGGGTGTGGGGTGTGGAGTGTGGGGTGTGGAGTGCGGGGTGTGGAGTGTGGGGTGTGGGAGTGTGCGGTGTGGGAGTGTGGGGTGTGAGAGTGTGGGGTGTGGGAGTGTGGGCTGTGGGAGTGTGGGGTGTGGGGTGTGGAGTGTGGGGTGTGGAGTGCGGGGTGTGGAGTGCGGGGTGTGAGAGTGTGGGGTGTGAGAGTGTGGGGTGTGAGAGTGTGGGGTGTGGGAGTTTGAGGTGTGCGTGTGTCGGGTGTGGGAGTATGGGGTGTGGGATGTGAGAGTGTGGGGTGTGAGAGTGTGGGGTGTGGGAGTTTGAGGTGTGCGTGTGTCGGGTGTGGGAGTATGGGGTGTGGGATGTGAGAGTGTGGGGTGTGAGAGTGTGGGGTGTGGGAGTGTGGGATGTGAGAATGTGAGGTGTGGGAGTGTGGGGTGTGAGTGTGGGGTGTGTGAATGTGGTGTGTGAGAGTGTGGGGTGTGGGAGTGTGCAGTGTGTGAGTGTGGAGTGTGGGGTATGGGGTGTGGGAGTGTGGGGTGTGAGAGTGTGGGAGTGTGGGGTGTGGGGTGTGGTGTGTGGGAGTGTGGAGTGTGTGTGGAGTGTGGGGTACGGGGTGCGGGAGTGTGGGGTTTGGGAGTGCAGGATGTGGGGTGTGAGAGTGTGGAATGTGGGGTGTGGGAGTGTGGGGTATGAGTGTGTGGGGTGTGGGAGTGTGGGGTGTGTGAATGTGGGGTGTGAGTGTTGTGTTTGTGGGGGGGTGTGGGAATGTGGGGTGTGGGAGTGTGGGGTGTGAGAGTGTCGGGTGTGGGAGTGTGAGAGTGTGGGAGTGTGGGGTGTGAGAGTGTGGGGTGAGTGTGGGGTGTGAGAATGTGGGGTGTCAGATTGGGTGTGGGAGTGTGGGGTGTGAGAGTGTGGGGTTTGAGAGTGTGGGATGTGCGAGTGTGGTGAGTGAGAATGTGGGGTGTGGGAGTGTGGAGTGTGTGAGTGTGGAGTGTGGAGTATGGGGTGTGGGAGTGTGGGGTGTTGGAGTGTGGGGTGTGAGAATGTGGGAGTGTGGGGTGTGGGAGTGTGAGAGTGTGAGTGTGGGTGTGGGAGTAGGAGTGTGAGAGTGGGGCGTGGGAGTGTGGGGTGTGGGAGTGTGGAGTGTGGGGTGTGGGAGTGTGGGGTTTGGGAGTGTGGGGTGTGGGAGTGTGGGTTGTTGGAGTGTCAGGTGTGGGAGTGTGGGGTGTGGGAGTGTAGGGTGTAGGAGTGTGGAGTGTAGGAGTGTGAGAGTGGGGCGTGGGAGTGTGGGGTGTGGGGTGTGGGAGTGTGTGGTTTGGTAGTGTGGGGTGTGGGAGTGTGGGGTGTGGGAGTTTGAGGTGTGGGAGTGTGGTGTGTGGGAGTGTGGTGTGTGGGAGTGTGGTGTGTGGGAGTGTGGGGTGTGGGAGTGTGGGGTGTGGGAGTGTGGGGTGTGGGAGTGTTGGTTATGGGAGTGTGGGGTGGGGAGTGTGGGGTGTGGGGTGTGGGAGTGTGGTGTGTGGGAGTGTGGGGTGTGGGTGTGTGTGGTGTGGGAGTGTTGGTTATGGGAGTGTGGGGTGTGGGAGTGTGGGGTGTGGGAGTGTCCGGTGTGGGAGTTTGAGGTGTGGGTGTGTCGGGTGTGGGAGTGTCGGGTGTGGGTATGTGTGGTGTGGGAGTGTGGGTTATGGGAGTGTGCGGTGTGGGAGTGTGGCAGGCCACCCTGAGCTGGAGAGAGCAGCGACGGCTCCACCTTCCCTCCAGGGCTCTCTGCTTCTTCCCGCCCCAGCCACCGTCTCCTTGCCTGGCCCGGCGCCCCTCGGGACCTGACAGTTGTCAACCCCTTAGTGTAGATGTTCTTGACCTGCTGTACCTCCTGGGAATAAAGGAGAAATCGCCTAAAGGAATGAGTGTGTAATAGTGAAGTTCCAGACACAGTGGCACCTACGGCGGGGAATTCCTTGGGGTGGGGCAGGAACCCCCTACTGCCTTCACGCTAACCCATAGTGCCGCTCACGGCTGTCAAAGCTTGTCTGTGGCGCAGCTGTGGAGTCCTGGCCGCAGTGGGGAAGGGAACTGACTGCCGAGGCCGGAGGGCAGCCGGCCTGCCGAGGGGAACAGCTGGATCTAGGTCCAGGTCATGGGTAGGTGGGCGCGCAGGCAGACTTTCGTGATGTTGTGCACTTGACGTGTTGTGCTGGACTTCCACAGCAGACAGGAAGGGTGAACAGAGCAGCCCTTCAGAGAGAAGCACTGGGCAGTCACAGGGATTTGAGGGAGGGTGGAGGACACCCTGCAAGCCCTGCGTGGCCACCAACAGGCAGCGCCCTGCAGCAAGGGGGCCACCGTGTCCCAGCCTCTGCCGCCGCTTCTGTGCCATGAGACACTGGTGGGGGCACGTCTCCTGGGGGATGCAGAGCGCAGCACGCGAGGCGGGCTGTGGGCTCACGGGGCTGCCCCCTCCTAGCCTGGCCCCCAGTATCCGCAGAGTCCCTCCTCCCGAGGCTGTGCTCACCTGGCTCTCACCTGGTTGGTGTTTGCTCAGCACCTCAGCCAGGGGCCAGGAGCCGCACAGACAGACTCCCAGGGTGCAGGGGTTTCATTTGAAAAGATCAAGAACGAAACCCAAGCGGACTCGGTTGCTCAGAGCCATCAGGCCATAGCTTTGAGTGGCAGTCCGGGTGGTTCAGTGACTTTGAAATGGTTTCAGGATGGTGTGTGTGTGCTTGTGTGTCTGCACGTGTGTCTGAGTGTGCTTGCGTGTCTGTGCTTGTGTGTGAGTGTACTTGTGTGTGCTTGTGTGAGTGTATCTCTGTGTGTGAGTGTACCTGTGCTTGTGAGTGTGTCGGTGCTTGTGTGTGTGCTTGTGCGTGTCTGTGTGTGAATGTGTTTGTGAGGGTGTGTGCGCACGCATGTGAGAGCGCAGGTGTCTGTGTGTATAGAAGAGTGTGTTGTGTGAATGCATGCATGTGCTTACCCTTTGTATCCCCCACCTGCTTCCCTGCCTTGCCCACGCTCATGCGGGGAGGGGGCGCGGGGAGGGGGCGCAGGACGGGCCTGGTCCAGGCGCACAGGTATCCTTGGAGAGGGGCCACGCTCCAATGCCCAGGCTCCACTTCACGCACCCTTTGGGACTCCCTGAGGACCCTGCACCTGGGCCAGCCAGCAGCCTGGTGACGCGGGGATCATGCTCCCATGCTAAGGAGAGAGCCAAGGGTCAGGAGAGAGCCAAGGGTCAGCAGGAATGCACAGATGGCCGCGTCTGAAGCCACGGAGTCAAGTCTCCCCTTCCTGCCCTGCGTCACCTGGCTGATGACTTACCTGCACCGCACCATGCAGAGGAAATTGCTCAGATAGCATCTCTCCTGGAAGCAGGGCTGCAGAGATCTGAGGGGTAACCCATCCCCTCTGCTCCCCTGTCCCAGAAGCAGGCTAGTCCTTGTAAGTTGCATTGCCTTAGGGGAGATGACATTCCTCGCCAGATGCCCTTCTTCTTGTAATTACCATGAATAGGAATGCAGCCCCCGCTTCTCCAGACCTGGCCAACTGGGGGATAGCTCCTGGCTGGAAGCCCTGTTGCATATTGTATCAGTTTCCTAGTTTCCTGTGGCTGCTGTAACAAATTACAAGCTTAGTGGCTTGGAACAGCACGCATGCATTACCTTACAGTCCCGGAGGCCAGAGGGCCGGCCCAGGTCTCACTGGGCTAAGGTCAAGGTGTTGGCCAGGCTGGGTCCTTCTGGAGGCTCTGGGAGGGGAACAGTTTCCTGCCTTTTCCAGCTTCTCGGGTTGCCCACATTCCTTAGCACATGGTCCCTTCCTCCATCTTCACAGGCAGCAAAGTTGCCTCTGTCTGGCCATCTTTCCTAGTCACACCTGCCCCTGGCCTTAGCTAGGAAAGACCCAGGACACTCTCCTGTCTCCAGGGCCTCAGTCTCATCTGCAAAGTCCCCCGGGCCACACAAGGCAACAGACCCACAGGTTCTAGGGATTTGATCATGGACATCATGGGGAAGCCATTGTTCTGCCAACATCTAATAATAGAGACCCCCAAGTTTCCTCCCTCTTCTTGGGCCAGGAGTCCCCTGGGGCTCCCTGCCTCCTCACTAACCACTGTGACCTTGCTCCAGGGCCCGTAATGTGCCTCTTCCTCACTGTGACCTTTGCCAGTTCCCGACCAAGGCCTCCCCACCACTCTTACCTCCTTTTCCCAGGAAGAGGGGGTCCCTCCAGGTCATCTGGGGGGTCTCTCCCCTCCTGCTTTCCCACAGCCTCCCTCTGAGGAACTCGGTGAGCCTTCCTCAGAAGGCCTTCCAGAGACCCCTTGCAAAGCCCAGCCCTAATGTGCCGTCCCCCACCTACCACTGAGGCCCCACAGGGCTCACCCACAGCAGACACTCACTGCAGATGTGGAGGTGCCTTAGTGCCTCCCCCTTATTTGACAGTCTTAAACATATGCCCTAAAACCCAACTGTCAGCCCCAAAGATGACCACCACCCATCCACCACATTGCTGGAGCCACAGAGCGACCAAGGGCTGACCCCTCCAGCCAACAGTGTGATCTGGGGAGTTACTCAGTCTCTCTGTGCCTCAGTTTTCTGGTCTAGGAAATGGGGATGATAATAATAGTATCAACCTCATAAGGCTGCTGCGAAGCTTAACTGAAATAATATGAATATTCGGCATAGCAACATGCTCAGTAAAAGTTAGCCATCATCATCACCATCATCATGGCCATCATCATCACCATCATCTTCATTGCCATCATCTTCATCACCATCATCATCACCATCATCTTCAATGCCATCATCATCACCATCATCGTCATCGTAATCTTCATCACCATCATCATCACCATCATCATCGTCATCTTCATCACCATCATCATGGCCATCATCATTGGTATTATTATGAGAATGCAGGTGGTCCCCTGCCAGGACCCGGCCACACAGAAATCAAAGGAGCTAAATGAGAAAGAGGAGCCCCGGGTCTGAGTTGGATTCTGCCACCAACAAGTGCTGGGGCCTGACTGCGTCACTTGTCCCTTGCAGATCCTCCTTGCCTGTGAAGTGGAGTGATGATGCTTTGCCCATGTCACGTGACGGGGTGAGACTCACACATACTAAGCCTGCAACAAGGTCTGAGAAGCCAGAAGCGCAACACAAATAGCGTGGAAGCGAGAGGTGTCCGGAGCAAGGCAGGGCGTTAGAGACGAGAGCAGGCCATCCCACCCCAGGGCCTCACAGCCCGGGCATCCCTGGGCATCCCTCCTTGGATGCTTAGAATAGTCAGGAATGTTCTCACCTCATTCTGTCACCCCTGGAGAAACAGAGGCACAGCAGGGTAGACTGCATGCCTCAGGCCCCCCAGCTGCATGTGGAAGAGCCAGGTCTCCACATGCCGGAAGCAATTCTTGCCTCTCTATGCTGCATGTCGTTCCTGTGACGACAGTGAGATGTCACCTCTGCAGACAGGGACAGCGTGTAGAGCGTGGCTCCATCCCATGCAGGAGGTGCCTGGAGGGCTTGGGACCTGGAATCACCCAGGCCCTGCCCCGGCCCTGGAGAACCTCAGCATCACGCGGCAGACCTGGATGTGGACCCGAATGATTCCAATATCCTGACATGGAAGGTGGCATCGGGTGTGCACACCCTGCCAGGGAGGACGTGGGAGCGCTGCTGTGCCTTGTGTCTGCAGGCACAGGAAAGCCCCCTAGAGGGCGCTTGATCAAGTCCGGAGACTCGCATCTGCCTGGCAGAGAAGGTGAAAGGGAGAGGTGGTCCCCTGGGAAGTCACAGCTGCCGGGGACCAGTGCACCTGCCGCACAGTGTGTGGTGCAGGGGTGTTGGGAGCCAGGCTGGGAGGGCAGGCGCGTGGCACCCACAGCTTTGCCATTCCCTCTGAGGAGTTTGCAATCCATTCTGTGAGCCATGGGGACCGGCTCACTTCTTAGAAGGCTTACTCCAGCAGCAGGGTGAGGAAGGACAGGGGAACAGGCTGAAGGGGACCCGTTCTGGGCTGCTGTGGTGACAACAGGGGAGGAACCAGAGCAGCCACACCAGGTACCGAGGAGGAGCCGCACCCTGAGATGCGGTCACTGCAGGGAGTGGTTGCTGTTCCCGTCCATGACCTAGGGGTAACCCGTGTGCCTCAGGCCCTGGCTCTGAGGCTGATGGGACATGTGTGTCCTGCCAGGCGTGTAGTAGCTGGGCATCAATGGTGGCTGTGATTCTGATGATGACGAGGGTCTCTGGGGAAGGGAGGCGTTCATTGTGGACGGTTCCTGGTGGCTGGTCAGGGAGTGGACAGGCCCTGGGGTCAGAGAGGCTGGTGGGCCCGGTGGACAAGCACAGGAAAGGCAGGGTGCCAGGGCGGTGAGGGTGCTCCGGCCGTCCTCCAGGAATGAGGCAGAGCACCAGCTCAGCAGGCAGAGAAGCCCTCACCTCTCAAAGCGGTTTCTCGTCCAGGTGAGGTTCTAAGGAAAGCAGCCGCTGGGCAGCAGGGGTGGCACTGACGCCTCACCGACTTCTTTCTCCAATGCTGGGAGCCCACCTGGGTGGGGAGCAAGTCCACGGGAGGGGTCCCTAACTTTCCTTTGTGATGTTCACTCATTCCGCAGATACTGGGTGAGTGCCTGCTGTGAGCCGAGTGCTGTGCTAGGAGCTGGCGGTCAGGGAGGAGCAGGAACGATGGATAGAATGAATGAGCGCGTGGAGGACTCGGCCTTGTCCAGTTCAGGAAGAACGCAATCTTGTCAAGTGTTTGTCATCCATGTGTTCATGCACTCATTAGACAGACATTTACTGAGGCCTCCTCTATTTGGGGCACTGCAGTGAACAAAACAGACAAAAGTCTCTGCCCTTGGAGCTTCAATTCCAGGGATTAAAATGAGTAACGATAACCATTGTTCTTCTGACGCTTTTTTCAGAGCAACCACAAGGTCTTCATCTATGTCTGACTCATCAACGAAGCAACCAAGACCCCATGAGCCACTTCATGAGCTCCAGGGAATAACCAGCACTCATGGGCGGAGTCTAAAACTAATATAAATGCTTAGAAATAAAAATACATGATTTTATCTCTCCTTTTTCCCCTAAAATGTTGGTTTCTAAGGAAACGGAAACATGTTTGACTCTAAAACTTCGATTTTAGTGTTTAGCATTGTGAACCCCAAAATCTGAGACAGGTCTCAGTCAATTTACGAAGTTTATTTTGCCCAAGTTAAGGATGTGTGTCTGTGACACAGCCTCAGAAGTTTTGACCACACGTGCCAAAGGTGGTCAGAGCACAGCTTGGTTTTATACGTTTTAGGGAGACATGAGACATCAATCAACATACGTAAGATGAACATTGGCTTGGTCCGGAAAGGCGGGGCCTCGGTGACATCAATCAACATATGCAAGATGAACATTGGCTTGGTCCGGAAAGGCAGGGCCTCGGCGACATCAATTAACATATGTAAGATGAACATTGGCTTGGTCCGGAAAGGCGGGGCCTCAGTGACATCAATCAACATATGCAAGATGAACATTGGCTTGGTCCGGAAAGGCAGGGCCTCAGTGACATCAATCAACCTATGTAAGATGAACATTGGCTTGGTCCAGAAAGGCAGGGCCTCAGTGACATCAATCAACGTATGTAAGATGAACACTGGCTTGGTCTGGAAAGGCGGGGCCTCAGTGACATCAATCATCATATGCAAGATGAACATTGGCTTGGTCCAGAAAGGCGGGACCTCGGTCCAGAAAGGCGGGACAACTTGAAGCCAAGACAGGAAGCAGGAAAGGGGCTTCCAGGTCACAGGTAGAAACAAATGGTTGCATCCTTTTGAGTTTCTGATTAGCCTCTCCAAAGGAGGCAACAAGAGATGCGTTTATCTCAGTGAGCAGAAGGGTGACTTTGAATAGAGTGGGAGGCAGGTTGGCCCTGAGCAATTCCCAGCTTGACTTTTCCCTTTAGCTTAGTGATTTTGGAGCCCCAAGATTTATTTTCCTTTCACAGCATGTGGCGGTTCTTTATTCTCATAAATGATTTCAAAACATTATGCACTTGGGGGATTTTATAATGAAAAATCGCGGTGTCCTATTAAAGCACAAAGAGGCAAAGCAGAAGCAGCAGACAGGACGTCAAAGAACCAGTGCATGGCTGCGCCGGGCCCCGGGGCTTCCCACACGGGTTACTGTCATCCTTCCGAATCACTGGACTTGAAGCCCAGCATGTTGCTGAGTTTTGCTCCAGAGGTGAGTGGACAAATGTGTCCTGCACCCCCACCCTCCCGACCAGGCCTTAGAGGACCGGGCTGGGAGCATGGGCAGCGTCAGACTCATTCCCCATGAGAGGTGAAATGAGAGACTCACTGACTTGCCAGGGGCAAAAGGCTTCAAGGCCAAGAGGGAGAAAGAATCTGTAGGAAGTTTTGAGGTTTGGAACTGGATTCCTCTTAAGACTGTGATTCTCAGATTCTCTGCAGAACTACAAGAAAATGTCCTCCTTATTGAAAGACAAAATGTGGTACTATGATGAGCAAGCCAAAGTATATATAATCACATATATAGCACAGTGTCACAGCCCTATGGTAAACATCATAGGCTCACTCTGTACCTGCAAGAAGCATTAGCAAAAGGGAACATTTTCCTTTTTCTATAAATTTCCACTTTATATACCCAATTAAATTTTTTTAAAGGTAGTTCTATATGGAATTTTTGGAAAGTTCCAGAAATTTGCAGCCTCAGTTTATCCCACTGTCCTGATACATGGTCCAGAATCATTTTCCTTTCATTTCTCTTTTTTTTCTTTTTGATTCTCAGACAATTGCCATTTGTTATTTAAGTGACAAAGGTAACGCATGCCGGCGGGAAGCAATGCACAAAATGTGAAGGTGAGTGGAGACCCTCCCCAGACCCCCCACCTCTGCCACCACCACAAACACGCACAATCCAAGTGTATCCATGCTTCTGTAGACTGATTTTTGCTATTATTTGTTCTTATAAACATGGGGTCCATATACCAGCTTCCGAGGGCTACCTAACAAAATATCACTGACCAGGTGGTATAGACAGCAGAAGTTTGTTTTCTCCCTGCCCCAGAGGCTGGAGGTCTGAGATCAGGGTGTGGGCAGGGCTGGTTTCTCCTGGGGCCTCCCTGCGTGGCTTGTGGACGCTGTCTCCTCCCAGTATCCTCCTGTGGCCACCCCTCTGTGTGTCCGTGCACTCGCCTCTTCTCGTAAGGACAGTCAGATTGGACCAGGGCCCCACCTCATGACCTCATTTTAGCAGACTGTGTGAGAGAACTGTTGCCCACATTCTCACCAGACAGGCGTATGGTTCTTTGTTCTTTTCTCAACTCTTTCTAAGGAAAATCTCAAACATACACAAAAGTCCAGAGAACAGAACAACGAACCATACTCACCACCCAGCTGCGACCACCATCAGCTTTTACTAATTGTATTGCATCTGTTTCCCTGGCCATTTTCTGGAACATATTTAGAACAAATCCCTGCCAAACATTATGGTATTTCACCAACAGACACCCATACGCATTTCTAAGGCACCAAGAGTTTTTAGCAACCTAGGTGCAATCCCGTTAATTCCTCAATATCAGCAAAGGCCACAAGGCTTCTGCTAGTGAGTGTTAGGCTGTGGAGCACTTCAGTAGGCCTCAATTCCATCTCCCTCTTTGCTAGCGTGGTGGGACCACCTTCAGACCTTTGCTTTTGAGGTAGGAGGTGGGACCTGAGTCCAGAGGCGGGGCTCTTGGACACAGGACCAAATTGAAGACTAGCTGAAACAGGGAGGGGCAGAAAACCAGTGTGCCATGTCAGTTTACCATTGTCACGGCAATACCCGGAGTACCACCCCTTCAATAACCTGACAACCCGGAAGTTACCACCCTTTTCCTAAAAGTTCTGCATAAACCACCCCTAATTTGCATATAATTAAAAGTGGACCTAAACATGACTGCAGACCTGCCGCTAAGCTGCTACCCTGGGCGCACTGCCTATGGGGGAGCCCTGCTTTACCAAGAGCAGTCCCTCCGTTGCCGCCGCTGTGCACGGGGCTTCCACAAAAGCTTCTGCCTCACACCCCTGGCCCGCCCTGGAGTTCTTCCCTCCTGGGCAAGCCCCGATTTTGGTGTTTGCCTGTCCTGCATCGCTTTCATCTGGATTTCCTCCCATGTGAAATTAGCTGTGCAGATCCTTCCCTTTTTTTTTTTTCTATTGAATCATTTTCCTCTTATCAATACGTATGTTCTCTTTCTATATGAAGTTATATGCAGATTCAGAAGAGAAGGCTTCAGGCAAGTTCCTTCTCCAGCCCCTGCTCCCATCTCTCTCTTCCCTGTTTCTCTGGCCCTTGCTCTCATCTCTCTCTGCCCTGCTTGGAGGCATCCAGCCTTCTTCACCACAGGGAACATGGAGCTCAAAAGATAACACACACCTTAATGCTGTTGACAGCTGCCCCAGTGGCAAAGGGACATGTTTTCATCACCTACACCTTGTTTGGCCAGTTAGAGGGCTGTGTTTCTCAGAGTCAGGAAGTCCTGGGCCAGGTGGAGGAAAGAAATGGCGCAGCCACCTCTGGCCTCCTCCTGCTCCTCCTGGATCTGGGAGATGGCGCCCAGCCAAGCCCTCCATGCCCTGCCCGTGAGTGGGATGTCTGACTGCTCTCACCGTCTCTCCTTCTCCCCTTAACCCCAGGCCCAACCCCTCCGGGCTCACTGCTTGTGGTTTTTCTGCTTAGGAATTGGTCCCTGGGTGTAGCCCAGGCTTGTAGGGCCCCGTCCTCCCCAGCCCTGCTCCCCACTGTTCAGGGGCAGCCCCCCCACTCCTCCCACCTGCCGTGGCTCTTTGCTGCACCCTCCCTGGCCCAGTCTTGGCATTCGCCCTTATCAGTTCTCCGTCTTCTTTGAAGCTGAGACAGAGTATTGTCCCCCACTTGCTTGCAGATGCTAAGATGGAGTTTAGAGCACAGGATATTGATCAGGGACCCATGCCTGGGAAAGGGGCAGAGAGAGAAGCCCAGCAAGATGCACCCTGGCCCAGCCTCGGCACCCCCAGGGAGCCCTGGGCTGTGGGGCCTGTTAGAGTTGCTGCAGGTGGGCGGGAAGGGCTGGGCATTCATACCCCCCACAGCTGGTCCCGGGTAAGGTGACCATCTGCAGCTGAGGCAGCCTGAAGGAGGGACAGCTGGAGGTATCTGAGGCTGCTCTCCCAATGCTGGAGGGCAGGGCCTTCCCTGGAGGGATCCGAAGGGGCATTTCCATGCCCAGCTCATACAGGAAGCTTATTGGAGCCTCACATCTGGAAAGCACTACAGACCGCACCGCAGACCGCACGACAGACCGCACCGCAGACCGCTCTACAGACCGGCACATGCGCAACCCTGCCCGGCTGCTCTCCCTCCCTGCCTGGCTGCTCTCCCTCCCTGCCCAGCTGCTTTCTCTCCCTGCTGTGACCAGGCCATTTTGGTGCATTATCTGTGCTCAGCGCTTTCCTCCTCTATTTGATGACTTTTCCAGGCAGTGGGCCTGGGGGTGAAGTCCCCTTGACCTTTGGGCTCCACCCAGGCACCTGGAGCCCCTGGGCTCTTCCCCTGCAGGGAACTGTTAGCATCCTGCACTTTGCCCTCCTCCCATCCTGCCCACGGGAGATGCAGCGTGAACTCCTAGTCCTCAAAAAGGCTTAAAAATTGCTCTACATTTTATGTTTAACGTGTGGTTATGTTAAAAAATTCATAACTAATGACTTGAGGCTTTGTTCTTCTCCGTACTCCACCGGTGAGTCCCTGTGGAGCTGGGCACGTCCCTTGATTTATCTTGGTTTCAGTCTCCTCCTCTGTGAGGAGGTGGAGGAAGGAGCGCTTCTCTTCCAACGCAGGGAGTCACCCATGGGACAGTCTCTGGTCTGTGCACCTGGCTGCTGAGGAGGGAGCAGGAGGGCTGTGGAGGGTCTTCTCCAAGGCCCCAGAACCATGTGATGAGGGCTTCCCGCCGCCAGCACCCAAGTCCTGCTCTGTGGCATGGCAGGCGGAGCCGAGCCTGAGGCAGGGCTCCCAGTTGCTGGATATGAAATCTGTCCTCAAACACTGCCAACTGGCTCATCCCCATGTCGGTGGAAGGCTGGGCCACAGCTCTGTGTGCAGGGAGAGTGGGGGCAGGCGGGCAGCTACTCCCATATGGACCCATGGAGCAGGGCCTTCTGATCCCATTATCCCAGATCAGATCTGCATGAGAGGATCTCCCTCTGCCTGGGGAGAGAAACATAGGAGGACAGCCGTGTTCCCGTTCCACATGGACGCATGACCAAAACATATGCACACATGCCACACGCATGCATACATAGGCATTTGTGTTTACACACCATGCTCACACAAAAATAGACATGCACACGCACTTGCACATGAACACCCACACACACACACGTGCAAACACACAATGCAGCCATGTACACACATGCACGTATGCTCACGCATGCACAATACACATCCATAGACATGCATTTACACATGAACACACACATGTGCACACAAACACACACACACACCCAAAAGCTCCAAGCTCCAAGTAAGCAAAGCCCTGAAAGCATGGGGTACATTGCAGAAAGCCCAGAATTCTCCTCCCCACTTAAGTCTCCAGAGCCACCAGGGAGGCGATGAGCCAGGGGAAGGACTTACTGCCTCTGGGTACCTTAGCCAGGCCTCTAAGAACTCAGCAAACCGGGACAGGGGATATATTTAAAGGAATTTTATTATGTTTTTAAAGATACCTTTTTCCTGTCAGGCCTGTGGTTTAATAAATACCTAGGGCTTACCCTTAAACTCTCCAAGGCTCAGGGCTAAGGACTTCATGACAGGTTTGCCCCTCATCTGCGAAGTGGCCTGAATCCCAGCTGTGAGAGCTGATATCAAAGCTCACTCGTCGGCTCCCAAACAAGAGAGGAGCACAGAGAAGCCGGCAAGAGAGATGAGGAGGGTTTGGGAGAATTAGCTGAGGAGACGGCAGCCACACATCAGGAAAACGCGCCAAGAGAAGGGCTTCAAACATAAATCTTTGAGGATAGACAGTCCCTCTAGTTACAAAGCAAAGATGTGCAAAGCTTGGTTCTCTGTTTTCACAGAAGCAGCCTCTTGGGCCCCAGCACAACTGAGCAGGCTCAGTCACGGTCAGCTCAGGGATGAGTAGCTACATGGACAGGCTTCCCATGAGGCCAGGTGGCCGTGGCAAAGGCTCCTGGCAAGGCTGCCTCCCCTGCCCACAGTGCAAATTTCCGAGCAAATTGCCGAGGGCCCTTGCCCTGATTTCATGATCAAACTCCTTGCAGGCGGAGAGCTGCCCTCCCACTGCTCTTCTGCATGTTCCTGGGGCACATGAGGGTCCTCAGCCTCCCTCCCCAGTGGCTCTTCTGGTTCTCTTGCCAACAAAAGTGATGTCTCATGATTTACACAGCTTTCCCATGAGTCTCACAATGGGTAATTGTATGTGTCACCTTGACTGGGCCACAGGGTACCCAGATATTTGGCTAAACATGGTCTGGGTGTTTCTATGAGGGTGTTTCAGATGAGATTAGCATTTGAATCTATGGACTCAGAAAAGCAGATGGCCTCCCCAGTGTGGTGGGCCTCATCCAATCCATTTGGGCCTGAATAGAACAAAAGACTGGGCAACAGAGAATTCACTCTCTGCCTGACTGCTTGAGCTGGGACATCTATCTTCTCCTGCCTTCAGGTGGGGACATATGCCATCAGCGCTCCTGGTTCTCTGCCTTCAGTCTTGGACTGACCCACACCATAGCTTCCTGGGTCTCCAGTGTGCAGACAGCAGAATGTGGACCTTCTAGGCCCCTGAAATAGATGAGCCAATTCCTTATAATAAACCACACACACTCACACATACACACACACTCACATACACACACACACTCACACACACACATTCTATTGCTTCTGTATCTCTGAAGAACCCTGAAAAATACAAGTGTGCGTTTCAGAACCACTCTCTGAGGGCATTCACAGACTCACCTGTGCCATTGCTGGCCGAGTCCACATCTCTCATATGGGGTCTTGCCCTCCTTAGTCCTCTGTCACTTGGGGCACCTGCCACGCCTCTTCCTTCTGCCTGTGATGTTCACTTTCCAGCCAGCTCCTTGTCTCACTTCTGCTAATGGCCCTGCTGTCTTCTTGGGTTGAAACCATGGCATTCTCGGTACCTCTAAAAAGATCCCATCCATTATGGCTGTCTGAGCCTCTCAGCTGGACCTTCTCCGAAAAATGGCCAGGGAAACAGATCCTGCCTGCCACATCCAGTGGAGTTGCAGGTCACTGCTGGCAGGACTGCCTGTTGGCATCAGACCTAGAAAGGGGAGGATGCAAACTAAGCCATTACACCTGTCCTTCTCGCCGTGCTCAGGAATAATCACAGCAACACGTGTACAGCGAGCACCTACTATGTGCAGCTCATGTATTTTCTGACTCTCTGGCTAATATTTTTCTTCTGTACAGGGAAGTTAGTTTTGGCTGCCAGCAGCTTTGTGGGACACAACCACAAGAATGGAAGATACATGGCCATTAGGATTCTCACCTCCGGGACCAGAAGGATCTAGACTCACTAGCTGTATAAATGTAGTCAAGTAATTTAAACTCTTAAAACTACACATGTCCTTGTCTATAAATTGAGAATAATAGTATAGTTGTGAAGCTTACATATTTTAGGTAGAATGTGATTGTTGTTCGGCACACAGGAAATGCTCAATGCATGTCAACTCTTATTACTGTCACCATCATGCATCTACAAAGGGCTTGAGTGACTAACAAAAATTAAATCAAGATTTGCCCTATCATGAGTACTTACCTGTGTTATCAAACTACACTTGAATTCACCTATTCATGAGGTTGACCCTGTCACTCGTGTTCCATTGTGGGCTTTGGGGGGTGGAGTTCACCCGCACACCCTGGGCAGAGCTGTGAGTGCATTTATAGCTTTGTAGTGTAGCCTCCTAAAATGGAAGGGCTAGAGGTAACCTGAGCCATGATCATCTCCGTGTGAAAGATGGGTGCTGACGTCCGCAGACAGCACAGGGAGAGAAGGGGCCGCATTTTCTTCAGGCTTCGTGACTCAGTATGGAGCCACCAGCAGCACTGCCCAAGCTGTCTTGAGGAGCTGGGATCCGAGGCTGACACCCAGTGCTGCCATGCTGGTTACTGCTGGTTAGCACTGTTGGCAAACTGCCACCAGCCCAGCCCCCGAGCACTGCCTCCCCCACTGCTTGGCGGCTGTCCCCACCCTCTACCCCCATCCCAGCAGCGTTGGGGGTGCAGCCTGCCTGAGGCCAGCATCCACTGGAGCAGCCTGTGCCACTCAAACCCTGGAGCACTTTGTGTATCGCCCCTCCAGAGACCCTCAGAAAATGAGGAGATGATGTGAGGGAGCACCGTACTGCCCTTGGAGCTCCACGACCTCCTCACCTGAACATGAAACTCTTATTTTGAGGGAACATGAATTAACACTCCCAGAACAAGTGCGGGGAATACTGTGTGAAATAAAACTCCGGGGCTCCTGTTGGGAGAAGGAAAATATAAAAGAGAGGAAGTGAGCAGGATGTGCCAGGAGACGTGTCAGAGGCGGCTGGGCTCCCAGATGAGGTGTGTGTGGACCCCGCAGGGTGCAGCAGGAGCCTGCAGGACTTCTCAGGGCCTTTCCTGCACTAGGAGACGGCAGGGCCCACAAGGGAACGTGTTCTAAAAATGAGCGTGCTCTTCCGTGGGGCCTTTTCAGGCTCACTCGCTGCATTTTTTGTCTCCAGGCATTTGCTGTATTTTGTGTATGTGCAGTTGGTGGCCTGTGATATCCTGGGCAGTGCACTCAGTTTGGGTGCTGTCCAGTGCCCCCTGGTAGAGGGCCCTCCCGCCCTACACACCCTCAACCTTGAAGCAACCTCGACATTTGGAAACTGAGATGTCATACTGGGCACTCCTCCACATTGGCGACCATCCACAGCCCTGCCTGGTGCTAAAGGGTGGGCTGCATCCCTGCTACCTCTGTGAGCCTGGGAAAGCATCGGCCCAACCACCTGCCAGAGAGCCCCGGCCCGCCCTCCCTGGAGCAGCCCCAGGCCTTCCAGCCCCATCGCAGAATGCTTCCCAAACTGTACCTGCACTGCGGCCTTATCTCCACCACCCCCACCGCTCTGTGCTCCAACAGAGCCCTGTGGAGATGAATGGCTGGAGAACACATTGCTGTCAGGCCTCGGAAAGGCACTGAGACCCAGGTCCCCACTCCAGCTCTGGCAGGTGGAGGCGAGGGAGTGGGAGGAATCTTACCCAGACTCGAGCTTGCCTCCCAGCATGGCTTTCCACGGCCAAGTAACCTTGCACTGCCGACTTCATCACTGTGAGCCTCAGTTTCCTCATCTGTAAAATGGAGCCATGGATTCTGAGGCCAGGAGTTGTGTGCAAGGACGTATTCAGGAAGTGACCCCAGGAGACTGGTCAGAGTGTGGGAGAAGCAGAACGGGGAAGCAGAGGGGGCCGGGCAGGGGGCACTGCCAAGGGCGCCTTCAGCCACGGGGAGTCCTGGGGAAAACTGCCCAGAGTCACCCTCGGCAGAAGCAAAGGAGATGGGCAGCCACAGCCGGCACTGGCCATGCAGGGCCCTGAGGATGGGGTGGAAAGCGGCCTCTCAGGCCTTCCCAGCTCCCCGTGTCCAGTGGGGTCTGGCTCCTTTGGCCTGAGATAAGGTCTCCAGGGAGCTGCCCAGGTGATGAGGTCTCCAGGGAGCTGCCCAGGTGCTGGGCTTGAGAAAGGAAAGTTCACAGAAGGGTAGGGTTTAGAGAGCAGCAAGAAGGCAAGGGTCAATCCATGGAAGCACGGCCATCCCCCACCACTGGGACCAGCCCGCCTATTGCCAGGACCGTGGTGAGGGCCCAGGAAGCTGCCCGCTTCTAGCTGAGGGGCCAGCACACAGGATGCCCCAGCCCCGGGAACTCCGTTCCCCTCCAGGACACCCTCGTTCATCACAGTCTGGCCTCGTCTACATCAGCAGGGTCGGGCATGGGGTGGGCCTGGGCTGTTATTAACAGCTCAAAAAACAATTTTCATTCTGCAAGTCATTTGGCCTGCCCCCCCACCCCATTTGCCCGCCTGTCCATTACAGGTGCCACTGAAGATGAGACTTAAGCTGACCAGCCTCAGACGAGACTTCCAGCCAAGGTTTGGTCTTCACGGACGGGAGGCCTGAGGCCTGTGCCAGTCCCGTGGGGACCGCAGCCACCAATTCACCGTGCGCTCCTCCAGCGTGAACAGTCCTGGCTCCCTCTCTCCTGAGCTGCACTCAGGGGAAACCCGAACAAGACCTCTCGCCCCTTGGCTTGGTTGTGATTGTGGTTGCGGCTCCAGGACAAGCTGGGCACCATGCACTCCCTGGGGAAGTTTCTGGGTAGGCACCATGACGTGGGGTATCCGAGGCCGCCCACCTCAATAGCCATGCCTGGTCTGCAGCTGGACAGTGTGTGTGCATGAAGGTGGCCTCTGGACTTAGGGCCAGGAGTCACCAGTCAATGATTCTGTCTGGGTCTGGCTATTTCAGCCATCTTTGGGGTCCACTGCGACCCCTGTCTGGGATGGTGAGATCCCACCAATTATGTTAAATTGACCAAAAACAAAAAACTGTGAGACTGTTGACTGGACAGACTTGCTATCCATTAGCAGACCTTGAGGATGTCCTTACCCAGCTGAGGCTGCAGATGAGGGGCCACGGGCCCCCCACCGCACTCGTCGGCAGGAGAAGAGAGTCAGTACGTAGAAGTGCACAGACACCTGATGAATCTAAGAGCAAATGAATCTCTTCTTCAATACTGCTCCTTCGAACCAATCCTGCCTAAACACCGAGTCTATCCACCCAGCAGACACTAATGGGTCCCCTCCGGCCTGCCTCATACAGCTGCAGCATGGCGCGTGCTGTACCATTACAGATGGGTCAGCCTAGTGGCCCTGGACCTGGAGACAGTGCCCGCCCTTCTGCTGCAGGACCTCACCTTAATGAATTACATCTGCACCAGCCCTGCTTCGCGGTACATTTCTGTTGTCTGAAGCTACCAAGCTGCAAACCTGGGCAAGGAGTGGAGCTTGGATAAGAATCACCTGGGAAAGGAGTGGAGCTTGGAATAAGAATCACCTGGGCAATCACTATAAACTGTGGCTCCCGAGGCCCTGCCAGAAACCCTGATTTAAGCTGCAGGCTGCAGGTGATCGTGATGAGAGCCCGTTCTATGGAATGGAAGCCTTCCGGCACTGTGCTGGGCAAAGATCATCCTATTTGTCTGTGGGCTTCAGACCCTTATCCTTGCCTGTCAGCCCACAGTTCTCTCTCGATTCTGACCACTGGTCACCTCTGGTTACAACCCAAGCCCCCACCTCAGCCCAGAGCCACAAACACCCCGAACTCCTCTGAGATGGTCCTGAACATCCGCATGTCTGTGCTTCTCCGTCTGTCTATGTATTTACGATGCCTGCTTGAGCCATATCACACCTAACCAGCAGGTGCCTCTGTGCCCAAAATGAAAAATTAATTAAGTTTAAGGCTTCAGGTTATGTAAAACAAATTAGGTCTCTGCTTCATCAATTTAAGTCCCCAAACCTTGCCACTAAGTTTACGTAGGTTGTGATATTGTTCAGTCAAATAACACAAACCTTAAAAAGCAGAAACTGTGTGTATAGAGTGATGACACAAGCTCATCAACTGTAGGAACTAGGTCAGAAATAAGCTTTTCACCCCACATGTGGGAGACTCTGGCCCTTGAATTATTCATGCCAATGTGTGCTCCACTGCTTTAAACGAGCCAATTGAGCATTGGTTTGGAAGGTCATTAACACCCAGGAAAAATGCAAATGGTTTTTTCTCCTTGTTAATTGTCATAGTCTGAGAATCACCCCACATGGAAAGGAAATGAAAGCAGGTTCCATCCCTGGTGGGGCAGACAGGGGCTCCCGCTACTGACAGACTCTTCTTGGATGTCGACTGGAGAAGGTCCCCGTGGGCAGCTGCCTCTCCATGGAGACCCCGGCTTGCTGGGTGAGGAAGCAAATTGAGGTGCTATTTAAAGCGACGTCTAATAAGTGACTAATCGGGACTCTTTCTCGGATAGGGTGGAATTGGGGTCAAAGCTCAATTAGCCTAGAAAACTTCCCCTCTGCCTGACCACTGGTGAGAGCGATCCTCAGCAGAATCTGCAGCCGAGGGAATTCATCCAAGCCCTGCATTTTGGAAGCCCACGGAGGTAGTGGGATTTGCCCAAGCTACTCAAATACTGAATGACAGAGATGAAACCAGAATCCCTCCTTGTCCCAAGCCCAGTGCACCTCTCTCCACACCTCCTGTCCCTGGGGAAGCCCATATTTGAAGGTTCATGGGAAGTAACACTCCATATCAGTAAGTGCAGCTGGAGGAGAGCAGGCTTCCACCCTGCATTGCAATCTGGAGGAGACTCCAAATGGGAACCACAGTGTTGTTCTCCAGATCCCTTCGGGGTGGGACAGAGGGGTCGTGGGTGTGCTGGGCTGGCCAAACAGCTTGGCGTGGTGCTGGTCTCCAGCTGAGAGCCGCCCCCCTTTCCACCCTGGCTACAGCCTCCAGCACAGCCAGGAGGTCAAGGTGCTCCTCACTGGCACTGCCAGGCTCCAAGTGCCGAAACCACGGGCAACCTCGGGAGGGCCCTTCCTCTCCTGTGTCTCGTGGTCCCAAAAAACACAGGTAGTGAGTAAAGAAAACAGGAGCATGTTCACTGATACAGGGTGAGGGGTTAGAGAAGGCCTCAAACAGCTGGTTCCAGTTTTGCTTATCAACAACACATTCTGTCTAGAATAGAGGTGATCAAATCTTAGTGTCTGTAAAACTTACCCAAGAGGCTTCTGACCTATAGGACCTGGAAGGATGATGTGTGGTTTCAAGTCCTGGCTTTGTGGTGATTTTTTTTTAACAGTGGTTTGTTCCAGCAGCCACAGGAATCCCGAACACCCCCCGGTGAGCACATTCGGAGTGGCTCCTTCCCCACCCACTGCTGACTGGGCCTCACCGTGCTCCACTCTGCCTCCAGGGAGCTTCCTGGCTTCACTTCACTTGACCAACAACCAAGAGAGGGCTCAGGGTGTCAGTCTCGGTGCTGTGGAGACTGGGGTGTGGCCACTGCTGCCCGTGGCCTTCCAGCAAGTCCTGTCGCCCTGCGGGATGAAAGCCTCAGGGACGGGGACTCCTCGTTCCACACAGAGCTCCGCCCAGGAGCATCATCGGATGGGGACCAGCTTGGAGGTCAGGCTGCTCCCTTGTCTTAATGAATCCACACCCAGGAAAAAGTGAAGTTCTTCTTGGATCAAGAAGTTAAAGCCGGTAAGACAACCCTCCCCCCAGCAGCTCCCCGGCCGTCCTTCCAAGTCCACATCTGTGTGGCTGCTGTTAGCGTGGGGGGCAGGGGCTCCAGCATGGGGTGGGGGCACTGGGCCTTCTCCAAGACAACGTCAGGCCTGCTGAACTGCAGCCCCAGTTATAGCAGCAGCACCGGGGCTGAGCACGTGTTCCCCCCAGCCACACTCCCTACGGTCTAATCCCACATGACGGGCCAGGTTCTTGACTTAGGTAAGGTCAGTGCCAACTTCGCCTCGCCAACCGCAACCCCCACAGCCTAATCCCACATGGCAGACCAGGTTCTTAGGTAAGGTCAGGGCCAACCTTGACCCCAAATCCTGCCTTGTGGATCATATAGCCCCACACCTGTCACAGGGCCGTGTGCCCACGGGGTGAAGGTATTTATGGAATGAACTGTGTGGAAGGAGTTCGCTGACTCCCCCCAGTCTCTGGGGACTGCGTGTGGCTCCTCTGTCGTCTGTTCCTTCACTTCCCCATGCACTGAGGGGCTCGCCACGGCACGGCTCCTCAGAGCTATGCTGTTTCCTGCACTTGAGGGGGGCCTAGTCACCTCAATTGGCCCCATTAGACATGGGAGGAGAGAAGAGCTAGCTGGTGAGAAGGTGACTTCCTAAACCCCAGCAGCTATAGGAAATTCAGCAATTTCTGGCAGGCGCCTTCCTCCACAGGAGCAGGAACCAGTGTGGCACCAGAAGGAGATCTGGTCCTTGTTTGCAGGATGAAGTGCTGAGGACCAGGGTGGAGAGGCAGCTCACACATCACCCCACACCTTTTCCCATCTGGCCTCACCCGGTCATCCTTGCTCATGCTGCAGCTTGTGGGGTCCAGAAGCTGAGGTGCCGGGTCAGGCTACAGACTCTCAGCTTGGTCCTGCTTTGAGAAGCACACAGGAAATGCTTGCACAGAGCCACCATAAATAAGACAAGGTCCTTTCCTGGTAGGACTCACAGACCAGGACAACCAGAGGAGGAAACAGAAAGGGACCACGCGGGGGACCCAGGCCGCTTGGATTAGTAGAGACGGCTCACAAAGGCTTTGTGGAGAGGGAGACGTTGCCACCAAGTCTTGTTCTGAGCACTCGGGGATCTCCCTGGAGGGGCGGAAGGCAACAGGAGTGTGTTCCCGGCCCGCCCCACCACCCGCAGGCACTCCGTGTGGGTCAGTGCACCATCCTTGGAGGTTCACTGTGGGAGAAGCTAATGGAAGCTGGATCACCTGGAAATACAACAGGGCCTCCAAGATTAAGCACTAAGAATAGCTGGCAAGAGATGGAGCAAGATGGGATAAGCCACCCCCTAGGAGTGACATCAGTGCCAGGGAAAGCCTTCAAGCCAAAGGAACCTGCAAAAGTGTCCCCCCAGCCACACTCCCTGTGTTCATAGAGTCGGTGCAGGTGGGGGGACCCAGAGAGGAGGACGACGGGGAAGGGGATATTCTAAACCTGTGCATGAACCCAGACAAAGCTGTGCACCTCTAAGCTGCACAGGTGTGGCAACAGAGCAAGGGTTTGAGGGGAGACTGAAACAGAGCAATGGCAGGGAGACTGAAACCCCCATCCAAGTCTCTGATCAACCCGGGAGCGACAGGTGTGAGACACACTCAAAGCAGCATAACAAATGCCTTGAGAACTGAGCTAAGATCCTAACCCACTGTATACCGCTCAGATTGGCCCCTCGGTGAGCAGGCACGGCTGAGACAAAGCAAAAGAGCGATGGCTTGGAAAATGAACACAGAGGCAAGATGAAACTTACAGCCTCAACTGCGTGCACTGATTGATTGCCAGACAGGGAAAGAAACCTACATTCTCCAGAGGTTTATCATAAGACCATAAGACCCAGAGTTCATACAACACGACATTCACAATGTCTGCAATACAATTCAAAATTACTAGACTTACAAAGAATCAAAAATATATAGCCAATTTCCAAGTGGAGGTGGCAAGGAGGCCCTAGAACAAGTGCCAGTGATGGAAATGTGGAACCCATGGGCACAGGAGTCCAGGCCCAGGGACCTCTGCAGAGCAGCCTCCAAACTTTGTGCCTTTGTGCAAATTCTAAAGAGCCACCTTAAAGAGAATATTCTTAATGGATGTAGCAGTGCACGTGAGCTTCCTGCTCCTGAGGAGCTTTGCAGAGCCCCCATGGATAGCATTCCTGGTTTACTCCCAGCTACCCTGACTCTTGCCTGCTCACGGATCCCAGCCTCCAGGCATGTACAATGTCTGCAGGTTAGCTGAGGGTCAGGTCGGGGGTGTGGGATGGAGCCCCTGGGAACACCAGTCAGTGAAGACAAGTGTCTTTTGAGAAATCCCAGAGGGTCATGGGAGCGGAGGCATCCATGCACGTGTGTGTGTCCCCACAGGTATGGGCTCGGCCATATGTGCTTGTGTGAGTTTGTGCAGGATGCAGATTTCCTCTGCTGCTTCAGGACTTGGCAGGAGGTGCCCAGAATGCCCACCACCTCCCTCCCGTGCACTGGCATGTAAATTGGGACACCTATATGGTGTGAACTGTGCTGCCTTACACATGGTGTCCTGGTGGGGTGGGCAGACTGACGCCTCCACCCAAAGGCCCTGGGAATCCCTGGGACAAAGGCAGTTTGTGTGTCCCCAAAGAAGAAGTGCTTGCATATATTATTTGTTATTGTTAAATTATTTAATGGAGACTTGTACTTCACACATATCTCACAAATTGCTTCATTGAAAAGAAAGAAAGACATCAAGCTGCAGTGGACCTAGGAATTTGGGGAATTGCTGCTAGTGTGGCACACCTGTCTCTTCTGTCTCCCAGAGATCTGTGCAAGAGCCATAAAACCATCTTGCCTGAGGACCTGGGGGAAAGGGGTCCAGTGTTCAGGCCACACAGCAGTAGCTTCACGGTCTCTTTATCTTATCCACCCAGGGACCCTGAGAGAGACGCTGCCCCCAGGGCCCAGCCAGCAGGAGCCTCCCTAGTAGAAAGGTTTTCTCCTTGAAAATGATGTTGCGGAAGAGAGGAGGGCAGGGGTACGGGAGGATGGGAGGAAATGAGAACCTTCCTTCTTAGCATAAGCAGCTGTTTCTTAAAACTCGGCTGTTGGGAGCAGTTTGAAAACGTGTCCAAACATTCAGTAAGCATTTGTGGTACACAGATCATGGACTCAGTAATGTGGTGTTGGGAGGTGGGAAGCGAAGGGGGTACAGAGGGAATATGTGCTGCTCCCCCTGCCTTTGAGGATGTAGCCCAGGTGCCCAGACCCGCACAGGAAGGCTGTGGAGGGGACAAGGACCCCGCACGGGTGGCAGCCAGGTTCAAGGCTCAGCTCTCCTCACTCATCTCTTGCCCTGCAGCTTTTTGGTCTGCAAATGGAAAGTCAGAAAACCTGCCTGACAGTGTGAGTGTCGGGAGCAAATTAGAAGCGAATAAGGGATGGGGAAAGAGTGCTCATCCGCTGGGGAACATCACACACCGGGGCCTGTCGTGGGGTGGGGGGCTGGGGGAGGGATAGCATTAGGAGACATACCTAATGTAAATGATGAGTTAATGGGTGCAGCACACCAACATGGCACATGTGTACGTATGTAACAAACCTGCACATTGTGCACATGTACCCTAGAACTTAAAGTATAATAATAAAAAAAGAAAAAAAAGAAAGAGTGCTCATCCGCAAATAGCAGGGGGTGGCTGTTATCTGCACGAATGTGTAGGCAGATCCTGTGTTATTTCTAAGTTCCGCCCCATGCCTGAGCCCAGGACAACCAGAGGAGGAAACAGAAAGGAACCGTGTGGGGGACCCAGGCCGCTTGGATTAGTAGAGACGGCTCACAAAGGCTTTGTGGAGAGGGAGACGTTGCCACCAAGTCTTGTCCTGAGCACTCGGGGATCTCCCTGGAGGGGCGGAAGGCAACAGGAGTGTGTTCCCGGTCAGCCCCACCACCCGCAGGCACTCCGTGTGGGTCAGTGCACCATCCTTGGAGGTTCGTTGAGGGAGAAGCTAATGGAAGGGGGGGACTGATGAGGCCAGTGGTTTTCTCACTTAAATGGAAAGTCCTGTGTCCAGGACCCAGGCATCCCAGAGGCATTCTAAAGTCTCCCCAGCATGCAGCCGCTGGGTGGCAGCCAGTGTGAGGGCCATGTTAGAGGAGCTTTAAGATTCTATTATTTGGGAGTCATCCTAGGTAGATGACAATCAGGGGTCCGGGAACATCTTGTGTAGAATAAATATGTAGGTCAAAGGCGCTCCTGCCACGTGGAAGGGCGTGTGAGAGGGTGTGAGCTGGGTCAGGAAGCTCCTTTCTGAGGCCTCTCTCCAGTCTGGTGTCCCAAGAAGCAGCGGCACGCAAGGAGGAGCGAGACCAGCAGAGACAAGAGCAGGAAGGAAGAGGAGCCGCAGTGAGAAGGTGGACCCGACGCCACTCCGTGACCATGTTGGTCATACAGGGACCATACAGGGCCTTTGTCTACATGTGGCGCAGCCTCTGACCATGGCATTCTCCAGGGATTACTCTGAAAGGCAGGCTCCCAGCCCTGCCTCAGCACTCAGAGCCCACGTAGTCCCGGCCAAAAGGGTCAAAGAGACATTGAATGCATAGGTACCGTGAAAGAAAGAAAGAAGGAAGCACAGCAGGGAAGGAAGGAGGGGAAGAGCGAGGGAGACAGGGAGATGGGAAGGGAGGGAGAAAGAAGGAGAGAAGGAAGGGAGGGAGTTAAAATTTCACAAGGGATCTATCTGGGTAAAATGTATGCCAGAGCCAAGCATCTACAAACACATAAATGCCCCCATTTTCCTGACATCTGTTCAGGAGATCCTTAACAGCCCTGACGATCTGAGCCAGCTACATTAGTGGATGTGTCACAGAGCTCAGGAAGAGGCAGTTTGACTATAATTCTGTCATCATCTGGTCTCCTGATGAGACCACAGCACTGCATGGCTGTCTGAGGCTCCTGGGCTCTGAGGGACTGGGTAAGGTTACTCGGTCTGGTGTCTGGTGGTTCCCAGACCTAGCTGCATGTCACCTTGGGAACTTGCTTTCCCCCATATGTTTTGGGTAGGAAGACTTGCTTTTTATTGAAGTAGAACGATCCTACAGAAAAGTGCACAATCTGAGTGTGTGGCATGGTGAGTTTTCACAAACTAAGCACACCCATGTAGGCAGCACCACCTCCAAAGATAACCAAGGTGGCTTCCAACGTCATGGTCTAGTTTTGTCTGTTTTTTACCTTTATATACACAGAGTCATGCACTCTGCACCACGTTGTGCCTGATGCTTCTTCTTCTTCGCGTTTATGAGTCTCGTCCATGTTGCACGTTGGGTGTTTTAAGTCATGCAGTGACTCATTTGCTGTGGCACCTGTGCCATGCGAGGTAAGGTGATAATGTGGAGAAACTAGACACAGGGGTCCAGGGGTCCAGGAGCACTCTGCACTGTCTTCACAGCTTTTCTGCTTATTTAAAACTATTACAAAATCAAAAGTTTTTTTTTTTTAAAATCAGAGGGAGGATTGAGAGGTGAGAGAGGAGACTTTGATTGGGCGTAGAAACCTTTTCTTTGGGGGAGAGAAGGTGCATCTAAATAAGTTCTTTTATCCATGAGCCTTTCTCTAGTGTTGCAGTGGGAAAATGGGATGCTCCAGATAGGCCACTACAAGGAACTTAGCCAAGTAATATGGTATTATGCTTCCAAAAATGAAGATACTGTGGGAGTATTATTAACGGTGCCATCAATGACACTATGCATAAATCATATCATGTACTATATATATGCACACACAGTGACATAGTTTGGATCTGTGTCCCCACCCAAGTCTCATGTTGAATTGTAACCCCCAGTGTTGGAGGTGGGGCCTGGTAGGAGGTGTTTGGATTATGGGGGTGGATCCCTTACGAATGGCTTGGGCCATCCCCTTGGTGTTAAGTGAGTTTGCTCTGAGTTCAGAGGAGATCTGGTTGTGTGTGTGGCACCTCCCCCCTCTCTCTCTCTCTTGCTCCTCGTCTGGCCATGTAAGACGTGCCTGCACCCCCTCCACCTTCCACCATGACTGGAAGCTGCCTGAGGCCTTCCCAGGATCAGATGCCACTATGCTTCCTGTACAGCCTGCAGATCCCTGAGCCAATTAAACCTCTTTTCTTATAAATTACCCAATCTCAGGTATTTCTCTTTTTTTTTTTTTTTTTTTTTGACAGAGTCTTGCTCTGTCACCTAGGCTGGAGTGCAGTGGTGCAATCTCAGTTCACTGCAACCTCCACCTCCCAGGTTCAAGTGGTTCTCCTGCCTCAGCCTCCTGAGTAGCTGGGATTGCAGGCATGTGCCACCATGCCCGGCTAATTTCTTGCATCTTTAGTAGAGATGGGGTTTCACCACGTTCACCAGGCTGGTCTCAAACTCCCAACCTCATGATCTGCCCATCTCGGCCTCCCAAAGTGCTGGGATTACAGGCGTGAACCACCACGCCCGGCCTCAGGTATTTCTTTATAGCAATGCAACAATGGCCTAACACACACAAAATATACAGAGCTGCATGCATTCGCTTAATGAGGCCTTCAATAAATGATGCGAGACCTAAATAGTGAAGTGGCCTTAAAAAATGCGTGAGTGTGTATGCAATGAGTATGTTCAGGGACGTCTTCTGGTACAGAATACGCCTCCTGGGGATGAACTCCACACCCGCAAATGGTGTTTTCTTCTATATGATGGTTCCTTGCTTCATTTTGTTTTGTTTTTACACACATAGTATCAGCAACTAGAGCCCCCAAGTTATTCAGCAGATTAGACTCCAAATGACCTGACATTTCAAATATTTAGAATCACTGTCAAAAAGAAGCACCTGCAGAGGACTCCCAGACAATGCAGTGTAGGCCTGGCTGGCACCAAACAGTGGCCCGGCAGGACTCTTCGGGTGGCAAGTGTTTCTCCTGGTTTGTTGTTAGTGTTCTGGCTTTATTTTGTTATGTGGGAATCATAACTGTTTTGTTGCAGATTTACCTTTTTTTTTCTTTTATGGTGTTCAGGTCTTGTGTCTTGTAGAGAAATAGGAAATAGAAAATTTCCCTACATCGATGTTAGTGTTTTGTCTATTTTCCCCATGCTTATTTCTAGACATTTTGTGTTTTCTTTTTACATTTAAATCTGCAATCCATCTGGAATTTATTTGTAAGAAGTAAGGTAAAAAATCCAGCTTTTTTTTTCAGGTAGTGACCAAAGGTAGTTATTTAAACGCTATTTATTGAATAACTCATCTTTTCCCCTGCTGATTCAAATTGTCACTTCTACCATAAACCAAAATCCCATATATATCTGTGTCAATGTCTAGACTCAATATTTTATGCCATCGACCTTTGTGTCTATTCAAAGTCAACTACAGGAGCTTTATAATATGTTTAATATCTGGGGCTACTCTTCGCTCAGCATTCTTAATTTGCAGGTGTTTTCTGGCAGTTTTTGGATGTTTATTTTCCACAAGAAAGTCAATGGCAACCTTTCTAATTTAAAAAGTATCTTGGTATTTTTGGAAGGAGCTCAAACATGATCTACTATATGAGAAGCAATCTCTGCACTGATTGAAGCATCCTCATCTATCCCCCATCCAGATGTAAATAATAATGACTGTAGCTGTGGCACATGCCTGTAGTCCCAGCTACTCAGGAGGCTGAGGTGGGAGGATGGCTTCAGCCCAGGAGGTCGAGGCTGCAGTGAGCTAGGACTGCACCACTGCGCTCCAGCTTGGGCAACAGAGCAAGACTCTAAAATACTCTGATGATGCTACTACTGATGATGATGATGATGATGATGATGATGATGATGATGATGATGAACTATAACACAGGTTCTCCTATGTTCAAGGGCAGCATCCATTCTGTAAATCCATAGATTCTGCCCTTCTGTCTCTCTCACCAACCTCCCCAAACCCCAGCCTGGCCCTCAGAAAAATCAGTATTGACTTAGAGAGCTATATTTTCTCCAAGGTCTTAGAGGGGCTGTCGGGAGGCAGGAATCATGGACCCCCAGCAACAAGTTAGACCCACCCATCCCAGGCCAAATGCAGAGAAATCATTCAGAGTCATTCAAGATGAACTCGAAGGGTGTTTCTGAGGAAGCTGTTTACATGATCAACGCAGGCCCTGCTGCCATCAGTCACGCAAGGCAGCTCCCGCCCAGGTTAGCTTCTCAGCGCTGTCCATATTTCTCCAGACTGTATTTTCCTTGCCCTTCCCCCAGCTTCTCTGCCCCAATTTTAAGACCCCTGTCCTCTCCTGCTTGCTGCCTTCTGGACATCCTCCAGGCTTTCAGGGTCCCTCCCTCCCTGTCCACCTTAACACAAGAGGCTCAGAGCACATACAGCTTCCTGTTCAGATGTGGTCTGAGCAGTGGACATGAAAACGTCACCTCCATGGTCCAAGCACTGATTTCCTTATTGTCTTTGTCCTCTCTGAATTCCACCAACTCCCTGCCCACCTGAGCTACCTCTGTCCCCCTCCCCATGTCCCAGCCTCCCCCATGACACTGGACGCCCCAGGGTCATGCTGGGCTTTAGTCTGGCCTGGACCTGAACAAGGGCTGCCTGGGACCTTGGTAGACCTCCCATCATTGGCCAGGGGCAGGAAGAAAATGCCGAAATGGGCCAAGAAAGAAGATCATGGAGGACTCACCTGGCCACCTCGTTCTTTGACATCCCCTTCTCCAATAATAACTGTTCGTCTATTCCACTTGGCCACCTGCGCCCACAGTCACTCTGTAAAGCAACCACCTCCAAAACCTCAGCTCCACTCCTGTTCCCTCAGAGCCCCCTCTTAGGCTCAAAGCTGTGGCTGGGCAACCCCCTCCCTCACCCTCTGGAAGGCTCCAGTCCATTCACCTGCCCCCCTGGGGCCTCCCCAGCACAGACTCTCCCACCATCACTGGGATCTTGGAAACACTCTTCCCTGGCTAGCTTCTCTCCTCCATCATTCTCGTCAGACCGAACTCCTGCTCCTGCTCCCTGCCTGCACCCCTTCTCACTGCTTCTGCCATCCCACCATCCTCTCTCACCAGGACTCATCACTGACTCCCTCCTTCCACTCCTGTCCACCTATGTTCAGTACAGCAGCCAAAATGATCTTCTTCCTATAAGCAAATCAGTTCCCTTGGATAAATCCTCCAGGCACTTCCATCCACCACCCTGGACTTCAAGCTCTACCCCAGGGCCTGCAGGGCCCCCCTTCCCTGCTCCCAGAATACTTCCCATCGTACCTTCTGGCACTCCGTCCCCCTCACTGCACCCCACTCCCTTCGGCCTTTTTATTTTCCACAACAGCCCAGGCTGGTTCCCTCTGAGCCCTCTGTACCTGCCCTTCTCTGGCTGGAATGAAGCCTTTCAGTGTTCCTCCAGGTCTCAGTCTTTCCCATCCTCTGGGCCGTCCCCAAATGTCTGCTCCTCAGGGAGGATTTTCCTGACCACCCAACCTACAGGGCCCCCACCCAGCACTCTTGACCATGACACACGGCCCTGTTTGCCTTTTTTTAAGCTTTTGGCAGCATGAAGCTCTCTTGTCAATGTGTTTGTCTGTTTGATTGATGGCTGGACTGTGGGGGGCTAGAAAGAGCCCAGCTCCCTGGTGCAATCCCAGAGCCCGCATCCCAACCCTGTGCTGGCTTCCTTCTGATCATAGAAGAACTCTTAATTAACTGAGGGGACCACTTGGGGGTCCAAGTGGACACAGTTCCTAATAATGCGGGGCAGGTGAGTCCCAGAATTGGGGCTTGGCCCAGGAGGGTTCTTGGCTTCACACAGGCAAGAATTCAAGGACGAGCCAGTGGTGTTGGGCAGCAGCTTTTATGGGGGCGGCAGTGCACAGCAGAGGCAGAGGGGCCACTCCTTGCAGAGCAGGGCTACGTCATAGGCAGTGCACCCAGAACAACAGCTCAGAGGCAGGGCTGCACTCACCTTTACACCCACTTTTAATTATATGCAAATTGAGGGGCAATTTATGCAGAAATTTCTAGGAAAATGTTGGTAACTTCCAGGTCATTGGGTTGTCACCATGGAAAGGGGTGGTAACTTCCAGGTGTTACCATGGCAATGGTAAACTGGCATGGCACACTGGTGGGTATGGCTTATGGAAAGCTGCTTCTGCCCTATCCCTTTTAGCTAGTCCTCAGTTGGGTCCAGTGTATGAGCCCCACCTCTGGAGTTGAGTCCAGCTTCCTGCCTCACTAACAGAGGTGACTCAGAGCACCCACACATTTCCAGAGCGCTAAAGCTTTCACGAATTCTCAAAAGATGGGAAGTCATTTCAGAAGGGGAGCAGGAAGTTTTAGAGCATCTTACTGTGGGCTCCACTTTGAGGAAAGCAGAACCTGAAATGACTCCAGGGGTCCTGAGTAGTCAAGCCTTAAACAAGGAAAAGAGGGGGACACAGTAACAGGTGAGCATTCAGACCTGGAGTCCAGAGGTGAGGACAGCCGACTCCAGGGGACTGCGGGGACTGCAGCTTCCAAGGAGCCCAGAGCCAGCACTGGCCCCCCACCTGCCTGCACCTTTTTCCAGTTAAGCAACTGCTCTAGGCAAACAGGAAATGCACCCCCACATCCCAGGGCTGTGTGGTGACACCTGAGGCCAGGTGAGGAAGGCGGGAGACAGGAGAAGGGTGAGGAAGAGGCTAACAAGGTGCTGGGTCAGCTGTGACAGCCACATCCACGGGGGCTTAGATTCCTGCAGCAAGTGCCATCTGGGAGTCATTTATCCTTCCAGTGGGCTGGGCGCAGGGTTCCCATCTATTCCTCAGATACATTACTAAGTGTAAGCCTGAGTCTTGCCTATGGTGAGGCAAACACAATGGAAGATCTGCAATTAAAGGTCCAGGCCTCAGTTTCCCTATTGGGATCATTGCCGGTGGCATTCTGGACCCTCCCTCAGGGGCCACCCTCCCTCTCCAGTCATCAGATTGGCTTTGCCCCCCACCCACAGCTCCAGTTGTCTCTTTTCTGCCTCCCATGGGGGATCCAGGCTTCAGGAAGGGCTGACATTCCTGTAATGCCCCAGAGGACTGACGGCGGGGTGGAGGAGTCTAAAGTTTGCAAATTAAATGCTTCCTTTTTTATTCCTCTCACCCTCTGAGCTGAACATCAGTCTCTTCCATGCAGGTGC
Organism: Homo sapiens; assembly: GCF_000001405.40. Classification (NCBI taxonomy): domain Eukaryota; kingdom Metazoa; phylum Chordata; class Mammalia; order Primates; family Hominidae; genus Homo; species Homo sapiens. The sequence goes on from NC_000007.14 coordinate 155,438,639, forward strand.
CTGTGTCTTTCTCTGACAAAGGAGAACCAGGAGAAGCCGGGTTTATGCAGCATAGGGGCAGAGAGCTGGAGACAGGAAGGCTAGGCCACTCCGAGTTGTGCCCCCGACTCTCAGGGCCATCCCACCAGGGCCATTCCCACCTCAGGGCCTCTCTGTCCCCCTAGGAAAGAAGGACACCCCCTCACAGTCAAGGGCAGCACTGGAGGGGTTTTCCAAGCTCCCTAAATTCACAAGCCCTTGGCCGTCTCCTTTTCAAGATCAGCCTGATCACGCCATCAGTCCTCTGGGCTAAGCTATTAACTTCTCCTGGTGAGCATGTGACCCAGGCGTGGGGGAGGTGAGTTTATCAAGCGATCCGACCTTGGCTGAGATTCATTTCTTAGATCAGATGAGGAAGGGCATCCTGGGCCACAAGACAAGTGAGCCAGATAAGGAGACCGTGGAGGGAGGTGAGGGTGCTGCGGTGGTGCCCCAGGAGGGCCAGCTACTGGAGGGGCAAAGAATGGCCCTAAATATGGACTTGACACCTTCTCATTTTGTCTGGGGCAGCATGACCAGCTGTGGCCACAGGACAGGCTCGCCAGGAGATAGAAGAGAATGTGCTGTCCTGTCTCTGCCCTCCAGGCTGAAGTGGGGACTTTTTTTTCCCCAACACACATCCAGTCAGTTAGGAGGAACTGCCAGTTTGCTTGTGGAAAACACAATTGAAAAATAAAAAACACCCAAAACACTACCCATGCCCAGTGATTGCTCCCAGGGGAGGGGGAGGTGTCAGGTCACTCTTTGGCGCGGGGCCTCATGCAGGGAGTCCCTTGGGTGGCCCTGCCTGGGCAGTCCAGCTGTGGGAATCCAGGGGACCCAGCACCATCTGTCAACTGCACCCGGCACCAGCAGTCAGGGTGTGAGGAGGGGCGGTGCCCAGGACTTGGCATGTCCCCATCACGGGCACCCTCGGTTTCTGTAAATAAATCTCCTCTGATGTTAAAAAACAATCCGGAGCACCTCACTGCCACCGTAAACCCCGAGAAAAGCTAACCCCCCTTAGGTGGGCGGGAGCACAGCAAATCCTGTTCCCGCTGAACTCTCCTCTGAAGCTCGGGCCCCAAATGCTCAAAACGAACACTGACTCTGCCAAACGCCCGCAGGACCCATGGGCCTGCAGCTGGCACCATGGGCTTTTCTCCGGCCCTTGTGACCTGGCAGGAGCAGCAGCGACTGTCTGATGGACAGTGTTCCTGGTCACAAAGGACCACTCAGTTCAGGTGAAACTTGGGCTCCAAGTGACTGCTCCCTCCTGGAGGAGCCCAGCAGCCCGAAGGCCCCCACCTGGGGCGTGGATTGCTCTAGGATTGAGGAAACCTCTGCAAGAAACAAACGGCAGATGCCTCCCTCGATCTCTACTCCCACCTCTCTCCCCAAAGAAAACCCTTCCAGGGCCCTGTAGGCACGAAGATTCTCAGCAAGTGGTGGCCAGCTGCAGTCTGCTCCAGGAGGGCTGCAGTGATGGGACCCAGTGGTAGGAGCAGCGGCCACGTCAGGTGACTTATTCCTCGGGTGAGCTTGGCTCCGTGGAGAGGCCAGGGCATCACATTTGAGGCTTTGTAACCACACAGAGAGCCTGGGGTCACTTCCTTCCACCTCTGCTGAGTACTTGTTCTGACCTCTCCCCACTCAGGGCCAGCACCACCCAGCCCCTGTGTTGTCCCTGCCAACAGTACCCTCGCTTGACAATGGCAGGTGCATTTGAAGGAAGTGACCGGTTTGCAGGGAACTGCACCACCCTTCTAAAGCGCAGCACCAGACGTTTCCAGACCTTACTGGGGTCCCATCATCTGGGGAATCTGTTAAAATGAAGGTTTCCAAGTCTCATGCCCAGGGAGTCAGGCCCAGTCGTTCTGGGGTAGGGCCCGGGAACCTGCATTTTAATATCCTTACTTTAGATCTGATTTGAGCCTAAATGATGAGTTTTCTGTGTTGACTTGGCAACACAGTACCCAGTACCCAGTGATTCATCCAACACTTATCTAGGTATTGCTGGGAGGGTACATTGTGGATGTGATTCCATCCACACTCGGCTGACTTTAAGTAACAGAGATCCCCTCTGTGATGTGGTGGCCTCGTCCAATCAGCTGACAGCCTGAGGAGCAGAAACTGAGGGTTCCCAGAGAAGAAGAAAGTCAGCCTGAAGGCGGCAGCTCAGCCCCCCATGCTGGTCTGCTGCAGGCATTTTGGATTAACCAGCCCCATAACCACATGAGCCAATGCTTTCAAATACACCTCTCCATACACCTGTGGAGCTCTTCCATCTGCCGTTTCTCTGGAGAGCTCCTACAGATAAGCACCCCTTGGGGCTGTCATGAGGTTGAGTGAACCACAGCCTTCACTCCCCGAATGTGTGGCTCATAAAAAACATGGACACCTGTGCACTGATGCTCTTACAAAACCAATAGCCTGCGTTAATTGTAATAGACAAATAAAGTGATTTGTAATAAAATAATACATAAAAATAAATGTGTAACAAAGTAACACATACTTCCACATGTAATTGCCCAGGCACATCTGCACCAGACGATGTAATCACCAGAGAAAGGGGCATCCGGGCTTTCCTAGCCCCTCAATCCCCAGTGGTCCTGTTGGCGGAGATGGGGTTGTCCAAAAGGAGAGGTAGCCGTTGGTGAAGTTCTAGGAAAGCCCAGCACAGTAATTCCATGATTCCCCGTTGCTTGCATTCATAGCCTAGATCAAAACCACGCAAACAGTGCTTTGTAACTGCGACACACCAGCTCAGAGCATCGCCATCAGCCCCCTTCATCCAGAGTCCAGTGGGATATTCGTCGAGGCATAGACAGGCCTCACTGCACGGCTGTCCCACACATGTCTGGGAAGGGGCCCTACCCGCTAAACGCCAGTGGCATGCCCCTACTATCGTGGCAATAAGAAGGTCCCTGCAGGACGTGAAGATGCTCCCTGAGTTCAACCGCTGGGCTCTTAACCTGGGCTCAAATCCACGTCCTACCACTTCCTCACCCTGCGAACTGGACAAGTTACATGGCCTGTTGTTTCTCAGCCTTGTCAGCTGAGACATGGACATACAAATAATCCATCTCTCGTGGGGTGTGGAAGGAGTAAGTGAGCAAGGAATACTGTCTGTAAGGGGCTTGGGACTTAGTCTGGCCCGTGATGCCTGTTCTACCATCAGTAAATGTTGGAAATTATCGTCACCATCGCCACCACCTGCACTGTCATTGTTCTCATTCGGGGTCCCCATCTCACCACTGACTGCTCAGCCAGGACACCTCCCTCCCCCCTCCCAGGGCTCTGCCACTGCCGAGGCTTACCACTATGCCCTCTCCCCACCCTCCCTGTCAGCTGAGACCCCTCCCCTGGGTCCCATGCCTCTATGCACGTGGCTTCCTCTCCTTCTCAGTTGCCTACAGGCTCTTCTTTCTACCACAATGGGTTGTTCTCCATCTGTGCTGCCCAGGGCCGCACTCTCTGGCCACAGAACATGGCTCATGAGATGAGGAGCTGATCTGACCATTTTACTAAGTTTAATAAGTTAAAATGTAAACAGTTGCATGGAGCTAGTGGCAATAACATCGGACAGGGCAGCTTTAAAACTGATTTTTCCTCCATGCTACTTACCTCTCTGCCACTGGAAAACTCTGGGTGGCTTTCTTCTGCCTTTAGGAGAAATAGCAATACAAATAGCAAAGCAGGCTGGGCGTGGTGGCTCATGCCTGTAATCCCAGCACTTAGGGAGGCCGAGGTGGGTGGATCGCCTGAGGTGAGGAGTTTGAGACCAGCCTGGCCAACATGGTGAAACTCCATCTCCACTAAAAATACAAAAAAAATTGGCTGGGTGGTGGGCGCCTGTAATCCCAGCTACTCAGGAGGCTGAGGCAGGAGAATTGCTTGAAACCGGGAGGCAGAGGTTGCAGTGAGCCAAGATCATGCTATTGCACTCCAGCCTGGGCGACAAGACCGAGGCTCCGTCTTGTAAAAAGAAAAAAAAAAAAAAAAAAAAGCGAGGCTCCTATAGCACTTACTGTGTGCTAGGCACTGTCTATGTGCCTTCTGCATACAGCACATTTAACTCCCCTACAGCCCTGTGAGGGAAGTGCTATGCTCTCTCAATTCACATGTGAGGAAGCAGGAATAGAGAGTTTCAGGAACGTGCCACAAAAAGGCTGAGGTCCTTAGCAAGACTTACAAGGGTGCTGGAATCCAGACACTGCCTACCTCCGTTAGGGGCCGAGCAAAGAGATAACTTAAAGTCCTAATCCCCAATACCTGTGAATGTGACCTTATTTAGAAATAGGATCTTTCCAGATGTAATCAAGGTTAGATGAGCTTATTAGGGTGGGCTCTAATCCGATGCTACTTGTGACCTCATAAGAAGACACAGACACACAGAAGAGGCCACCCAGTGATGACATGGCAGAGACTAGAGTGATGCAGCTGGGAGCCCAGGACCGCCCAGGACTGACGGAGCCACCAAAAGCTGGAAGGGACAAGGGAAGATCCTCCCCCAGAGCCTTCAGAGGGAGTAGAACCCTGCTGAGCCCTTGATCTTGGCCTTCCAGCCTCCAGACTGCAAGAGAATAAATTCCTGTTGTTTCAGCTGTCCAGTGTATGGTACTTTGTTATGGCAGCCATTCACTCCCTGAAGCCACCCACCATACCCTCACCTCACAAAGCAAGGCAGCCAAATCCTATGCTGACTCCTGACAGTGCGCCCGAGTGCCCTGTTCTCTGTAAAATTCTTCTTCCCCTTGTTCCCTCCCCTTATGAGCTCAGACCCGTTCTAGGCTAGCACAACCAACAGAAAGAAAACGTGAGCCACAATGCAATTTTAATCTTTTTAGCAGCCACATGAACACCAGAGACAGGTGCAGTTAATTTAAGTAATATTTTAGTTGACCTAATATATCCAAAATATTATTATTTCAAAAGTAATCAATATACAAATTAACAAGACATTTTACATCCAATTTTTTTTTTTGGTACTAGGTCTTCCAATTCCAGCATGCATTTTACACCTCTAGCATATCTCAGCTTGGGCATTGCATTTCCATGGCAAATACTTGACCTGCATTTAGGGTTCATTAAGCTTGCAGGTAAAAAGGTAGCGTCACACGCCCAAGTTATTTCAGACATCTTTGGGGGTTTCCCAGGAGCTGAATTGAAAATCTATTTGTAAATCTACATTTATGTTAATTAAAATTAAAAATTCCACTCTTCAGCCACACTGGGTACATCTTACGTGCTCAGCACACCTATGGCTGGGGGCCATGCAGTCCCCAATCCCTCCCAAGTGTTCACAGAGGGATGGATGGGTACGGAAAATGTGGTGTGCAAGTGTTGCCTACATACACACAGTGGAATAGTAGCCTTAGAAAGGAAGGAAAGCCCGACACAGGCCACAGCGCAGCTGAACCTTGAGCATATTATGCTGAGTGAAACAAGCCAGACACAAAAAGACAAATACTATAATACAAGATGCCACTCGCATGAGGCTCCTAGAATCATCAAATTCATAGAAGCAGAAAGTAGAAGGTGGTTGTTTTCTAAATAATATTCACCCTCCAGATATCAAATTTGCCAAGACACAAAATTTCTGTTTGAATCTTAGATATAATCATTTTCAATGTAGGAGAAGCCCTGGTAGAACTTGGGTCCTCATAAGTGATACTGGAAAAACGAAAGTCCAAAAGCTGGAAAGTCCCTTGGGAGTTCAGGAATCCAAAGTGGTCCTTCAGCAATAGGGAAGTGGAGATAGCTAATGGGTACAAAAAAGTCATTAGAAAGAATGAATAAGATCTACTATTTGATAGCACAAAGGAGTGACTATAGTCAATAATAATTTCATTGTACATTTAAGAATAACTAAAAGGGTATAATTGGATTGTTGGTAACACAGAGGGTAAATGCTTGAAGGAATAGATACTCTTATCTTCCATGATGTAATTACTGCACATGTTCCTGAATCAAAACGTCTCACACCCCACAAATATATACACCTACTATGTACCCATAAATATTAAAAACTAAATTAAAAAAGAAGTGTATCCCAGGGAGGTCAGGTAAGCTGAGAGGCACCAATAGGTGCTATAGCCCTAGAGAGACAAGGCCCAGAGTCCAGAATGATCAGAGAGATTATGCTGGAATATCAGAGGACCACGCAGAGTGGCCCTGCATGGCCACAGTTCAGAGTGTGTGGAGGACACAAGGCTGGAGAAGGGGAAAGGAATCCCAGGGCCGGGCAGGAAAGGCCTTGGAAGCCTTCGTGTTAGGAGGGCCATGTGGTTGAGGTCACGGGGCGGGGAGGGGAGGGGAGATGACAGAGTGGAAGCTCAACAGGCCCTGGGTGCTCCATTCCCAGCTCCTTCACCCGCCAGGAGACCTTGGCCGTCTGTTCCCCGAGGTACCCTTGTGGAGTGGAGATCAGGAGATAGGCCCACAACCCCTGGTCTACAACTCCAAAATCCAAATGCTTTCAAAATGGGAGGGTGTCTTCCTAACTCCTTGGACAGCAGAACCTGACTTGAACAGACATAGGCTCCTTGTGGCTGTTACCTGCTGGTTCAGCTTTTCCTGTATTTACCACAGAACTATGACTGTGTTAGATAGGGCCCTGCTCACACCCCACGGGGTTAGGTGGCACATGATATGTGCACCACCTGACCTGTCCAAAATCAAAGAAATTCTGAAACGTGTCTGTGGCCCAGAGCTTTAGATGAGAAACTGTGGACATCTAGGATCCACCATACGTGATTGTGTAGGAAAAGTCATTCATTCATTTATGAAATCTCATTTAGTGCAGATCCTGGGGTTCCCTAAGACAACCTCCAAACTTTTTTTTACAGTTACACTGTGAGTCATTATGTAGCTTTGTTGCATGTAGACATCAGCATTGATGTGCAAAAAAAAAAAAAAAAAGTGAGTCTAGCTCCACATGGATGAAGGCCGTTAAACCACTGAGTCCAACTCCACATGGATGAAGGCCGTTAAACCAGTGAGTCCAGCTCCACATGGATGAAGTCCATTAAACCAGTGAGTCCAGCTCCACATGGATGAAGGCCGTTGAACCAGTGAGTCCAGCTCCACAGGGATGAAGGCCGTTAAACCAGTGAGCCCAGCTCCACGTGGATGAAGGCCGTTGAACCAGTGAGCCCAGCTCCACAGGGATGAAGGCCGTTAAACCAGTGAGCCCAGCTCCACATGGATGAAGGCCGTTAAACCAGTGAGTCCAGCTCCACATGGATGAAGGCCGTTAAACCAGTGAGTCCAGCTCCACATGGATGAAGGCCATTAAAGGTTGTTATTGGCCATTGGTAGCAGACATTGTGCTCTTCACAGCCACACACTCACAGGTTTTTTTTTTTTTTTCAAATGCAGGTTTTACTTAAGAATGTTCTTGAAGAAACAGTGAAAAAAAAATAGTTTTATTAAAGCTCAGCTCTGGAGCACATGTCTTTTCAATATTCTGGGTGAAGAAAGGGGGAGCTGTCATACAGAAGAACAGCGGCCATCGAGGAAAAGGACGGGCGGGCTACAGCCATGAGCTGACTGAGCCCGCTTTTTCATGGAGCCTCATTTTACATGGAACGGCACCCAACAGACAAATCATGGTTATTGAGACTTAGGTCTTTGACAGACACCTTTGCAAAAATAAATGAAACTACCCTGTCGTGTTGAGGAAAGTAGTATTTACCACTAAAGGTAAAATGTGAGTTTTTAAGTGAAAATTAAAATTCTTGAAAACTTGTATCCAACATCATGAGTCAGACAACCTCCCAAATTTAAAGAGTTTTCCAATAAGATTAGTGGTGATATTAACAAATGTGATTTTGTGATACTGTTTAAGGAAATAGTTCGACATTTGGAAGACCTGCATAACTCAGTGAACCAATATTTTCCAAATGACCAATATACAGTGGCATGAAATATTTTGCAGGCTGAGGCAGGTGGGTTACTTGAGGTCAGGAGTTTGAAACCAGCCTGGCCAACATGGTGAAACCCCATCTCTACTAAAAATACAAAAAATTAACTGGGTGTGGTGGCATGCACCTGTAATCCCAGCTTCTGGGGAGGCTGAGGCAGGAGAATCACTTGAACCCAGGAAGCAAGGTTGCAGTGAGCAGAGATTGTATCACTGCACTCTAGCCTGGGTGACAGAGAGAGACTCTGTCAAAAAGAAAGGGAAGGGAAGGGAAGGGGAAGGGGAAGGAAAAGGGGAAGGAGGGAGGGAGGGAGGGAGGGAGGGAGGGAGGGAGGGAGGGAGGAGGAAGGAAGGAAGGAAGGAAATATTTTGTGGGCAAAAGAGCCATTCAAAGTGCAAGACAGATAAATGGATTTTAATGTAATAGAGTATGAAATGTTCATTGACATGGTTTCAGATTCCACATTGCAACCAACCTTTAAGAAACCACCATTTGTTGAATTTGGGGGTAATATCAAGGAAAAATGTTCACAATTATCTGCCAAGGCTAATAAAATACTCCTCCAGTTTTCAACTGCATATCTGTGACAGGTTGCATTTTCTTCATATACTTGAACCAAAATAATGGATTGCACAAACAAAAATGAGAATCCAACTATCTTCTATTAAGCCAGATATTAAAGAGGGGTGCAAACATGTACACCACTCTCCAGACTAATTTTTTTTTGTTTGGGGGAATAGAATAAGTGTTCATTAAAATATGTTAAGTAAACATGAAGTGGGTTTTTATTGTCATTGTAAATGAATCAATTAATCAATATATTTAAAACATTACCATTTCATCATACTGCGCAAATCACCGGATAGACATCTAAATCTATCCGTTGCTATATACAAAAGCTCTTTGGGGGGCTCAGTAAATTTCTAAGAGCATAAAGCAGTCCTGTGACCAAAAAGTCTGGGAGCACTGGCTTCATGTTACTGTGTGCCAGTCCCTTTAGCAGGACTGGGGGTACAGCCAGGAAGACGAGGCCCTGCCCTCTGGAAGGTATGTTCTAGATGAGAGACCAATAATAAACGCACCAACACCTTTACAACTGCAAGTAGCCATAAGTGCTGTGGGGAACACACCTGGATTAGGGAGTCATTTTAGATCATGTGACCCTTCTCTGGGGAACAGTCTGTGCCCAAAGATATGGAGAAAGAATGTACCAGATGAACAAAGAGTCAGGACCAAAGGAAAAGAGCTCCCCTGAGGTGGCCATGGCTTGGAGGCTCAAGAACTGGCAAAACTAGACTTAGAACCTCAGGTGAGGGAGGTGGCTGGTGGATTTCATTGTGCCTTGAAGGACATTGTAAGGATGTGTCTAATTCTCATGCACATGGAAACCACTGGTTTTGACCAAGGGTAGGTCTGAGCTGAAGCTTACTCTGTTGTAGGGAGAGCGGTGGACCACAGGGCACATGTGTGAGGTGGAGAGCTGGTTAGGAGGCCATGCAACCCTGCAGGTGGAGGGGGAAAGGGCTTGGGGGCTGGTGGAGGACGCAGGAGTATGGGGGAGCTGTGGAAAAGACGTGGAGGCAGAGCCAGCAGGCCTTGCTAAGGGACAGGAGGTGGCTCTAGAGAGAAAATGAGGGATCAGGGATGTCTCCTGGGGGGTGGCCAGCTGGGTGACTGGGAGAAACTGGGAAGGCGCAGATCAGGGCAGCAGGGGTAGCGGGATCGGGGGTGCTCTGAAGTGAACACGTGAAATTGAAGGTGCTCGTCAGCCTTCCAGTGGAGGCATCCAGGAGGCAGCTGGAACTGGAAGGAAATGGTGACAGTCGTCAGCACCGTAGAGGTGGCGGTGGTGGTGGTTACAGCTGGACCCCTCTGGGCTGGTGGGAAGTGTGGAGGTGAAGGAGCAGGGAGCAGGGGGAGGTGGAGAAGGAAACCTCAGGCTTACATTTTCACCCTATTCTTGGCTGCCATATTTTCAGGAAGTCCCTCTTGAGGCTGGGACAGAGGGTGGGGACAGTTCAGTCTCCCTGAGAGAGTTTATTCTCGGAGGCCTGCGGTGGGAGCCAGGGCGCGGCGGAGAGGGTTTCCCACCTCTTCCCCAGCAAGCGGGAGGGAGGCGCCGGGCTGAGGCTGCGCTGAGCTCGAGCTCGCCGCCCGGGTGGACCCGCCCTGTTCAAGCGCGGAGGGGCGGAGGCCTGGTTGGGTTGTAGCGTGGTGCGGAGCAGGACGCCGCCTCGTGCCATGGTCACTGGAGACGCACGCCCATCTTCCCTCCCGGGCCCGTCGATCCTGCCATCTTCCGCTCCCGGCCGCTCGTGGGTGTTCGTCATTTAGACCTTCCCCGTGCTTCATGGGACGCAAGCCCTCCCCCAGAGTTCGGTTTTGCAAAAGAGGTCTGGAGCCCTCGCTACAGATCCCCTCCCTGGGCCACGGAGGATGAGAAGGGTCACCGAGCCGAGCCGTAATCCTGCGTAACCCCTGACCTCTCTCCTTCCCTGCCCCCACGGCACCCCATCGTCCCCTCCCCGTCTCCGAGGTCCTCCAGAAAACAGCGCAGAATTGTGCAGATGTTTAGGAGATGTGAAGATGCTGGAGATGCTTAGGAGGCGACGGTTACGCGAGGAGAATTGCTTCCAGGTGCGCTTCTGGAACGCACGGAGATCCCCCGGCGGGGAAGGGGCCGGGGCTCGCGTCACTTAGTGTCTGCTCACCGATTTCCCTCTGAAGAGGGGGCCCAGGGCCTCTGCTGAGGGAGCGGGGAGGCGGTGCGGGCCCCTCCCGGGCACACATGGGTGTCCGCTCCTTCCTCCCCCTCCCCTCCCCTCGCACGGAGAGCGGAGAGCGGAGAGCGGAGAGCGACAGGGAGGCAGCCGAAGACTTGAATTTTGAAAGGGGAGCTGGCGGCGAATGGTGAATGAGACAGCTACTTAGGAAGCGAGTCCAGCCAGCCCGGGAGGCGGTGGAGACCCACGCCCGGAAGTAACCGGATTAGGTCTCAGAATGTGATCGCCCCCCGGGTCCCGGGGGAGACGCCAAGGACGCGCAAGCGGAGGGCGCGGAGACAACTGGGAGTCAGAGTCTCCATCACTTGGGCTGGGAACGCCTCTGGGCGTTCCGACGGGGTGGCGGTGGGGGTCGGGGGAGGCCCTTGAGAACCGTGCGGCCCGGGGAGAGCCCACCCATTGCTGAGCCCCGACACAGGCTTTGAAGTTGCTGCAGTGGCTCAGCCCCTCCCCCGTCCGGCCCTGCGCAGCGCGGTGCCGCAGAGTCCAGGCCGTGCCTCCGTTTCGTCGCTCAGAGCTTATTGCGGCGGCTCATTGGACCACGTCGGTGGGGCGATCGCAGCCTCTGATCTGTGAGCTGCAAAGAGCTCCGAGGTTCATTCACAAATCTGCGCCCCCAGCCGTCCCTCCACGCACCCGAGCCACGTCCCGGGACCCGGAGAGCCCGGGGCGTTGGGCGCTGCGGAGGAGGCCCGGCTTCTGTCGCTCCCTTCACCTCCCAGCCCGCGAGGGACTTGGGGGAAGGGGGAGCAAGCTTTCGCTCCGGAAGAAACGTTCGGAACCAAGGAGTCTGACTCCTGGATCCGGGTGCCTGTTGGATCCAGGCTCCCACTCCCGGGCCCTCCGGTCGAACCAAGGGTCCCGACAGGGCCCGAGGCACCCGCATTCCTAGGAGACAGGAGCTCGGCCAGGGCGCATCACCGGGTCCTGCTCCGAGCCAGAGGATGTAGTGTAGACACCCACCCCCACACCGCCCCTCCACAGAGCTCCTCTCCCCTTGGGGCGTCGCTGGGCACAGGGCAGGTCGCTAGGAATCCCCAGTAAAACCACGCTCGCTCAGAGGTTCGCGGCTTCCTCAGAGGGCGCTGGGGAAAGAGAGGGGACCTGATTTCTTCGACCCTCGGAGGAAAAGTGCTCGGGGCCTCCTAGGGACACAGCCCTGGAAGCTCACCTCATCTTAGCTTAGGCCGCGGCGAGGTGGGGAGGAGAGTTAGGAGAGGGGGAGAGGGGCTCTGCGCCCTGCAGAGGCCTTTAATTCTGGAGGAAAAAGACTGGGACACACCCAAGCGAGCCAAGGCCCGAGCCCCACGCACCTCCACCCACCCGGGGCGGCGCACAGCCAGCTCCTGCCGGGCGTGAGCACTCGATCAAGGGAGCAAGTGGAATGAAAATCCAGCTGGGGGGGTCCCCATCGACACAACTGTCCCGCAGTCGAGCTTCTGGATTCCTGGGAGATGTGGAGAGCCTGGGGCCGGCTCCCGCTCCGCAGAGCAGACTGGACTGCCCTAGGTGCCTGGAATGCGCCTGCACCCTGTCCCTCGGACCCGCGGGAGACCCGTGTTCCGCAAGTCCCCCTTCTCACCCTAGTCTGCCCCTACCTACATCCCGCCGGCGAGTGTGCCACCGCGAGGCGCCTCCTTCCCCGGGAAGGGAGCTCCCTTCCGCGCAGACCCGCATTGCCCTTCTTTTCGCTCGGTTTTGTTTTCCAGGGGTAGTTTCTGCAGAAAGGAGATTCTCCTCCGGGCCGAAGGGCTACCAGCCTGCAGTCAGTTCAGCCCCGGACCCTGGGAGATGCTCACCACTCTGCGGATCTTGATCCGAAATCCTTTCTGGCCGCCCACTGCGGAGAGTGTCCTCGTAGAGAGGTTTTCAATCGAAGGAGCCTGGGCTCCACATTTTGTCTTCAAGCCTGAGCTTTCAGGGCTGCTTTGCACGAGGTGCAGATGAACTTGTGTCTGCAAACAAGACAGAAAACCCTAAGTGCCGCCCGACCTTCCTCTTTTGGGGAACCCGCACTTTGTCCTGGGAGCGTGCCCAGCGCCTTAGTACCAAACTTTCTGGCCGGGGCTGGCAGAGCTCAGAGTCCCGCTTCCCCCTAGGCGCGGCCCCCTAACATCTGTAACCCAAATGTTGCGCCGCGGCCAAAATTAGCCCTGGCAGTGCGAACAGAGAACTAAAAGCAGGCAGTGAATGAGAACAGCTCGCATTTCTCCTTCCTGGTAGACGGGGAGGTGTAAATCCCGAGGAATTCTAGGGCATTCGCTCCAAACGTGGGAAATCTTCGCGCGTATCCCGTTTCTTCCTCCCAGCCTGTGTTAATGCTCCAAATGGTGTCGAGTTGCTCAACTTTGCCGTCATCACAGAGGCTGTTGTGTCTTAGGGGATTAACTGATGTGAGACACACAAAACCCTGCAACTCCATAACATAAACTATAGCACAGCCTTTCTGGAGAGGGCTGGAATATTTGAGTGAGTTTCCGAGAGGAAAAGAGGAGTTTTTTAGAGGAGAAACAGAGCACTTCTATAATGTGCCCTAACTGAGAAATCTTGTTCTACTGAGCTTTTCTTTAAGTGGAACCAGAAGTGCTGGGATGAGAGGGAAAGGATGGGAGTGCGTCCAAAGGTGGACAGCAGGTCCCCATCCCTGGTGGGAGTGAGACTGGACGGCATCCCCCGGAAAGGTGGTTTGGGCCTTGGACAAGGCTAGAGGCAGGAGTCCATGATGCAGAGATGACACAGTGCCCCTCCGCGTGTGAGTCCACGAAGGTCACTACTGAGGCTTTGTGCTTGTAAAAGGTCGCCACGCTTCACACAAGCTTCTATACTCAACACAGGGATTGATTGGGTACAGGGATCCCCCCATACCATACATGTAAGCATGTATGTCAATTAAAGATGCTCGTGCTAAAGAAACGGCCAACTTTGTTGAACTCAGAGGAACTGATCAATCATTTAACTAAGTAGAGGAAATGTTTGAATTTAATTCGCAATTTAGTTGCCTTTTTATATAAAACTATATATCTTTATTTATATTTGATGAATGAAAAAAGAAATCAGTTCATGACTTTAACTTAAACATATGTTTTTAAAAATATATTTCCCCCAGCTTAGCCAGTATATAAACTAATTGAGTTCTCCTGGTTAAGCATGATTCAGTTGTGATATTTAAGAGCGGGAGTGGTTGTTTAGATATTTTCTTCCTCACGTGAAACCTAGACTAATGAGTTATCATCTAACAAGCTGTAGGTAGTTTGGCTGGGCTGGATCCAGATGGTTTGAGTTAAATCTAGATTGTACTTGCCTAAAATTCTGTAAACCTCTAGCTACGCAAATCCTATTTCCAAAAATGCTGGGAAGTCACTGTATAAGAGTTTAAGCTACACTAGCCTCTCTGTGATTACTTGTAGCCTTTGGGGAAAGAATAGAAGAAAAGAAAATGTCAGCCTCTGTGAGGTGGGGCTGGTGTTTCAGGGGTTCCTTTTGAACATCTTGTTTTCTTTCCAAAGGTCAAAAGGAAGGCAGTGGATACATACTAGAATTTCTTCCATCTGTGAATGGTCGCAAGGCTGGAGAAGGTGGCTAGTGTACTTCAAGGCTCATTATCCTTTTCTGTGTTTTCCTTCCTGTTTTGGTAGGCTTAGCCAGCTCAAGCCTTGGGTGCCATTCTTCAAATTCCTTTGCCAAACTAATTTTACTTATTTGACTGGATTATTTGAGAGGTGCCACTTTCTTCTGGGTTGCTGTGATTTTGAGGGGGCATTTTCATAAGAGTCCAGGCATTAGGTGGTGAAACAGTCTGTGCTCCCAAACCTGCCCCTCCCAGGGCTCCCGGGAGACTCCAGAGTGCAGGTCTGTCTGGGGAGTCTCAGGGGTGGGCCTTGAGTGGAAGTGGGCCCACCTTCCACAGGAGTCCAAATTTTATAGGAATAAGAACAGCAGTAAAACAGGACAAGAGAGCAGGCAGGGAGCTGCCAAGGAAAGGCGATTCTTGGGAAGGCAGGTCACCCAGAATAAGGCTCCCCTGGCGCTGGAGAGCCGGAAGGGGGAGCGGGCACAGAGGACCTGGTTTAGGTGTGGGGGTTACTAGCACAAGTAGAGCCATCCTTCAGATTCTCCTTCAGAAGCAGCTGCTTTCCAGAGAAACCAGGTGAGGGACAGTTTCTGCATCTTTACACGCCAGCTCTGGAGATCTGCCCACCTGCCCCCAGCCGCCCCCCTCCCCGGGCGAGCCTGGGCTAAGTATCAAGTCAGGACAGAAGGGCGGTCCCCAGTCGGCTCCTGGCCCACTCTGCTTCCCCAACACCTAGGGAGCTTGGGCTCAGCACAGGCGCTTCTCCAGCGATCGGGGCAGAACCAGGACGTGCAATGCGACTGCCCCCCCCTCCCCGCTCCCCGGCAGAGCTTCTGTCCGCGCCAACCCACCCACCAGGCTCTGCCCGCGCCACGCGCGCCCCTGGCAGGCCTGGGGCGGGGAAAGGCGAAGCGCTGGGCACGCGAGGGCCTGTGCACCCCAGTTCCTACGACGCTCCTGGCCCTTTTCAGGCCCGCCGCTGCCGCATTTAACCCCCTCCTTCCGGGGGTTATTCTGAAGAAGTCTCAGACCCTAGACCCAGCCTCCCAGACCCCGTCCCCGAGCTCGCCCGGTGGGCCTGTAGGCCGGTCCTCCTTCGCCCAGAGGAGAGCGCAGACACGCAATGTCCGCCCGTTGGCCCCGCCCGCCCCACCCCTGCTCCCCGCGCCCCTTCGTTTCGGCCTTTGTCTACAGGCCGGGTCGGAACGTCAGCCCCAGGAGCCGACGGTGGCTCTCTGCTCGCCCCGGGGAAGGTGTTGCTCTCCTATCGGCCCCAATTCCCCGCCCGGCGCCTGGGGCTTGGCTGCGGGGCTCGGCTCCCAGCCGAGGGCGCAGGGCTGGCCAGGCCTGCTTTGGCTGAGGTGGAGATCTCGCTCTCAGGGATTGTTGGGCGTCTCTGCCCCGCGAGTAACGAGACCGCCGCGAGCGAACGGCTTTCATTGAGTCCATTTTTCCAAGTGTCACCACGTCAAGCTAGAGAAGCGAGGCGAGTGGAGGGGACGCAGAGGGGCCGGAAAAGTCACCCTTCTCTGGCCTCGTTTTCAGATAAAAACGGGAGCCTGGCTCGGCATCCGGGCGCCCGGTGTCTCCGGGGCGCTTCACTGAGGTTTTGTTTGCAAAACTAGCGTCCGTGTCCTGAAGCGCACGGCGTCTGGAAGCTGCTTTCCTGCTCGCCCTCTCCGAGGCCCCTCTTTGTGCAGCGAGCCTGAGAAATATGGAGGACCGTCCTCCGCAAGCGGGTGGTCGCGGGCGCTCTCCGATTCCTGGGTGAAGCTAGAGGGAAAACGGGGTTCCCGGGTCAGTGCCCCACTTTCCATCCCGGGAGAAACTAATGTCCGGAGAGGGCTCGTCTGATCCGCACAGAAAGGCCGACCTTGAGGGCGGCGGTCGTTCGGGGGAGAAAGCGGAGGCTCTGGGCTCGCGGGAGCGCGGCAGCCGGGGCTGGCATCGCAGAGGAGAGACACGCCACTGCCCCGCATCCCCAGAAAGCGCGAGGCGCCGTCCCAGCTGGGGCAGGCGGCCGAGGCCGGTCCTCATGCGCGCTTCTCGAAGCTTCCTGAAACACCTTGCGGAGTTCCGTGTGTATAGAACTCAGCACCGCCCAGCCCCTGGGCAGCTCAACTTTCTGCAGCCCCATCCCAGCTTCCCCGGCCCTTTGAACGGTGACCCCTCTTACCGCTTTCCCAGAGTTGTTTCGTGTTTGGGTCCACTCTGGGGGGCCCGGTACCCTCTAGTTATCTCTCTCTTCATTTATTTCTCTTTCTCCTATTCCTCCCTCCACCTCTCACCTTCCTCCTTTCCAGGAGAGCGACCCACGAATTCCTCTTCCTCCAGCCAACCCCAGGGCCCAGCCCGCAGACCCTGCGAGGGCAGGTCTCTGCCCACCGGCCCGCCAGGCGCCCTGGAGGTGACGCTCTGCTTCCCAGAGTCTCTGTTGCAGCCACGAATTGGGGTCTGGGTCGCAGGAAAGCACAGGGCTGAAGCCCAGCGTCTTGGGGCCATTTATACTGAGGCAGTCAGAGGCAAAGAGTCCCAAGAATTCAGAAAATACTTCTCAGGAAGCCGCCTAATTGGCTTTCATGGGACAGGTGGAGCCATTAACCTGGGATGGTTTTGCAGGAACCAAAGAGCTCAGGGCCCCTCCTCCCCCCAATATCATGTTCAGGAGACCCAGAGTCGTTGGACCCTCCCTTTCCTGACTGGTGATCATCAGAGTTTCCAGAGTTGCAGAAAATTCTCCCCCCAAAAAACCAAGTAAGCGTCAATAAGACTTCCCACAAACTCTCACCAGCCCTATTTTCCCGGGGGGCAGGTAGACTGTGGGGTTTGATTTTTTGAGACTCGGGGAGGACCCCTGGCAGATGTGTGCCTAGCCAGAACATTTGGTAAGGACTCCTCCAATGAAGAAAAAGTGGAGGAATCCAGCCCCAGCGAGAAGAGGCTTCCCCACCCTGCCCTAGACACACCGGACAGAGGGCACACTCTGACCAGAGCCACGTCCAGTGGCCAGGAGGCCAGCCCAGCACCTCCTCCCCCACCATTCCCGTCCTGGGTGGGGGGGTAATTTTCCTGGGAGCAGCTGTGGGAACTGTCGTTTCTCATCCCAGCCCAGCCAGCACTCTGAAGCCTGCAGGGGAAGGACAGCACGTGGGATGGACACTGGGGAAGGAGCTTCGCAAGGCCAGGGTGCAACCTTCAGGCCCCAGGTGGCCTGGCAGGCCACGCTGCCTCGGAGATGCTTGCCAGACTCCCCAAGTTCACTCAGGGCCTGGCAGCAACCTGCTGGCTGCCTCTGCGGGGGTCTGGGTTGCTGAGCACGGTGCAGCTGCCCAGGGCCAATCAGCCCTAGGGTGTCCGTGCCAGGCTGCGGCCTCCCCGCCTCCCCCGCACTGAGGGTACTCATGGCGTGCAAATGCTCCCGCACCCCCAGAGCTGCCCTATCGGATGTTTCCAGGAATTCACACATTTCCATAAAAATGCATTTTAAATGATGGACAGGCGAGCCTGGGGTAACAACGGGTGTTTGGTGGGTAGACAAGAGCAAATGGGAAGGAGCCCGAGGGAGGAGGGGGAAGAGAAGAGGAAACAGAACTTCCAGTTGGACATTCTGACAACAGCTGGAAGGAAAGTCTAGAAAAGATGAAGAGAGAGGAGGGGAGAAACCAACTGGGGCTCCCACCCTTGCCGTTGGATTCCTAATTCTCGTTTCAAATGGGCCCTGCTCTCCGGCAAAATTAGTTTAAAGGATTTTAAAACAAAGAAAACGAGATGACCGGTCTGGGAGCTCCTCAATCAGAGTAGAGAAGTTAGAGGGGGGCGGGCGACTTGGTTTTGAAGTCTTAGCTGAACAGTCACCCCTCCTCTCCTTGGCAAAAAGGATTCCTTTAGAACCTCCGAGGCTCCTGGATTTCTCCCTTCGCAAATGGAGCCGCATACTGCATTCCCCCGCTCTTTCGGATCGCTAAGCATGTTTCATGAGGGTCGCTGTCCCCGGGTGGAATGCGGCCGTATGCACGCGCCTCCCTGCACACGCACACACACGCACACTTACAATAAGTGTCTGCAGGAGGAGTGTCCTGCGCGCCAGCTCTGCGTTTAAGACAGGAAGCTGCCGGGTTACCGAGTCAAATGGGAGTGACACTATTCCTCTCCATCAGCAAGGAAAGCGGACCACAAAAGTCCCTTTGTATCTCGGCAGCTCATTTAATATTATTTATGCATTTTGTGCAAGGAATTGTGGGATTTCGCCCCACGGTAAACAATATGGAAATCTTAAAAATAGCGATCTTCCTGTGCGTGTCCACCTACGCGCCCCGGGGTGACCTGGCGGGGCTGTCGCCGGGTGACTCACACCCCTGAACCGCGAAGCGACAGGGAAAGCGCGGGCGAGCGCAGGAGACGCGGTCGGGGGTCTCTCCGGGTTCCTGGGCTCCCGCACCCGGAGCGGGGGACGCGGCCGCTTTAAGGGGAGGAGGGGCGGCGGGCTGCTCCTGTCACCCAGCGGCGGCCGGAGCGTCACGTGGGCGCGCGGCGCCGCGGCCATTGGCCCGAGGCACGTGTCCAGGAGACCGGCCTGCGACGTCACTCGAGGGGGCTCTGTTAAAAATAAGAACAAAAATCCAGAGTGAAAGTGTCTCAGGTTGCGCCGAGTGGCCTGGAAATTTCCGAGCCCGCGCGGAGGCCGAGGCGGCGAGGGCGGCGGACGGCCGGGGAGCGCGGGCGGCCCAGCCCGGCCCGGCCGGGCCCTGGCCTCGCGTCTCTCACCCATGCGACTCGGGCCGCGGAGCTCTGCGGGGCTCGGCGGGGGCGCGGCCGCACGCCGGTGGGGCGCCCCGGCCCGCAGCGGGGCGGCGGCCGCGAGGAGGGGGCCTCCATGTGCGTGCGGGCGGTGGCGGGCGCGCTGACCGCGGGCGCCCGGCACCCTCGAGGGCCGGCTAGGGCGTGCGGGCGGGGACGGCCGGGCGGCGGCGGCGGCCGGAGCCGGCCCGGGCGGGCGTGAGCGCCGGGGAACGCGCTGCCTGCATGCGCGCAGCTCTCGCCCCGGGCGGCCCAGGCGGCGGCGCCGGAGCCCGAGGCGGCCGGACGCGGAGAGGAGCGGGGAGCCCGGGAGGCGGCCCGCGTCCCCGCCGGACCACTGCGACTGTCTAGACCCCGGCTGCGCGGCGAAGTCGAGGACTTGGCTCTGTTGAATCTCTCATCGTCTGGGCGAGCGGGGCGGCTCGTGGTGTTTCTAACCCAGTTCGTGGATTCAAAGGTGGCTCCGCGCCGAGCGCGGCCGGCGACTTGTAGGACCTCAGCCCTGGCCGCGGCCGCCGCGCACGCCCTCGGAAGACTCGGCGGGGTGGGGGCGCGGGGGTCTCCGTGTGCGCCGCGGGAGGGCCGAAGGCTGATTTGGAAGGGCGTCCCCGGAGAACCAGTGTGGGATTTACTGTGAACAGCATGGAGGAGAATGACCCCAAGCCTGGCGAAGCAGCGGCGGCGGTGGAGGGACAGCGGCAGCCGGAATCCAGCCCCGGCGGCGGCTCGGGCGGCGGCGGCGGTAGCAGCCCGGGCGAAGCGGACACCGGGCGCCGGCGGGCTCTGATGCTGCCCGCGGTCCTGCAGGCGCCCGGCAACCACCAGCACCCGCACCGCATCACCAACTTCTTCATCGACAACATCCTGCGGCCCGAGTTCGGCCGGCGAAAGGACGCGGGGACCTGCTGTGCGGGCGCGGGAGGAGGAAGGGGCGGCGGAGCCGGCGGCGAAGGCGGCGCGAGCGGTGCGGAGGGAGGCGGCGGCGCGGGCGGCTCGGAGCAGCTCTTGGGCTCGGGCTCCCGAGAGCCCCGGCAGAACCCGCCATGTGCGCCCGGCGCGGGCGGGCCGCTCCCAGCCGCCGGCAGCGACTCTCCGGGTGACGGGGAAGGCGGCTCCAAGACGCTCTCGCTGCACGGTGGCGCCAAGAAAGGCGGCGACCCCGGCGGCCCCCTGGACGGGTCGCTCAAGGCCCGCGGCTTGGGCGGCGGCGACCTGTCGGTGAGCTCGGACTCGGACAGCTCGCAAGCCGGCGCCAACCTGGGCGCGCAGCCCATGCTCTGGCCGGCGTGGGTCTACTGTACGCGCTACTCGGACCGGCCTTCTTCAGGTGAGCCCGCGGGGACCACGCGTCCCGGCTCGCCGCGGGGAGGCCCGCGGAGCTGGGGGGCGGTGCTGGCGCGGGAACTTACCGGGAGGAAAACATCTCGAACCTCCCCCGCGCACACGCACAAAGACTCACGCGACATTGTGTGAAGCTGACGCCGGCCCGGGCAGCGGCCAGGAGTCCAGCGGCAGGACTGATTCGCTAGGGGGTACAGACTTCTTAGGACCGCAGAAGGGACCTTCTTTCTTTCTCTGTCTCTCTCTCTCCTTCCTCTCTCCCTGTCTCCCCTCTCTGTCTTCCACCCCGCCTTGGCGCATCTCTTCCCAGCCCCTAGCCCATGTCTCCCCCACTGTAGTTTTTTTTGGTGGGAACGTGGTGGCTGGAAGATGGGCCCGGAAGTGCACACTCTCATCCCCTTCCCTACGATCTTCCAACTCAGGCCAGGCCGGGGACGCATGCCCCAGCCCACCCCAGACTTGTCCTACCATCCGGTTATCCCGGCTGTGCTCGGGGAAGAAAAGGCGAGGCCCTTTGCCGCTCTGCCTTCTGCCCCTCGGGCCTGCGCTGACCGGTGGGACTCAGGAGGATGCACACAGGGAAGGAGGAAAATAAAGGCGCCCTTTCCCCTTGGCTCCACTTTGTTTGCCAGCGCCAGCCCGCAGTGGTGGGGCTCAGCCCCCTTCCTGCACACAGCGAGGACAAGGGAGGCAGCCGTCCCTCCCGGCACCTGCCATCCCCAAATAGAAAGGACCTTCTCTCAGGGTTTCCTGGGGGCTGCTGATGGGAAAGAGGCAGCATTCGCAGGGGCCCTGCAGAGATGCTGGATATATTTTTTCATAGATCTGCGATTTTAAAAAACTAAGTCCATGTCCTTGTAGAAATCATCAACTGCATTCCATGCGGGTCTGCGGCTGGGAACCGCCATTAGAAGTGGACTGTTTGACCCCGAGCTGGCAGCGGATCCCCGCTGCCCCCAAACCCTCAACTATTTTGCGGGGGTCATTTGCCCAGATCACAGCAGGAGTGAGCCAACCCTTGGGCCGCCATCCCGCAGAACTATGCGTGCATATTTCTGATGAAATTCAGATTTCTCAGCTAGATCTGAAATTTGCTCCATTGTTCTCGTCTTCCTCCTTTGTTAATATTTAATTAACATACAGGCTCACAATGCCGGGCGAGGAGACTCGGCCGGGCTTTGTGCGGCGCGGGAGTTCGCTGAGCCAGCCCCCAACGGCCCGGGAGCTGGGCAGCACCGCCCGGCCCGGCCTGGCCCGGCCCAGCTCAGCCCAGCCCAAGTCGCCTATCTTCATGGGCTTTAAAATATCCCTGCAAGATAATGTTTCTGTTCTTTGGTTTCTCCGAAAGAAAGGGGAGAGAGAGTTTTCTTGGGGAGGTTTGATTCTGTTTCTGAGACTCCTAAGTATTTGTCTTTTGAAAGAAAATCAAGAAAAAAACCTAAAAATTATTATTTTAGGGAAATTTATTGCCATAAAATGGTGTCCTTTTGCGGGCTGCTTCATGAGTGCATTAACAAGAGCCCCAGGACCAGAAGAGTTTGGGGGTAGAGTTCTGGGGAAGGGAGTGGTTGGAAACCCAGACAGAGATGGGCTCTGGGAGCAGGAGGCTGGGGCCTCTCCTGGAGCCTTGTGCCCCATCCCCCACCACCGTTCCGGAGGGCCAACCCCATCTCCAAATCTGCACCTACCCCTACCAAAGCCAGGCCCACTGGCCTGGAGCCCTGGGCGTGAGCAAGACAGGCACTGAGTGTGTACGTGTGCATGGGGTGGGTGCCCAAGTATAGGGTGTGTGCTCTCATGGGTGGTGAGCCTGCCTATGGGTTGCTTTAAAAGCTGCCCTTGGTGCTCCTGAGGTGGTGCCCACAGATCCTCTTTCTCCAGGCCTGTCTCCTGGAGAGAGCACAAGACTCACTTGGCCATGAGGGAGTGCTTGGCATTCACCCTGGGCCTCCAGTTCGTCCCCCACCTCTTGCTGGGCACAGCCCCAGCACCCTAGTTGACTCTCCTGACCTGGGCAGGGTGCAGTCCCAGGGCCTCCAAGGAGATCCACATTCCTCTTCTCCTCAGTGTGCCCGGCAGCTCTCCGGCCCTGAAGGGTGGGGGGCCCCCAGCCTTCTCCAGCCACAGGGACCTGTGATGAAGCTGGGGCCAGATGCTCCCTAAAGCCGATTCATACACCGCACAAATTGAAACCCAGAGGCGAGGTCACCACTCCCTGCCAGTGGCCTTGCCCCCTTCTTCCCCCACAGGGAACGCCAGGGGGTTGAGCCTCTTATCACCAAAAAGAAACTGATGACACTTCCCTCCTTCTGCTCTCCTCCCTCTGCCCTTTCCCCATGGATAGCAGGTCCTAGAAGCCTTACAGCGACCCTGTCCAAAACCTGGGGCAGGTCCACAGGGAGAAGGCCAGGTCAGGTTCATAAGTCTGAATCCCAGTTGGGAGGCACAGTGGGGAGGGTCAGAAGTGGACCTGGACAAGGTCAGCTGGGCTACCCTGCTGCCCACAGTGAAGCAGTCCCATGTCTGGGGAAAGGGTGGTGCAGTCAACACCCTTGTAGAGCCAGGTCCCCTCTCCTGGACAGGAAACCTGGGAGATTTCCAGTGGGTGAAGGACTCACCCACTGTGAGTAGCTCAGTGCCCCTCCCCACCAAGGAGGGAAGTACATGCACTGACTCTTCCTTAAAGGAATGAACTTGGGTCCACAGAGCCCTTGGCTGGGAGTCATAGAGGAGCTTGGGTGGAGGCAGACACTCTGGGCCCCTCCTGTCCTCAGGGCCCACCTGCCCCTGATTCCCACAGCCCTTGGCACCCTGTGGGGTATCCCCATGAGGGTCCCCATCATAGCCCTCAGGGCGCCTCCTGCTTCTGTGACCGCCCTGCAGCCTTTCCCAGTCTTCTCTCCTCCCCTCTCTCTCAGCACCTACCGCCATCCCTGTTCCTGAACAGAGAGCCTCAGAAAGGACTAGGAAAAACCAGGCCAGAAAGTGTGGGGAGTTTTGCTTACATCCAGGAGTTTTACTTTTATCTAGAGACCCCTCATTTGTGGTCAGCCTGCCCACTAGGCCTGCCCCATAGTCCCACTTACATCACACGCAGTCCTCCCTCACCAAGTGGTGGAGGTCCGCGTTGAGCCCATGCCCAGTCCGAAGTCTAGCCCCACATCTGGCGGTTCAGCCTCGAGTGGCCTTGGGCGAGTCACTTCCCTCTTGGGGCCCCAGAATCCTTACCCGGTGCCTATTGGGTGGCACACCTCTGGGTAACCTGACTTCTCTCTGTCCACCGTATCTACCCAGGTCCCAGGTCTCGAAAACCAAAGAAGAAGAACCCGAACAAAGAGGACAAGCGGCCGCGCACGGCCTTTACCGCCGAGCAGCTGCAGAGGCTCAAGGCCGAGTTCCAGACCAACAGGTACCTGACGGAGCAGCGGCGCCAGAGCCTGGCGCAGGAGCTGAGCCTCAACGAGTCACAGATCAAGATTTGGTTCCAGAACAAGCGCGCCAAGATCAAGAAGGCCACGGGCAACAAGAACACGCTGGCCGTGCACCTCATGGCACAGGGCTTGTACAACCACTCCACCACAGCCAAGGAGGGCAAGTCGGACAGCGAGTAGGGCGGGGGGCATGGAGGCCAGGTCTCAGTCCGCGCTAAACAATGCAATAATTTAAAATCATAAAGGGCCAGTGTATAAAGATTATACCAGCATTAATAGTGAAAATATTGTGTATTAGCTAAGGTTCTGAAATATTCTATGTATATATCATTTACAGGTGGTATAAAATCCAAAATATCTGACTATAAAATATTTTTTTGAGTTTTTTGTGTTTATGAGATTATGCTAATTTTATGGGTTTTTTTCTTTTTTGCGAAGGGGGCTGCTTAGGGTTTCACCTTTTTTTAATCCCCTAAGCTCCATTATATGACATTGGACACTTTTTTATTATTCCAAAAGAAGAAAAAATTAAAACAACTTGCTGAAGTCCAAAGATTTTTTATTGCTGCATTTCACACAACTGTGAACCGAATAAATAGCTCCTATTTGGTCTATGACTTCTGCCACTTTGTTTGTGTTGGCTTGGTGAGGACAGCAGGAGGGGCCCACACCTCAAGCCTGGACCAGCCACCTCAAGGCCTTGGGGAGCTTAGGGGACCTGGTGGGAGAGAGGGGACTTCCAGGGTCCTTGGGCCAGTTCTGGGATTTGGCCCTGGGAAGCAGCCCAGCGTACCCCAGGCCTGCTCTGGGAAGTCGGCTCCATGCTCACCAGCAGCCGCCCAGGCCCGCAGCCTCACCCGGCTCCCTCTCCTCACCCTCCTGCACCTAACTCCCTCCTCCTTCTCCTTTTTCCTCCTCTTCCTCCTTCCTCCTTCCTCCTGCTCCTCCTTTCTTCTTCTTTTTCTTCTCCTCCTCCTCCTTCCTTCCTCCTCCTCCTTCTCTTTCCTCCTCCTCCTCACCAAGGGCCCAACCGTGTGCATACATCGTCTGCGTCTGTGGTCTGTGTCGCTGTCCCCAGTCCCACCGCAGTCCTGCCGCAGGCCTAACCCTCCTGCCCTGGGCACTGCCTCCATGCAGAAGCGCTTCGAGGTTCTGGGGCTAAAGGCCTGGGGTGTGTGGCCTAAAGCCCAAGAGCGGTGGGGCGACCCTCCTTTTGGCTTGGCCCCAGGAATTTCCTGTGACTCCACCAGCCATCATGGGTGCCAGCCAGGGTCCCAGAAATGAGGCCATGGCTCACTGTTTCTGGGCGGGCAGAAGGCTCTGTAGAGGGAGATGGCATCATCTATCTTCCTTTCCTTTTTCTTTTCTTCCCTATTTTTTTCTTTTTTTCCTTTATTTTTTTCTTTTCTTGGAGTGGCTGCTTCTGCTATAGAGAACATTCTTCCAAGATAAATATGTGTGTTTACACATATGTCTGCATGCATGTGAACACACACACACACACACACACACCAGGCGTGTTTGAGTCCACAGTTCTGAAACATGTGGCTACCTTGTCTTTCAAAAGAACTCAGAATCCTCCAGGATCTAGAAGAAGGAAGAAAGTGTGTAAATAATCATTTCTTATCATCACTTTTTGTCTTTTCTTGTTTTTTAAAATATACATTTTATTTTTGAAGGTGTGGTACAGTGTAAATTAAATATATTCAATATATTTCCCACCAAGTACCTATATATGTATATAAACAAACACATTATCTATATATAACGCCACACTGTCTTCTGTTTAGTGTATGGGGAAAGACCAATCCAACTGTCCATCTGTGGCTGGGACAGCCCAGGGGGTGTGCCCACGGCTGACCCAGGGGTGTGCACACGGCTGAGCTGGGAGTCCCGCTGGTCTCCCTGAGGACTGAGGGTGAACTTCGCTCTTTGCCTTAAACCTCTTTATTTCATTGCAGTAATAGTTTTACGTTGTACATAATAGTGTAAACCTTTTTAAAAAGGAAAGTATAAAAACAAAAGTTGTAATTTAAAAGTCTGAATAACCATCTGCTGCTTAGGAAACTCAATGAAATGACATGCCTTTTTAGCAGGAAGCAAAGTTGGTTTCTGTTTTTTGTTTTCTTTGTTGTTTTAGTTTATAAAACATGTGCATTTTACAGTTCCAGTATCAAATATTTATAATCTTATGAGAAATGAATGAATGTTTCTATTTACAACTGTGCTTATCAAAATTGTGAACACCCCCACCCCCGCATTTTTGTGTGTTGAAATTCTTGAAGGTTACATTAAATAAAACAAAATCTCTTTATTATAAAATACTGAAGGTCCCAGGTGGAATGATGAGTTTTCTAAGCATGTCTGAGTCCAGAGGAACTGCCTGGGCATCCTCCCCAGTACTCAGGTGCTCATGGCCTTCGCCCCGCCTGGGAGCAGGTGCCAGGTGCCTTTGTAGCGAGAGGTGATTATTATTTTTTTTTAAATAAGACAGTTTGGATATGTCACATGTGAGCACAGAATAACCAAAAGAAGTACACATTTTGTTACCAGGAGGAAGTGTTCAAAACTACGGTGCTATTCCAGTGACTACATTTTTTTAAATTTTGCGAAGTTCAACAGGTCTCCCTCCGGCTGGGTGCTCACTGGCCCTGCCACCCGTGCTGGACCGAGGCGCTTTCCCCTGGGGACAGGAACTTTTTACTCCACTGAGACAAAGAGACTCTCCTTTTCAAAGTGTCATTTTTGTTTACCTTTTGTTGTTTCCCCCCCAAAACAAAAGACTTTGTACAACTTCCTAAGCAGGATTGGGGGAGGGATCAGCTTCGCCTGTGCTGACCGCGCCTCTGGATTCCGCTCATCAGGAAGTGTTTGGGGTCTTTGAGCGAGTGATCTACGCGTTGAATTGCTGTTTTTCCAAACTTTCATGGCTTAAAAATTTTTTTTCTTCTCCCTGTAAAAGAAACTCAGAGACTGGTGATCTGTTACCGAAGACGACTTTTTAGGCGTTTTCTGTTTCCCCAGGCAGCTGGGCCGTTGGCGTTCCCAGGCGGAAGCGGGGCCTCTGGGCTGGGCCTCTGCCCTGCCAGGAAGCGGTCTGGGGGCTGCCCCTCGGGATTTTCAGAACCCTGGAAGGAGAGAGCTGGGGTCTCACCGCGGAGACTCCCGAGTTCTCGTTGCCTGGGCCCGAGCTGCGCCCCAGGGTCATCGCTGATGGCGCGAGACCACGCATTCCCCGCGAACCCCGACTTCTGAACAGTTCAGAAAGTTCGTAGATTAAAAACCAAACAAAAAATACTGGCACAACTTCTATTGCCGTATTGGCCTCTCTCTTATTTTAATAAAAATACGGTAACATGAAGCGATCATTTTTTTAAAAATCTGTTTTCAAAGTATAACACTGAAAAGGGGCAAGGCACAGCTTTGTAAGGTAATGAGTTCCCCGTCCTCAGAGGTGTTCAAGCAGACGCTAGGCTTACAGTGGCATGGAGAGTGTTCTTTCTCTTTGGAACTGGATGAGTCCTCAGACCCTTGAAACGCTGAGTTTTTTTTTTTTTTTTTACTCCTATGTTTATTACATTTTAATCCAACAGCATATAATCTAAGCTGCTCCCTCATGGAGAGCCGCGGCTGTGCCACCTGCCTGCTTTCGCCATGGAGACCGGAGTCAGGCCTGCAGGGAAGTCGGTGCGCCTTTCCCAAGTCCTCTGCCCGCTGGTTCCTCTCGGGCCTCCCGGGCTCTGCGTGCCGCGGATCTGGACCCGGACTGCAGACACCGCCCCACGACTGGGCCCCCGGCCAGACTGTTACCCCACAGGAGGAGGGTTCCCTAAGTGTGCAGAAGAGGAAAGCTCATTTATAAAGTCCTTGCTCCTTCGAGCTGAACGACCCCCGCGCCCGAGGCCTAGCTGTGTCCCCGCCGGGCCCAGGCTGAGCTTACTCCACACTGCTCCATAGCCGGGCAGAGACTCCGCGAGGGTCTGGGAGTCCTGGCCTCGGAGGACCCGCCGCCCTGCAGGCCTGCCCAAGCAGGCGCCCCCGCGAGAGTGCGGGACAGAGAGGGCCTGGCGGGGCTCCTTGGCGCTGAGAGCCCTCCTTCTCCGCTGCACCCAGCTCTGCCAACGGGGCTGGATGAGTGGGGGCTGGAGTCAGAATCCCAGGGTCTACACCCGCCGACAGCAGCAATGCCGACCCGCCCTGCCTTTCTCCTAAGGAGCGGAGGGAAGGAGCCATGTGAATGACCCCAGCCTGACCACCAAGAGGGCGCCAGCATTTCTGTTTTCCTAGAGTGAAAAGGTCAAATCGATGGGGGCTCCTACACCGCTGGACACAGGTGCGCCCGGGCGTCCAGTGCGCGCAACACACGCCCAGACACTCTATATGCAAATATGCCTGCCGCCGCGGAGCCGGCCGGGAGGCAGCGTTTGTTCGCTGGGGTTCTGCTAGAAGTCATTCTGTCTCCCGCTGGTTTAATATCCGCCCTCTGCGGTCTCCGCTCGCCTCGGCGGCTCCCGAAGCGCCCCCGGGAGGGTCCCGGCTCCGCCGAAAACTGCAGCCTGCCAGGCTGAGCCGCCGCGCGCTGGGAGGTTAATAGCGACTGACGACAAAGGGCCAAGGTGCAATTCCTAAAGCGGGGATTCGCCGGGTGAGGCAGAAATCAGCCTCCGGGGAGATGGGTCCCCCCTTCCCGACGCGCCCCTGCACACACTGCTGCCCCGGCGCCGGGCCTCCGGGCGGGGACCCCTCTTCCGGGCATCGCGGCCCCATTCGGCGGAGAGCTAGGCCCTCTCCAGGCCTCCAAGTAGGGAGCGGACGTGGGTGGTGGGGAAGGGAAGCCGCCGGCGGGACGGAGAGTGGGGTCCCCCGGACCCTGGGTCGGGCAGGCCTGGCGCTGGCAGCTCTGTTGCACAGATTTGTGAGCGATGCTGGTGGCCGCATTGCCGCGCGGCGCGAACCCCAAGTAGACCATTCATGTTTTTATTAATAATCTCAAACACTTCATTATATTTATGCTGCCTGCCCAGAGAAAATAAAAGGCCATTCTTGAAATCGCCTGAAATGTAATAATATTCATTAAAGCGCCTCCTAATTATGTGATTTAATCAAGCGTGGTGCGCCCGCGCTCTCGGCTCTCGCTGGAAAGGCTGGCGATGACGGTTATTATTACTGCTGTTGTTAGTGGCCTCGTGATAGCAGCCGGCCAGCTCTTCAGTCCAGGCCCAGTTTCCTCAGAGAGACTCGGGGAGCCCCACTTTGAGGGATGGGGTTCCCCGGAACGACTCCGAAGTCCCGGAGACCAGGCGCGGCCCAGGCCCTCTGCCCTTCTCCAGCCCCAGCCCCAGCCCCAGCCCCAGCCCCGGGCAAACTCTTCCAGGCCGAGGGCAGGACTTTCTCCAGACCCTTGGGGCCCTCTGTGTCCCCTGGGGACGCCCGACCCGGCTTTCTAGGAGGGGGAACTCCGGGTCCTGAGCCCGGGCCCCGCCCCGTTGGCTGTTCCGCCCCCTCCAGGGCTGAGCCCCGCGCAATGCCCGAAGCAGAAACAAAGAGTCGCCGAGATCTGCCTCCTGGGCCGCCTTTTCACCCCCTCAGCCTGGAAGGCGTCCCAGAGAGGCCCCACCCCCAGCCTCCACGGAGACCCAGGAGGGAAGAAGAGCCGGGACCCGGTAGCCCTGAGGGGCTGCCGGGCCTGCGGCGCTTTCTCCGCCGCAGAGGGGTTGGGTGGGAGACGCAGGCGGGAAGGACCCTGTCCCAGCCGAGAGTCCTCTGTGGGGTCGAGGAATGGTGAGGATCACTGTTTGCACCAACCGTCTGGAAGAAACCGGGCGGCCAGCCGCTCGACCCCATCTGTCGAGATGTGAAACTTGGCCGCGCGGTCCGGGCGCGCGCTGCCTGCGCGGAAGGAGCCGCCTCCCTCCTTTCAGCGAACGCATTCGGGGTTCCCCCCTCCCGCCAAGTCCTTTGTCTGGAAGGGGACTGGCAGGCTCTGTCGTCGCCGTGTGCCCCCCTCCTTTCCCCAGCCTCTACCCCCTCCAACTAACTTTCCTTTCTTCCCTTCTCTTTTCTTCCCTCTCTGGATGGGTAATCACAGGCTCCGCTGCCAAGCGCGCTGCGAGGAGCCGCTGCCCGTTCCCGTCGGTGCCCCTCCCCGCGGCAGCCTGGCCGAGTCCGCCCAGCCTGCCTAGGACGTCCCTGACCCGCGCGCTCAGTTTCATTCAGTGGCCGTGGGATGTTGCATCTGAGTTTTTCCTTTAGGCCAAAACTTTGTCCCGAGGTTTTTCTGAGAGGGTTTTATTCTCCAACAGCAACAACAACATGCGAATTCTTAAAACTAGTATTTATTTCGATTCAGGCAGTCAGGGAAATGGCAGAATCACCAGCCGTTTGCAGAATTCTACGCTCGCCAAGGCAAGTACTATTAGTATATTTTCTCCCAACGTTTTCGTTGTAAAATACACATGACAAAATTTGCCCTCTTAACCATTTTAAGTGTACACTTCAGTGGCATTAAATAAACCCACAGTGCTGTGCAACATCGCCACCATGCATTTCCAGAACTCGTTTTATATTGTAAAACTGAAGCTCTGTACCCATGAACACTACGTCCCCATCTCCCCACCCAGCCCCTGCCACCCACCATTCCACATTCCTTCTCTATAACTGACTGTTCTGAGTGCCTCATACAAAGCTCTTACTATGTGACTGCAAGTAAGGTTCCCCAGTAAGTCATGTCCATTATAACACAGAGGCTGCCACGGTCAGCCTCACCATGCCTTCTAATGCTCGTGAAAGTTGAGAAACTCCCAGTCACCCAAATGAATGGTGGAAAGACAGGAGCCTGCCTGCAAAGAAAGCTTTAGGTTGAGCTCTTCAGATGCCCAGGGATTTGCTGTGGCACACAGGCTTAGGACAGTTTGGGTTCTGTGTTTTTCATGCAAATACTTCTGTAGCATCACTTAGCACTGAAAGAAGTGTGGTTCGGTGGAAAGCATAGAATTTTGAAATGACACAGCCCTGTGTTCAAATCACAGCTTGACTGTTCACTAAGTCCTCCAGAGTCCAGCCATTCTCCTCTTTCTCAGAAAGTTCATCTACCTAATGAGTTTCTGGTGAGATTGTTTTGGGAGGTGATGAACGCAGCACCTGGCATAGAACAGAGAGGGGATGGGGAGGCGAAACTCTCCCAGGTGAGCCTCTGCACCCCCCAGCAGTGGCACCCTCCACAGCCCAGGTGCGGTTTTCAGTAGGGCCCTTACACCTTCTTGCTTTTCCCAGCCAATGAGGCATCCACGCTGCTGCTTAGGAGTAGGGGAAAGGATGTAATGCACGCGAGAGGCAGTGTCCACACCGTGAGAAAAAAGTGGGACGGTGGCAGGAGGTGCGGGAGAGTGGGACAGGATTCTGCCCATGAAGCCCAGGATGCTGGAGGATGCTGGCCAGCACTTCCAGGAACAGAACCTTCCTGCTCTTTGGAAACTGCTGTGTGAGTGCTTGTTTGTTGCAGGGCTCAAACACGCAAAATCTTCATTTCAAGATTTTTTTCTCCACACTTGTCTTGACCCCCAAATAAGCAAGGTGTTCTGCCATGGGTTTCTATAGACACCCAGTACTTTACACACCACTCTCTTTTCCATTGCAAGTTATAATGGCCACGCTAAGCAGAATCCCATCATGATGAGAAGGATCTGGCTCAAAGCACAGACAGGAGTGCTTCCCATCTCCAGGCACCAAACTAGGCAAGAGGGCAACGGGCAAAGCCAGCCTTGCCTGTGTGTCGGTCAGTGCACGCCCCACGCACCTTGCCACCCCAACCCAGCTCTTCCTCCAAGAACGAGTGGGCGTCCTAATGGTGGGACGATCTATTTTGTCTAAATAGCGAAGAGTCTCAGTAACCCTTTTAAATTAATTGCTGTTCCTATAGCTAAAAGCATAACAGGCTTTGATTACATGCTAAATAGAATGAAACATAATCCTGAGTTAATTACATGGAGATAATTTTATAATTATATCATTCAATTTAAGAACCAATGTGTTGCTAACCTCCAACTTTAACAGGAGTGATTATTCAAAATAAAAACAGTCACAAATCTGAACCTTTTGAAGGACCCAGCAGAGCCATCTTCTCCTTTCCCTCAAGTGGCAGAGAACGCGCATCACTCAGCCATCCATCGTCCGTCCCCTACCTGCAAGTCCTCCCTCCGAAAAAGTGAAAACACTGGAAACTCCCAGAGGAAAGGGGCTGTCTGCGGAGAGCATTTCCCAGCATCAACCTGCCCTCATCCACTGGAGTAGCCAATCTGCATTTCTGTGCTGCCCAGCTTGTATGTGGAAGTAATGTCCTAGGGTCCCTGACTCCAGGAGCCCCAGGCAGGATGCTCTGGTCTCTCATCAGGTATGAATGGAGTCTGTGGCCAGGAGCTGGGGTGAAGGTCAAAGCCCCAACCACCTCTACAGGTGGCTCACTTCCTGTCCCAAATATTAGTGCCCTTGGATGGGAGTGGCCACTACATCTAGCAGGACCAGGACTGGTAATCAATTTGTACCTGCAACTCTCTGTCGTAGTGTCCCCCACCCCCACCCACTAAGCTATAAAGGAAGAGGCTTTTGGTGGCCCCCTCAGGTGAGGTAGCTTTAGCAGGTGCTACTCCGGGGCCACTCTAGGCCTATTGCCATGACGGGCCTTCCTTTCTGAATGAAGGCCAGAACATCAGGTCTGGATGGAGAGTTAAATGTTCTGATTCTTTTAAAGGTGATCAAAGACCAGCCGGGCCCATTGCCCCTGGGAACTCAGTGAGCCTTAGAATTTATTTTAGTGACTGCATACTGCCTCAGAGTAGGCGATTCCACCAGTGACTCATCACTCGCAGAGAGAAAAACATCTTTTATATGTAGAGACGGGAACGCGCCCTGTGGATTCAGAGCCCCAAGGAAACAAAAACAGCACGTCAGAGGAAGAATGTCATACAAACCCGCTGGAGTCACAAGGCAAAACAGCCCCCATACCTAAACGCCCGGCGTGACAATGGCCTTTGTGCCTGGCGCCGTCGGGGGGAGCTGGGCGCCTAGCGGGTGGGGCAGGCGGAAGTTGGACACATTTCCACGCAGGTGAGGCCATCCATGGGGTGATGCGGGTGTTGGGGCTCGCTGCTTTCGCTCCATGAAGATTTGCAGCCCCCCCCAGCCAACCCACCCCATCCCTTCCCCCCACAAGGGTATTTCATCCACACTGTTTTTTAAATGCTTCCTAGTCAAACTTGAATATGCAATGAGACGCGGGAGCTTTGTGGCGGAAATATAATTAAACTGGGGAAAGATGTAAAAGCTGAAGAATGGGATGACATCAGGCTGATTTCACACTCGGCAGTCGGATCGCTGGGCCCAAGCCGCGCTCTTGCCACGCAAGGCAGATCAAAGTGCCCTGCCACCGCTAAAAAGGCAAAAGGGGACTTAAGTATGCTAATCCCCAGGACAAATATATTTTAATCTTGTTAGAATACAAGTTAATGCTGCAGCTCAGTGGCTGAACTTGGTCAGACTGTAGAGATCCATTTTTATTTTAGCTATGAATGAGCTAGACCTCTTGGTTTATTCATCGGTAATAAAAGTAAATTTACAAAACGAACCCCTCTTTGGGCTGTGTCACCCCCACCTTGAGCTCTCCTTACTGGGGACTGGGGAATTCCAGAGGCTTCCAAGATGGGAGCATCCCTAACACCATCCATCCTTCTCCGACCTGTCCCCTTCTGTAGAGCATCCTGATGGCCGAGGAAGGAACTCTGCTCACGCAGCAGAGAAGAAACAGGGAAACTCAAAAATTAATTAAAAGATTCTCCAAAGCAATCTGTTTCCCTTTAGGCTTGTGGTTTGACAACCAAACCAATTCCTTTCTGTCAGCCCTCTCACTTTAATTTTTGCAATGTCAATTTTCATTACTATTAATTATTTGCCAAGCTCCAACTGTACATTTGGCATTGCTCTGATGAGCAAGAAGCTCTCAGGTTCCTCCCTCTTTAAGTGTCGATTCCTGGAAGATATGAATATGCAAGTTTCTGCGTGTGTGTACATGTAAAATATTGGGCACACATAGAAGAAGAAATGTCAGCCTGTAGAGCTCCCCTTGAAATAAAACCACTGTGGTAAAATATTAAGCAGAACCACGGATATATCTGCACAGAGGAATGTGTGTGTGTGTGTGTGTGTGTGTGAGAGAGAGAGAGAGAGAGAGAGAGAGAGAGAGAGAGAGCGAGCCAGCCAGCGAGCCAGCACTTAACTGTAAGGTTACAGAAGGTTAAACGGCCCTGCAGAGCCTGCCTGCTAAATATTGCTGATGGCAGCCGCGTCTAAAAGGCAATTTCTGTCTTTCTGCTCTAGCGTGTGTTAGAATTCCCTCTGCCTCAGGCAGAAAACCTGACTCCCACTAAAGTGTGCTGCACAGCCCTGCATTCCAAAGCCTGTCTGTGCCCTTCCGGCTCCCTGGCCTCAGCAGGGGGGGCGGGTGCAGGAGGCTATGCGCGCACACACAGTCCCCCAGGCAGGCCAGGCAACTGGCAGCCCGAGGGGAGGGGCAGCTGGCAGCAGTATCCCCCTCCCCCACAGAGAGCTTGGAAGGTTGGGAGGAATCCACCCACCCCTGACTGTCCCTGGTTTCCAGGACTCGGGAATGTCCATCCCTGCCATATTTTTGTCTGTGTGGGAAGCAGACACACTGTCACTACTGTAAGCACACAATTGATAAACGGTGAGTTTCCAAATTCCCGGGAAGAAAAGCTGGACAAAGACCCTAGAAGGGAAGTGTCTCCCATATTCGTGTTTCTCCTAATCCCTTCAGTGTTCTGCCCTTTAGCTGTAGCCAGCTTAGTGCACACTCTAGCACTTCCGTTGCAGTTCGTGTTCTGGAAGTCACATTTCCCAGGCATTGGTGTAATGTCTCTTCCTGTCTCAAATAATAATAACACCCAATGTTGATTGAGTTCCTACTAGGTCTCAGTGTAGGAGTTTCTGAGGGCGGCCGTAACAGTAGCACACACTGAGAGGTTCACACGACAGAAGTCTATTCTCCGAGTCCTGGAGGCTAGAAGGCCAAAATCAAGGTGTCAGCTGGGCTCTCTCTGAAGGCTGCAGGGGAGACCCTTCTCGCCTCTTCCTGGCTTTTTGTGAAGGCTGGCAACCCCTCACTCCAATCTCTGTCTTTGCTGTCACACGGCCTTCTGCCCTGTGTCTGTACCCAAATTTCCCTTTGCTTATAAGGACACCAGTTACATTAGATTTGGGCCCCCCTTAATTCTGTGTGACCTCCTCTGATCACATCTGTATGGCCCTATTTCCAAATAAGGTTCCGTTCACATATTCCCAGGACATTAATGTGGGAGTACACTGTTCTACCCAGGACAGCCAATACTCACCATTGTATGTGGGTTATCTTCAGTCACTCTCATAATGCACCCCACCAGGTGGCTACTGGTCTTAACACCGTTTTACGGGGGAGAGGACTGAGGTCAGGGAAGGGAAGCTATCCGGGCTGGCCAGGGTGTGTGGGGCTGTGTGAGCTCTTATTTGCTGTGTGGCATTGCTCTCCGCGACCTTGGCTGGTTTACATCACCAGCAACATAATCCTGACTTGGTTTAGGCCTGGCCAGACTGCATGTGTGTGTCCCCAGGGAGACGCTGTCCCCCAGCACCGACGACATGCATGTGAACTTGCCTCGTAATCTGCAAGGGTGAAGCAAACACCGATGGCACTGGTGTCATGCCTGCTGTGCCTTTTCCTCTCTGGGCCTTGGTTTCCTCATCTGAAACCTGCAGATAATAGAATTAACTTGAAAGCCTGCAGTGACAATCACATGAGAGAGTGCCCATGGGCACTGGGATCCCGCCTGGTGTACAGTGAGCACTCAGTAAGTGTCTGCCAGGGCTGGCTGTGATTTTCCAACTGCAGACATAGCAAATAATGAACTCGTATGTGCTATCCTTTGGTTGTTTCAGTTCCCTGTAAGTCCCGGCTCCCTCCTCCTCTCTCCTGGAGATCTGAGGCTCTGCAGCAGCCTGATGCCACCCTCAGGGCTCTGGAACCAGCAGGCCAGAGGGAGACACCACGCAGCCTGCCACCGCTCCTTACCTGCTGTGCCTTGGTTTCCTCTATGCTAGATGGGGGAATTAATCTGCCTCAGAGGACTGTTGAACTTAGACACGTAACAAGCCCGGCACAGAATAAATGCTCAGTCAAAGGCAGTGACCGTTCTTACGGAGGCAGGAGCCAACGGGGATCCTCCTTGCCCACTGCAGGTCATGCCATCTCAGGGTTCCCTTGGGTGCTCTGCATTGCACGTGCCCAGTAAGGTGCTGAGACCATGGAGAGCACTCACGCACTCATTAGCACGGAGCCGTTACTGTTGCTGCTAGTATTACTGCTTGGCTGACTTCTCATGCGAGGGAATCTGGTTCCCATAGAGCAGACCCATAAGGTCTAGAGCTGAACTTCTCAAAGTGGAAGCTAAAGAACTTTTTATGAGGCTGGGAAATACAGGAACATAAAACTGAAAATGACTGGACACATAATCTTGCATCAAATCAAACATCGTGTTGTTTTCAGCGGAGAGCCAAGGCAGGTGTTCGATTATAATATTTGGGGAAAAGCTAAGGATGGAGCCCTCCCTTTCCCAGCTTCTTCAGTGGCCCCAGGAGCACATCTGTAGTGGAGACAAGCTGCAGGGCCCTCCCTTGTCTGGGGCTTTGCCTGGCCTCTGTCTTCATCTCTTTCTGGGCTCCACCAAGCCTTGGCCTCAGGGTGCTGAGAGACCAGGGATGCAATACGCTTGCCTCCATCAAAGGGGCACCAATAACAACAATCGTGTGCATCTGCCAGGTGCTCAGGAGCAGGATGCGCTGTGCCAGGCACTTCACAGGTCACCTCACTTGCCGCTCACAAAATCCGGTGAGGTGAGTCCTGGGACTAGTACAGGACAGTCCTAGGGAGGTATTGAGAGGGTGAGCCAGCCATCCAAACCCACAGAGCTGAGATCTATCCCTCCCCAAGTCACTGCATTTTAGAGAGAGTCACTGAGTGGGCAGGGGAGGCACTAATCCCAAGGAGTAGCTAGTCCACGATGGAAACGCAGGCATCGGCACACAAGGACAAGTATTTGGTGAAGAGGACTGTGGCATGGAGTGTGCTCCCCAGACATTCCATCTGCACCTGCCTGTTTCCCAGCCTCCTTTGTCGTTAGGTTGAGGACATCAGCTTAGTACTGACCAATGGTCTGGGAGCAAAAGTGACCCCATAGCACCCTTTGGTCCAAAGCTCTTAAGAGTGGATGTGGTTCTCCATGTCCTTTTTCTTTCCCTGCCTTTACAACTCTGGATGCCTCAAGTTAGATGATGCGGTCAGGACACTGAAGTGCACATTTCCTTGATCCTTGCATGACTGTGTGGAGCAGAGTGCCTCCAACTCACTTTGGACACATACAGCTAGGTCAATGAGATGTTGCAGTTAACTTAGAGCACCAAAGGCCAGCTCACTCTGGCCATACATGACCTACCTGGAACCCTGCACAACACGACAAGGTGACAACAGCCTGGCCCTCCTGACACTAGGGCCAGCCCCTGTCCTGAGAGAAGAGAGATGGCCTCCTTGTCCTGACTCTTTATATTTATATTCTTATTCTTTCCCACTTCTTGCTCTATGTGCCTAAACCTAGACCAGAGGGGGAAGATTATGTTTTGGACATCATGCCCAAATTGTTCCCTTTATGATAATGACTGGTTCCCATTGTTATAACTACTCAATGTTCAATTAGGAAATGGCGAGATGGCTCATCTGAAAATTTTTCTTGAGGGCTGAGAATGTAAAGCTGAGAATGAGTTAAATGCTACATCACGTTTTCCTGGTATGTGTTACATCTGCTGCTGCGTTAAAGCCGTTTGAGTGATTCCACACACCCTTCCCTCACTCAGGGTTCTGATGTGACACTGTTTGAACATGTTGACTTTAGCACCATTCTTGCAATGTCCTTGATATCGTAAAAAGCAAACGCTCATGCAGTTCAGTGCTTTTCCAGTGCCTCCCTCCACTGCCCATGGAAGGTGGTGATTCTGGGTGACACTTGCCTAACTCAAATACATTTATATCTTCATCTCTACTCACTTAGTAGGAGAAAGTCCTATATTTGTGCGGACTTGTATGACCCCTCCACTCAAAAATATAAAGTGTGCACACACTACGGTATACCATAAGCAGTGAGATGTTTTTTTCCTTGTTTTTCAGTGTTCATTGACCTACATTTGGAGTTTCATATTTGCTAGTATAGAGATAGAAGGTGGTGGAGA
The DNA here is from genome assembly GCF_000001405.40 of Homo sapiens. NCBI lineage: Eukaryota > Metazoa > Chordata > Mammalia > Primates > Hominidae > Homo > Homo sapiens. The sequence continues at coordinate 155,476,827 of NC_000007.14, forward strand.
AACAGGCTGCCCTGCACAGTTGAGCAGGTTGTTCACTGCACAGAGCAGCCCGCTGAGGTGGTTGAGTTAAAACCCAGCTTAGATTCTGTTTGCTAAGCTTTGTGTTCTGGCATAGGGTGGCATCCACTTCAGGAAGCACAAAGGCACCACCCACTCACCAAGGTGTTACTGCCAAAAGAGGGAGAATTCCCCTAATTTGTACAAAGACATGAGTGGGTTCCAGTAGCCTGGTAGAGAGGGGCCAAGGGAGTACAGAAAAAGGGGGTGGAGAAGAGGCAGTGACTACAGTATCAAGACAGGAGTGCCAGCACCTTATTTTTATTTAAAAACAAGATGAAACTCAAAAACAAAAAAACCTCAACAGTCACAAAAACAAACAGCCACTGCCAAGGTCTCTTGAAAATTAGGCTTGTTTTCATGTACAGCGCACAGAGGCAGGCAGACCTCATTTTCTTGTAGCCCACTTTATCGTGCTTCACAGAGAGTGCGTTTTTGCAAATTGAAGGTTTGTGGCAACCCTGTGTCAAGCAAGTCTATCAGCACCATTTTCCCAATAGCACATGCTCGCTTTTGTCCTGTGTCACGCTTTGGTAATTTTCACAATATTTCAAACCTTGTCATTATTATGATATCTCTCATGGTGATCTGTGATCAGTGATCTTTGATGTTATTCTTGGAATTGTCGTGGGGTGCCATGAACGGCACCATATAAGATGATGAACTTAATGGATAAACGTTGTGTGTGTTCTGACTGCTCCACTGATTGGCCGTTTCTGGTCTCCCTCCCTCTCCTGGGGCCTCCCCATTCCCTGAGACACAAAAACAATGTTGGGTTTCAACAACATTGAAACCCAACCACAGCCTGTAAGTGTTCAAGTAAAAGAAGGGTCACATTATCTTTCAGTTTCAATCAAAAGCTAGAAATGATTAAGCTTAGTGAGGAAGCCATGGTGAAAGCCAAGATAGGCTGAAAGCTGGGCCTCTTGTGCCAGTTAGCCAAGTTGTGAATAAAAAGGAAAAGTTTTTGAAGGAAATTAAAAGTGCTATGCCAGTGAACACACAACTGCTAAGAAAGTGACACAAGCTCCTTGCTGATATGGAGCGAGATTTAGTGCTTTGGATAGAAGATCAAGCCAGCCACAACATTCCCTGCAGCCACAGCCTAATCCAGAGCAAGGCCCTAACTCTCTTCAATTCTGTGAAGGCCAAGGGAGGTAAGGAAGCTGCAAAAGAAAAGTTTGAAGCTGGCAGAGGTTGGTTCATGAGGTTTAAGGAAGGAAGCCGTCTCCATAACATAAAAGTGTAAGGTGAAATAACAAGTGCTCATGGAGAAGCTGCAGCAAGTTCTTTAGAAGATCTAGCTAAGACCGTCAATGAAGATGGCTCCACTAAACAACAGACTTTCAGTGTAGACCAAACAGCCTTCTATTGGAAGAAGATGCCTTCTAGGACTTTCATGGCTGGAGAGAAGTCAATAACTGGCTTCAAATCTTCAAAGGTCAGGCTCACTCTCTTGTGGAGAGATAATGCAGCTGGTGACTTTAAGTTGAAGCCAATTTTACCAATCCAAACATCCTAGGGCTCTTAAGGATTACGTTAAATCTACTCTGCCTGTGCTCTATAAATGGACCAGCAAAGCCTGGATAACGGCACATCTGTGTACAGTATGGTTTGCTGAATACTTTAAGCCCACTGTTAAGACTTACTTCTTAGGAAAATGATTCTTTCCAAAATATTGCTACTTATTGACAGTGCACCTGGTCACCCAAGATCTCTACTGGAGATGTACAAGGAGATTAATGTTGTTGTTTGTTTGTTTGTTTGTTTGTTTTGAGACAGAGTCTTGTTCTCTCCCCCAGGCTGGAGTGCAGTGGCATGGAGTGATCTTGGCTCACTGCAACCTCTGCCTCCCAGGGTCAAGCAATTCTCCTGCCTCAACCTCCCAAGTAGCTAGGATTACAGGCACCCGCCACCACGCCCAGCTAACTTTGTAGTTTTAGTAGAGACAGGGTTTCACCATGTTGGCCAGGCTGGTCTCGAACTCCTGACCTCAAGTGATCCTCCCGCCTCGGACTCCCAAAGTACTGGGACTACAGGCGTGAGGCACCATGCCTGGCCTGAATGTTGTTTTCATGCCTGCTCACACAACATCCATTCTGCAGCCCATAGATCATGGAGTCATTTCTACTTTCAAGTCTTATTATTTGAGAAATACATTTCATAAGGCCATAGCTGCCATAGATAGTGAGTCCTCTGATGGAGCTGGGTGAGGTAAACTGAAAGCCTTTTGGAAAGGATTTACCATTTGAGATGTCATTAAGAACATTCATAATTCATAAGAGAAGATCAATTATCAATATTCACAGGAGTTTGGAAGAAGTTTATTTTAACCCACATGGATGACTTTCAGAAGTTCAAGACTTGCATGGAGAAAGTATCTGTAGATGTGGTGGAAACAAAAAGAGAAATGGGATTAGAAGTGAAGCCTGAAGATGGGACTGAATTGCTGCAATCTCATAATCAGACTTGAACAGATAAGGAGTTGTTTCTCGTGGATGAACAAAGAAACTGGTTTCTTGGCCAGGCACAGATTACAGGCTCACCCCTGAAATCCCAGCAACTTGGGAGGCTGAGGCGCACAGACAACTTGAACCTAAGAGTTTGAGACCAGCTTGGGCAACATGGCGAGACCCCATCTCTACAAAAAATAAAAAAATTAGTCGGGCGTGGTGTTGCACACCTGTAGCTACTCAGGAGGCTGAGGCAGGAGGATCACTTGAGTCTGGGAAGTCAGGATTGCAGTAAGCCAAGACCATGCTGCTGCACTCCAGCCTGGGCAATACAGTGAAACCCTGTCTTTTTTTTTTTTTTTTTTTTAAAAAGGCCGGGCGTGGTGGTTCATGCCTGTAATCCCAGCACTTTGGGAGGTCGAGACAGGTGGATCACTTGTGGTCAGGAGTTCGAGAGCAGTCTGGCCAATGTAGCGAAACCCCATCTCTACTAAAAATACAAAAATTAGCCATTCGTGGTGGCACATGCCTGTAGTCACAGCTACTTGGGAAGCTGAGGTGGGAGAATTGCTTCAACCCAGGAGGCGAAGGTTGCAGTGAGCCGAGATCGCGCCACTGCACTCCAGCCTGGGTGACACAGTGAGGCTTCATCTCAAAAAAAAAAAAAAGTGGGGGGGGGGCGGTTTCTTGAGATGGAATCTACTATTACTGGTGAAGAGGTTGTGAACATTGTTGGAATGACAACAAAGGACTTAGAATATCACATCAACTTAGCTGATAAAGCAGCAGGGTTTGAGAGAATTGTCTCTAATATTGGAAGAAGTTCTACTGCAGGTAAAATGCTATCAAACAGCATCACATGCTAGAGAAGTCTTTCATGAAAGGAAAAGTCAATTGATGTGGCAAAATTCATTGTCTTATTTTAAGAAATTGCCACGACCACCCCAACCTTCAGCACCCTGATCAGTCACTAGCCATCAACATCAACAAGACCCTCGACCAGCAAAAAGATTATGATTTGTTGAAGATTCATATGATTGTTAGCATTTTTTAGCAATAACATATTTTTAATTAAGTTTTTTAGAGTTGTTTACACTATACGGTAGTCTATTAAGCATGCAATAACATTATTGTATTTTTTTAGAATAATGTTATTGCAGGCCGAACGCGGTGGCTCATGCCTGTAATCCCAGCAATTTGGGAGGCCCCGGAAGGTGGATCACTTGAGGTCAGGAGTTTGAGACCAGCCTGGCCAACATGGTGAAACCCCATCTCTACCAAAAAAAAAAAAAATACAAAAATTAGCCAGGCGTGGTGGTGCATACCTGTAGTCCCAGCTACTCGGGAGGCTGAGGCATGAGAATTGCTTGAACCCGGGAGGTGGAGGTTGCAGTGAGCTGAGAGCATACCACTGCACTCCAGCCTGGGCGACAGGGTAAGATCTTGTCTCAAAAAAAAAAAAAAAAAAAAAAAGAATAATGTTATTGCATACCTAATAGACTGCAATATAGTGTAAACATAGTTTAAGAAACTAAAAAATTCAAGTGACTCAATTTACTGCAATATTCATTTTATTGTAGTGACCTGGAACTGAACTCACAATATCTTTGAGATATAACTATATATATTTATATATAGGGTATCTATTTCTCAGCCGGTAATCACTTCTCTCCTCCCCTTGACCCCTTCTTTGTGATGAAGTATGCTTTCCCATGCTCTTTGATGTTGAGCTTGGCTATGTGACTTGCTTTGGTCAATGAAATATTTGCAGATGTCTTTGGCTTTACTTTCATGCTGTGGTGATTGGCTATGAAGAGAGCATGCTCCAGGTATCCTGGACTCCAGGATGAACACACGTAATGCAGACCTGAACCCACCCTGCACCCCTGCAGCAAAACCGCCCCACTGAGCTCACGCTTAGGTCAGCCGAACTGCAGTGGACCTACAGACCCATGAGCGTAGGGGGAAATGCCTGCTCTTAGCAGCCACTGAATCCTGTCCTGATTTGTTGATGCAGGATGATGATGGTGGTAGCTGACTCAAATGGCCTCTATCAAAATTAATTCCTTGTCCACATATAGAACTTGGGAACTGATTTTTGGAGGGTTTAAAAGAATCATCCTGACCCAGCTTTAATTTTAAATTCCATGTAAAGTTTAAGCTTGACATTTCAAAGTTTCTGATTTCTATTTAACTTCTTGGCTCTCAGTGGTATCTACTCACTGCTCATTGAGAGTTACCTGTAAATCTCCCCAATTCCATTCACCACTACAAAATGATTAAGTGCTGACTCCCATTGTTCTCTTCCAATGGTAAGGCCAACATGCAGTCTCAGAACAGTCATTAGATGTGAAATGAGGCTGAACACAACTGGAAACCTCGTGGTGCTGGGTCTAAGCCCTCCCAAGTGGATCCCCTTTGTATAAAGTTCTTTCATGTTTTGGGGTGATTTTTTGACCCATATATTTGTCCCAAGCCGTGTAATAAGCTTTGCTCGTGGTATTCCCTAAGACAAGATCAAATAATTTCCCAAAGTTCCTCACCTGCGCTAGAGGACCTGTGTTTCTCTGCTCCTCGTAGCCTGGCAGCAGAGACCCGGAGTGGCCTAGGGCGAGGCTGTGACTGCATCACCTGTCCAATGCCACATCCTTCTTCCTCACGCACATGGCCCATGAAAGCCAGAACATGATCAGAATATGCTCAGAACACGCTCAGAACATGCTCAGAGCACACTTGGAACATGCTCAGAACACACTCAGAACACACTTAGAACACGCTCAGACCATGCTCAGAACATGCTCAGAACACGCTCAGAACAGACTCGGAATACACTCAGAACATACTCAGGACATGCTCAGAATAGGCTCAGAACACAGAACATGCTCAGAACATGCTCAGAACACACTGAGAACATGTTTATAACACGCTCAGAACCGACTCAGAATACACTCAGAACATACCCAGAACATGCTCAGAACATGCTCGAAACACGCTCAGAACATGCTCAGAACACACGCAGAACATGCTCAGAACATGCTCATGCTTAGAAACAACTTGCTCGGAACATGTTTGGAACATGCTCAGAACACACTCAGAACATGTTTATAACATGCTCACAACAGGCTCAGAACACACTTGGAACATGCTTGGAACATGCTCAGAGCACACTCAGAACATGCTTGGAACATGCTCAGAACACGCTCAGAACAGGCTCAGAACACACTCAGAACATGCTTGGAACATGCTCAGAACACACTCAACACGCTCAGAACAGGCTCGGAACACATTCAGAACACATTCAGAACACGCTCAGAACATGCTCAGAGCATGCTCAGAACACGCTCAGCTCTGCTCTGTGTCAGCTTCCTGAGTAGCCCCACCCATGACGCCTTCGTAGGCAAGCGGGGGCTTTCCAAGTCCTCATTCATGCTGCTTTCCGGTGCAAGAATACTGCCTCAAGGAAACATTAAAATTATCATAGAGAAGTAGAGAAAATACCAGGATTTTCAGGAGTGGACTTGACAGACGTTTGCCTGATGTGTGAAACGGGTGGCTGTAGGAGAAGGTGTCCATCACACTTACGGGCAGACGGAGAAGCTCATTCGCTCATGCTGTCAACCCTCGCTGGGTGTCTAGCAGGGACCAGACGCAGGTCTCAGCCCTGGGAGTGCAGGGGGCACATGGTCAGGTAAGCCCCAGCTTTCAGGGAGCTTGTGTCTCAGTGAAATGCCAGGAGAGGGCCACTTGGGGAGCACTGGTCACTTACATGGGATGATAGTGGTGTCCCCCAAGACAGGAAAGCAGGACTTTTTTCTACACACGTGCCACTCTGAATCTAAGCATTTCCTTTGTTTCTTTGATGTCCAGACCCAAAGTGTACAGCGACTTTTCTTTCTTGCTGCTTTTCCTCTCTGCTCTTATCACAAACGAAGTCCTTCCAGCCGGAGCCTCAGTCTCTTCCTCCCTCCATGGCTTCCTGCTTTCTCTTCCACGCTGTATTGATTTTCTTTTCCCCCAACGTTGGCTTCTGTGCTAATGCCTTATTCTAGTGAGGGAGGCTAACAGCGGGATTTCGGGGACTGAGGCAAGGCCATGAGGAACTCGTGGGCGGGGAGGCCTTTGTTCTGCAAATCTTGGCGTGCAGTTTGCACTCTCCGTTCAATTAGGATCAGACTTGAAGAGGAGACAGGGCAAAGGTGACTCATCCTGTCTTTTTCAATTTCAGCATTTTGTGTAACACCATGTTCCAAATCAATGTAAAAACCGCGATAACAAAATTATTACTCGCCATAACTGAAGCCCATCCTGTGGCCCACAGAGAGAGCCAGGGAGTCTCAGGTGTGTGTGCGAGAAGAGGTTCAACTCTTCCCTCCACTGCCTCCTCATAGAGGAAGGACCGGGGGCTCGCACCCAATAATATACAGTGATAGGAAGAACTCCTGTGATATCAGAAGAATCAACTCCAGAGGTGTTCGACAGGACTGCGTTTCAGAGACTTCCTTTTGGTACGCCCAGCCTCTTAAAGCCTAACACATAAATGGAGCCTCTTCTGGAGGGAGGAAAAAAGACCAGAATGCATTGCACGCAATGTGCTGCCTCATACCCGATGTACAGGAGTCTCCGCAGTGGGAATCCTGCCATGGGCACTCGCAAACCACATCTTCGACCACACAATGAGCTTCAGGTTTGTTTAAAAAAAAAAAAAAAAAGCTGGCCCTATCTAAGCAGCTGTGCTGGAAGCTGCAGCTGAGGCCCACGCCACTGTGGACAGCCCAGGCAGCTTCGGATCTCCTGCAGCTGTGCCGCATTGCTACTGCCTGGGACCTGGTCATCTGCCAGCAGGATGACCGCGGGAGTAGGAAACACAGCGCCCTGTCATGACAGACACATGGGCGAGCAGCAGTGTGCACATGTGTGGGTGTGTGCATGTCCATGCATGCGTGTGAGTGAGGCGTTTGCGGGGGCGAGGCTCTGTCTGTTTCCCTGTTTGATGCCAAATGTTAATTGCTTTGAGGACCAGAAATCAAACCGTGATGCAGTGAAAAACAGGACAAAACAGCTTCCCACAGGCATTTGGGGGACTAACTGGGTGGCCACTCAGAGCCTCTGAGTTTCGATCCCCTGCTGTTTAAAGGATGCTGGGGGGACTCCCAGTCTCTAAGACCAGGAAGGGGGCTGGTGATCATCAAGGCCAGCAGAGCTCTTAGGGAAGTTCAGGGCATGTCTGACCTGAACCCCGGCCCCTCCATGGGTCCCCGTGCTGTGTCTGCAGTCAGGCCCAGTGGAACCCCAAAGGCATGTCTGACCCGAACCCCCGCCCCTCCATAGGTCCCTGTACTGTGTCTACAGTCAGGCCCAGTGGAACCCCAAAGACGGGGGTCAGAAAAGGGTGTTCTTCATGGAGGAGGAGTCTAGGGCCAGAGGCTGTTCGCTTGGTCCTTCAGCCCTCACTGCCTACAGGGGTCCAGGGCTCCGGGAGGCGATACAGGGATACAGCAACGCCGAGCTCCCACTGGACAGACGTGACTCTGTTCACCATGGCTCCGTCGCGGAGGCCCGGGAAGGGCAGAGAATCATTCTTACTTAGCACAAGGTGCTTGTTGACCTATACAAAATTAATTTCTTGACTGTCGCTGAGAATTCCCAGCGGAGTTGTTCACATCAGAGAGAACTAAGCACACAATTGCCTGTTATCTGACAGCCTGAACAAAGGCCAGCAGGTACCTGGCTGGCTGGGGAGACTGGGGTAAAGGGAGATTTTTGCGAGTTCAGCGGTGAGGCCTCAAAGAAGCAAGACACGCCTCCATGGCTGCAGCTCCATGTGCCACTCCAGCCACCGCCAAGGTATCCAGAGCAGGGCTGGGGCCAGGGCGCCTGGCTCTGAAGCTTGACTGTGCCTCTCCTAGCTGTGTGCCCCTGGGGATGGGACTCAACCTCTCTGTGCCTCAGGTTTGGCATCTGTAAACAGGGATGGGAAATTGAGTCCTTTCTTCACCTGGGGACTCTTGTGTGCCTTGCCCGCTTCAAATCATCTGCTCCACCTATTGCTTTGTACCCAGGCCAGTGGGCAAAATCCAGCCGTGCCCATGGCAGCTCCGGGCACAGCAGGCTGCAAGAAGCCAACCCAGGAGGCCTCTGTCTCCTCCACAGACCCTACTTGTCACTGTCATCTGGTTCCATGATTGCCAACCTTTGCAGGTAAAAGGATTTCTTTTTGGCTGGGCGCGGTGGCTCAAGACTGTAATCCCAGCACTTTTGGAGGCTGAGGTGGGCGGATCACTTGAGGTCAGGAGCTCAAGTCCAGCCTGGCCAGCATGGTGAAACCCTGTCTCTACTAAAAATACAAAAATTAGCTGGGCATGGTGGCGGGTGCCTGTAATCCCAGCCACTCGGGAGGCTGAGGCAGGAGAATCGCTTGAACCCAGGAGGCAGAGGTTGCAGTGAGCTGAGATTGCGCCACTGCACTCCAGCCTGGGTGACAGAGCGAGACTCCATTTCAAAAAAAAAAAAATCTATTTTTTAATATCTACAGACTTTGAGGTCTATAGCCAGACGGTAGTTATATTTTTAGTACTTTCTGAGAAAACATACAAAGTCAAACAAACAATTCTGGGCTCCAAGGGGCTTTTAAAAGGTTCTGCATTTTGTCAGTCACAATGGCACCCACCTATATATTTGAGGCCTGATTTATATACACATGAATAAGCCTACACACAAACACGTATGCGTTCAGAAATACATACATCCGCGATACATATGTATAAATACATACATCCACAGATACACATATGTAAAGCTTGGGTGCCATAACAGAGTGTCCCCAAAACACAGTGACCTAGGGAACGCAGGAGTTTGCTTCTGTCACGACATCCTCCTGCTGTTAACGGGCCCCAGACTGTGGGGCAGCTGTGTTCCTAGGGGTCATTTAGAAACCCAGGCTCGGCCGGGCGCTGTGGCTCACGCCTGTAATCCCAGCACTCTGGGAGGCCGAGGAGGCCGGATCATGAGGTCAGGAAATCGAGACCATCCTGGCTAACACGGTGAAACCCCATCTGTACTGAAAATACAAAAAAGTAGCCGGGCGTGGTGGCAGGCACCTGTAGTCCCAGCTACTCGGGAGGCTGAGGCAGGAGAATGGCATGAACCCAGGAGGGGGAGCTTGCAGTGAGCCGAGACCGTGCCACTGCACTCCAGCCTGGGCGACAGAGCGAGACTCCGTCTCAAAAAATAAAAAAGAAAGAAAAGAAAAGAAAAGAAATCCAGCCTCCTCCTGGGTGCTGCCTGATGGAACTTCTGTGATGACGGAAGTGACCTGAGCAGGTGCTGTCCCATCCCGTGGCCACCAGTCCCTGTGGCTACTGGGCATTTGAATTGAGCTAGTGCAACTGAGGAAACAAATTTTAAATTTTGTTTAATTTGAATTGGTTTTAATAAAGTGGCACATGGGGCTCGTGGCTACTGTACTGGAGAGCACGGCTCTCCTCGTCCCCAGGGCCTCGCTGCCATCTGCCCGGCCAAAGCTGTGAGTGGCCTCACTGTCCAGACTCCGCGGCTGGAAGTGTGGAGAAGTGGCAAGGCCCACGTCTAGAGGCCAAGCCTGACCTTCCTTGAGAAAATGTCACCACATGGTCACACTCAAGCACGAGGAGGCTGGGAATGTGCTCTGACCAGGCAGCACGTGCTGGCTCCAAGTGCAGGACTCAGAGAAGAGGAAAGGAATCCTGGAGCTCAGGGATCTGAGCCAGGCCATCTCAACCCAACGCCTGCTATTTATTCTGGATCTGAAGGACATTCATCAGGACTCTATGCCTTCAGGGGACTGTGGTGAGAGGGTGGGGAACACTTAACTTAGCTCAGCCTCCTACTCAAGTCCTCATTCATTCAACGCCACAGGCCAGCGTGAGCTACACTTGGGGTATAGGAAGCCCTGGGGAGCTCCCAGGAGATGGTGCAGCCCCCACTGCTGGCCCTCCTCTGACCTCCTTCAGCCTCTGGCACTAAGACATTGTCTGTGGTGTGACCCTCTTTTTAAAAATTGCGTTTTCGTTATTTGGGGTATATACACCCAGCTGTGGAAATGTGGACCATATGGTAATTGTAGGTTTCGTTTTTTGGGGAGCCGTCATCTAGCATTCCACGGTGGCTGAGCCATTTTTCCCTCCCACCACAGGGTACAAGGGCCCCAGTTCCTCCCCATCTTCACCAGTGCTTGTTATTTGCTGGTTTTCATAGTCGTGGTCTGGGCCTCCAGACAGGGCATGGTGTCCTCCCCGCAGCGGGAGACCCCGCGTCGTTCCCTCTCTCCCTCAGCACCTGGGCACCCAGCATGCTGTCTCCAGCAGACGCCCATCGGTGCCCAGTGACCATGGACAGCAAGGAGTTGCAAGCGGTCCTGCCCCTCCCTCCGATCATGCTGGAACAGTGGCTTCTCTGAGGAGGAGGCGGGTGTGGGGCCCTCTGCCCAGGACAGGCCGTGGAGGGACACAGGCTTACAGCTAGCCCCGGCTGAGTCCAGCCATCAGCCCGTGGGCCTCAGTCTCCTCCTCTGTAAAGGAGAGGTGATGGTGCCTACTTTGGCTATTGTGAAGATTAAAGGAAATCATGTTCACGAAAAGCTTAGGGCAGCCCTGGCGTGTGAAGGGCTGGGGAAACATGAGCCGTCGTTATTACCATTGCACAAGTCTGCATCTCTGCTTACAAAGCCATTGTCTGCTATTGTCCCCACACCTCTCCAAGTCCTCCAGCCCGTGTGGGAAACCCAAGGGCATCCTCGTCCTTCTGCTCCCTGATCTGGCCTGGGGGCTGCAGGAGGACCCTCACTCCTTCAGCCCTGCCCTCTCTCCAGCCCACCGCGTTGCCGTCTAGACTCACACTGGGCTTTCCTCCTAACTCTATCACCTGGGTGGGGTGACCTTGGCCCGAACCTCTGTACTCACAAGGGGGCTGACAGTCCAATCGTGCTCAGCGCCCGGTGGAAGAAACAACTCAGGCAGCAGCTGGCTGTGGTCACTCGCACGTTAATGGGGCACCGAGCCGTCAGACTGCACTCTGCTTAAAGGTCTGTGCCCCTGGAGGCCCCCAGCTGAGGGTGAGGGTGGGTGTGCATTTGGGTGGTGGTTGGTCTTGGGCAGGGCAAACTGGTCACCAAGCTAAAATGGTCTGCTTTTCCCTGAAAATTAACTTTTTGCCCAAGACAGACATCCTGGTGGCCCTTGCCCAGGAGTCATCCCTCCAGGTGTGCAGGAAGGCGGCAGAGATCCCCTGGCCCACCCTCGACCATCACCCTTCTGTCCAGCACCCTGGCTGCATCCTTCAGCCCAGCGTGGGCCAGCTCCTCGCCCCCTTAGCCCAGGCCCTCCCACCCTTGGTGCTCAGCTGCTGTTGACATCCATCCCTGCAGCTGGAGGGACACCCCACCCCAGGCCTGGACTCAGCTGGGCAATGCTGCATCCTCCCATTTTATTCTCTAAGCACTCTGAGGGTAAGCCCTTCATCTCATTCCTCCTGCAACCCTGAGAGGGACAAAAGGGCTGTCACCACCTCCCTGTGGGGGACACTGGCAGGATGAGGGGACTGCCCAAGCCACGCCCAGCCACACCCTTTGGAAACGTCCTGCACAGCGAGCTCTTCTCTCTGCAGGGGTTCTGCCTTTGCTGTCTCCACAGCCATCTTCCAGCCCCAGTCCTGTCTGGGACCCTCTCACCACCCACAGATCCTTGCATGTCACATTTGTTACTCGGCCCCTCCCTGCCACTTCTCATTTAGTCTCGTAAGAAACCTGGCTGCTTAAAATTTTACTCAGTCTATAAATACTCTTTGCTGAGCATTTTCTATAACAATAGGAGCTGGAAACCCCCAAATCCGGATGGCTCGTCTCATGTCTGTTGCCCCACCCACCCCTCTGCAACTTCTCAAGCAGCTCACTTTGGATGATAAGCTCCACGTGTGTCTTAGAACTGACACGGCTGCGTCCCAAGTACCAGGTGTTGTGCTGTGTGCTTGAAGTTACAGCAACCCCTCACCACAGCTCTGTGAGGCAGCTGTGACTTCCATCCTTCTTACAAGTGGAGACGCTTAGGCTCCAGCCTCCACGGGGACTTCAGCGCTGAGTTTCCCTCGTGATAGGCAAGGCACTGTGCTGGGCGGGGCAGGTACAACTGATCTTCCAGAGTCAGGAGCATAGGGGTCTGGGAGTGAGACCCCCCCACCGCGCACACACTCTCCTGCTGGGAAGCCTCAGGGAAACTGGGTGCCCACCTCCCCACTTCAGCCAGGTCTCAGCCTCCCGGGGATGCTCTTGAGGCCGACCCTCGGGATGCCGCCCCGTCCTGCCCCTCCAGGGTAGGCCCCCACGAGCAGGGGCCTGGACTCCATGGGTAGACAAGTCTTGTGTGGATTGGGACCGGAGCTGGTAAGGCCAGGAAGGGGCAACTGTAGGCACTGCCCGGGGAGGGGCAGAATCATGCTGTTGCCCAGTGATGCCAGGTACACAAAGGCAAAGCTGGAGGGACAACGTGGAGGCCCAGACTCATTCGGGTGCATTGAGAGTCAGTGGTGGTGTGCAGGGAGATGTGATCGCAGGCCTGCTTCTAGAGACTTCTCTGGCAGCAGGTGGAAGGGCAGGTGGGAGGGAGGCCGCCACTTTGAGGCTGGGACAGAAGGGTGAGGACCTGCACTGGGCATGAGGGCAACCACAGACACACGCAGAGCCATGGAAGCCAGAGCTGTGGAACAGATCTGTGCCCAGTGCCGGTGGGGCAGGCTGGCCCCTCGGGCGGCTCTGTGTCTGTTCTCTTTGGGCCCAGGCTGTGTCCACCTTGCCAGGCAGTGGGAGAGAGGCAGCATCCAGGCACCCCATCCCATACACCAGGGAGCGGCACCGGCTGGGACCATCAAGCTTCCCTGGAAGGACAGCAGAGCGTGGTCACTTTCACACCGCCGAGGGGAGGCTCCCTCAGTCACAGCCTCCCATCACAGGAGGGAACCGGGGACGCAGAACCGGGGGGACAGGGGCCCAGCTCCCGGCCTCGCCCCGCCCAGGGAGGACTGTCCTGAGCACCGCTGCCCAGGCCTTCATGCTTCAGAAGCTACCAGAAGCAGAGGCTGAACGCGGCCGCCCCGGCCACTGCAGAGCCCAGGAAGGGCAGGGCGCTGAATGGCCCGCCCAGCTGCACGCATGGCTGCGTCTTCTGTGTGCCCTGCGTCTTTAAGAGAAAAGGAGGGACCTCTCAGGAAGTGGCGGGGCATCTGCTCCCGCAGGAGAAACTCTTTTACATTTCTAATCAGGAGCCTGGGCTAGGGAGTGTCCTGCCCCCGTGCCCGCAGGGATGGGGGACAATGAGGCTCCTCAACTGTTCCAGGGTAGCCCTTGCAGGCAAATCCGAGAAGGCTACGGCTTCAGAAGGAAAAGAACCAGGGAAGAAGTCCTCACAGGAATAGACCGGGCCTCGGGCGAGGCTGAAATTCTTCCTCTACACCAGGACTGCTACAGGAGGTTGTTTGGTTTCTCTGCTGGTGCTGTCTTCACACACTTACAATTAATATTAGCAGCAAGTGTCACTAAGGAGCAAGGAGCGATTTCTCCAGGAACCGGAAACTCCCCTCTGCCCCCCTGCAGCACCCAGCAAGCCGGGGCTGCCTAAAGGCCTGCCACAGGGGCTGGGTTTCTGGAATGTTCTTTCATCCCCTGGGAGTCCTGGGCTGCTCCGTCCGGCCCTCCCTCCGTGAGAAGGGGAAGCCGAGGCTTGGATGAGCTGCCCTGGCCGGCTCCGGGCTCCACCCCCCGCGCCCTGGCTGTTGCCATGGTTGGCCTCAGGCATCCGGCTCGGCCTACAGGAAACACGCTTGTAGGACTCGCTAGGGCAGGAGAGAATGGGGTAACGCGGAAGATGGATTTTTTTTTTTTTTTGAAATGAGCAAACAGTCTAGAGAACCCCACAGAAACAAAAGGGGAAAAGAAGGAGACGATCCAACAAAGGCCATTAGAGCGAAGAGCATCAGCGACATAGACGCAGCTACCAGGCGACCAGGCGCAGGAAGGGTGCGGCCGCAGCGGGTGTCGCGACCGCAGGAGGGCCAGGGCGGGGCGGCAGAGGGGCTCCCGGGACCAGGGTGCAGGAACCCGACAGGGAGGGAGAGACGGGGTGGGAAACAGGTGGACAGACAGACCTCCGGGGCTGAGGCGGAGAAACAAGACCCAGGCTGGAGAGGGGAGGGCGAGAGATGGCCACCGCCCCAGCACGTCGGAGTGGGCGCTGGGAGTTCATGGAATCGTGGAGTAATCAAAGGAACTCAGAAACCGCCCCACGAACCCTAGATTTTACCGGGTTTCTACAGAAACTGAAGCCAAGGGGTCCAGCACACAGCCCAGGGCCATCCCTTCGGCCTGAAGCAGTGTCCTCACCACACTAGGTCTCCGTGGGCAGCTCCTTCCCTGGCCCCACCCGGCTTGCTTTGGAAATACCCAGATGTACTTGAATACTGGGATTAAAAAAAAACATGGAAGGAGAAAGGAAAATGCTGAGAGGGGGGAAGGGTTAATCCAAGAGGGAAGAGACAAGCAGAGCAGGAAGCAGGAAGGAGGAGGAGGCTCGGGGCAGAGAGGAGAGGGACCTGGTGAAGTGGGGGGCTGAAGGCGCGGGGACCACCCCAGGCATTCTGGGTGCCATCTCTGTACGTGACAAATGTCCACACTCAAGCTCACAGCGGCCTCTCTCAACCGCCTCCGCGCAGCAGGGTTATCCATGGCTGAGACTCCGGGGACAAGGGGTAGGCAAAAAGAAACACAGCTGAGATAAAAGTCAGGGGACGGAGAGAGGAAACCAGTCCGGAAATGGCAGAGAGGAAGAGTTTGCTTCCTCCTGGGAAGGTTCCCTGTAAATGGGTTAGGACGTCTTTATTATGGAAAGATGACTCTGTGGTATCATGCAATAAGCTTGGTAGTCATGGAAAAGAAATCTGTATGGGAAATTATACTTTTGACTTATGACAGAGTGAAGAGTCACGTTGCCCATCCTTTCATTCAGATTATTAGTTAAATGAGGAAATAACCACAGACTGTTCCATTCTATTTGGTATACATTTCTAGAAGTCTATGAAATCAATCTGTATTTGGGAAGACCACTTCCTTCAGAGCACTTTATTTTGTGAACTATTTTGGCACCTGAGGATCCAACGGTCATGGTCCCCTTTGCCATCAAAATACAATAAGTGGAGCTTACAACTAACTTAATGTATACATGTCCATTTCTTTTAAGTGTGGATGTTGGTCTGAAGGATTTCTTCAAACAGTCTTGTCACTAATTTTATCATGTGACCAAAAATGAGCACTGGACATTGGATTTTCAAGATTTTCCCTGATAAAAATGAATCCTCTAATCCTCCCCTAATTGAACAATTCTGCATGTGATTTGGGTTTGAATTGTAAATTATAACCCTTTTCCTATTTTCTAAAATGCTCTTTTAAAAGTCTTGTAAATTCACCAGTAGTCTTCATCATTTGAGTAGTAAATGTAGTCAATTAATCTTTTTGGAAGCATTTTAGGATGAGACTTCTGGATTACTGTTCATTTTAAGACCAAGAGTTAATGAGGAAAAAAAGCCTTCCACCTCTGCAATTTTAGCTGACGGAAATGTTCTTGAATTTGCTAAATATTCACTTACAAAAAAGTTAATGAGGAAAAATGAGGACGGCACCGGCCAGGCAATGTATTCAACAGAAGCTCTAATTTGCTGTGTTGTCTTGGGCCAAACACTCAGCCTCTCTGTGCTTTGGGCTCCTCTAAACAGGATTACTTATTTCTGTTTCCTTTAAAGCGGGAGTTTTAAATCTGGATCCTGTGAACTTGGATGGGAAAAGTTCATCCTTGTTTTTGCTAGTCCATCTCTAACTGGAATCCACTTTTTCTTTTCATTATGAAGTAGACATCAAACCCTTGCACGGTTTAGCAGCGCCTGTGAGATTGCGGCTGATTTAAACCACGGATATTTTCATGTCATGTTATACCTACAGATATCTCAGAATATCATTTCCGCTCGTCACTACTTTAAAATTTGCCAATAGACCTGCTGCTAGATCTTGTTATTAAAGATATTAGTAAAGAAAGATGCATCACAATGAAAATATATTTTGTAACTATTTAAATCTGACTGGTTCCTTTGAAATCCTGTGTATCTTACTGTATGCATTTAAATATATTCATCTCAGAAGGCTGTGTCAATAGGCATCCCACAGCTGCCAAAAAGATCCATGGCATTAAGAAAGGTGAAGAAGCTCTGGTTTACAGGAATATGGAAAGGCAAAATGAATATTTGCTAAAAGGATGTCAGCTCTCTAGAGCAAAAACAACAACGACGACAAAAAAACAGAGGAAAGGTAAGGTCAACAAATCACTGCTACCACGCTGAGGAATCCATACAATCAATAGCTGTGCCAGGAAAAGGGCTTGACCCTGTGGCCACACCCCAAAATTATTTGTATTCAAAGGAGTCAGTCCCCACAAGGAGGATTTCTGACGCACTTGGCCCTACTGTTCCTCTCTGGGTCAGCGGTAATATGTGGGCGCTGTTTCTGTTCCCCACGACCAGGCCATGTGGGGCCTCGGGGACCCCGAATGCCTCGTGCTGCGGCGGAGGCCTTGGAGTGAGTGCCGGTTCCATGGTCTGCTCTGCCGCAGCCACGACGCTGGGCGCCCAGCACACCCGTGCGGTATGTGTTCCTCGGGGAGCCCTCCTGCCTCCTCTTGTTGGCATACATGTTCACACCATGATATTTAAGAGAGATGTCACCACAGACAAGCCCATGTCCAGCCTGTCCTAATAAGCAGCCGCCGGGCTGCCCAGAAAGTCACGGTCTTCTCAAAGGAAATGCTTCAGTGCTGATGTGTGACCCCACCAAATCCGAGTGAGGAGCCCTGCAGCCTGGATCTCCGTCAGAGCCGAGGGCCGCAGGCACCGTGGTCCAACCACTGCATTTACAGGGTCCGGCCCATGAGAGCAGGGAGGGCACGAAGCCCAGGTCTGGGGTCTTTCTCCGCCTGAGCGGTCCCTCAAGGGAGGCACGCACGTGCTGCAGAGCCGGGAATCTGGCCTTTGACCTGCGCCACTTGTAAGTCTCCAGACCCTAGTCTGTTCTTCCCAAGTTGGAGATGAAAATGGCATTTCTCTACAAAATTGTTGCAAGGATGAAATAAAATAGTGCCCTCGGGAGGGACATATAAACTGTAAAGGGCAGTGCTGAGCTCACCACCATCGCCATGCTAGCAGGAGCCGTGGCCTCTGGGCTCACCCGGCCGAGGCTCAGCAAACAGGCCTGCTGTGGAGCCTGGGCGGCGGGTTCGGGGCGGGGTTCGGGTCCGTCCAGGTTCCCTGTCCTGGAACTGAAGATGGGAATCCTGCTGCAGAGCCTGGGCGGGTGGGGTTCGGGTCCGTCCAGGTTCCCTGTCCTGGAACTGAAGTTGGGACTTTCCCATGGGCAGGACTCTTCTCCTTCCTCACCTGCCCGATGCCAGGTCTCCCTGGAGGACTCAGCGTCACTGGAAATGTGGCTCCAAGTCTCCCTAGACCTTCCTAGAGCAGCAAGAAACCTGGCACCACGGGTGGAAGCCTGGCCTGCCCTGAGCCAGCCTCTCCCACCGTCACCAGCTTCCCAGCACTGACTTCCCCTGGGAGCCTTCCACCTCTGCAATTTTAGCTGACAGGAATGTTCTTGAATTTGCTAAATATTCACTTACAAAAATTAATCTCTGCATTGTTCTCAATAATAAACGTGAAAATAATCGAAACGACCTAATACAGGAGATTTGTTAAATAAATGTGGCTTGCACGTGAAATAAACACTTTGCAGCCGTTAAATTTTATGCTGTAGAAGAATCTGAGTGACATGAAGATTCACAATACATCAAGTGAAAAGGCCAGGTCATAATATGGTAGATAAGATATAATCTAATTTACAGATGTATGTATATACACACACGCGTATTAACAGATATGCGTGTGTATATATATGATGTAAACAATTATCTGGGTGATGAAATTTGGAGACTTTTTATTTTCATATTTTTAAAATCTGTGTTTTCTAAATATTTGTATTTCTCTTAGAAAAAATATATTTTTTTTTCCAATTTTCATTTTGTTTGATCTGGTTTTAAATAAGAAACCCAAGCTAAAGAGGTTGGCCACCCTTTTCCTCTGTAGTTTCCCTGCCTGAGCAGCCTGAAGTGGTAGAGGCCGCCTGCCCCGTCCAGGCTGGGCCTGCTCTGGTCTCAATATCCCTCCAGAGGAGCAGAGTCCCAAGGCTCCCCAGAGCAAGGCCCGCACAGGCCCACCCTGCTCCTCTGAAAGGTTGGGGAGGGCAACTGGGACAGTCCAGGTGCGTCTGCAGCAGGGGAGGAGGCTCAGATGACCAAGAGTTGGTCTCTGAAATGGATGCAGTAGAAAGAATCAGAAACGTCCCCTCGTGGGCACCAGGCAGGAGGCTGAGCCCGCTGATGAAGCAGGTCTCAGTAAGGAGCTCCACGCAGTGGCAGTGACATCTTGAAAGGAGAGAATCCCCTGTCCCAGGACCCTCAGGTACCAGCCTGAGCTGGAGACACACTCCCTAGGCCCGGCTTTCAAAAGGAAGCTATCAGGATGCAAATTGGCTTCAGGCCCACCACCAAGTCCATGCGCGCTGAGACAGGTGCAGCGACCTTACAGTCAGAGTCTGTGTTTAGCTTGAAGTTTCACAGCACCTGTCCTCCAAGGCCTCCGGGTTATCTGAGGGCACTTCCTGTGGACATCCTGTTCCAGGCATGGCCCCTGGGGTCTAGGCAGTGGTGTGTGGGCAGGGGGTGGTGCCTGGAGCTTCCTAACACTCTTAGTCCTCCTGCAAAACCAAGACCCCACCTGAGATCAGGAAAAGTTCTCTATCACACAGCCTGGGAACACTTGCCTTGGATTTTGGCCTAGGACAAAGCCTGGCTGGGTGACGCATTCTGGGCTGCCATGGGGTGGGGGGAGGGTACAAAGTCCCCTTCTGGATCTTCCCAGCTGGGTGAGGCATTCAGGCCACATCGGGGGTGGGGTGGGGGGAAGTCCCCTCCTGGGTCCTTCCAACTGGATGAGGTGTTCAGGGCCGCCATCGAGGGTGTGGGGAAGTCCCCTTCCGGGTCCTCCCAGCAGGTACTGATCTTACTCCTTCGTTCTCAGGCGGGACACTCCAAGGGGCTCCCTTATCCCCGACATCACTGGAGCTCTTGGCCTGGCCTCCTTCCCTCATGGCTACCACAGGCCACCCAACCAAAGAACACATTTTTTGCCTTAAAGTTCTCCCATTTTGGTGTTTTGTGTCAGCGCTTCCAGACAGCCAGTGGCCTGGTCTTTCGTGGTCCCTGCTCTCCCCGCAGCTCAGGGTGGAGGCCCTGTCCAACTAAGCACAGCACCACCCTCCACACTGAATGTCCTCACCAGGCCGCAGCACAGGCCGCCCTCCCGCCGTGCTGGTCTGACCTCGGGGGCCCCTCTCCCCACGAGGACCTCTGTGCCCCGCCTGCACCACTCCTGTATCCTTCTCGGCGCCTAGCACGGGGCCTGAGGTGCACTAGGGCTTCCTGAGTATTTGCTTATTTGAGCACAAACCCAAAAAGGCCAAGGGCAAGGGTGTGTACGTTCAGAACAGTGAGCACGGCAGGTCTTAGGGGGCCGGGCGCTCAGAAGGGCCCGCCGGGCATCTGAGTTCTGCGCGGAAGATTAAACCAAGAGGAATCTCAAAGAGGAGCGGTGGTTACTTGGAAACCATCATCGGCTACCAAGCTCAGCTGCAAGACCCCACCCAACTGTTCCACAGTCCTGGAGGGGCTGAGGTGCACTGCCCCCAAGCCAGGGGTGCGGAATTGGATCACCGGGAGGCTCCCCCAGCCCCTTCTCAGGATTCTGCACCACAGGTTCCATTCCATTGCCCAGCGGGAAGCGCTTCTCCAGTGCCGACAGTGGTAACTGATAACTAACAGGAAGCGCGGACTCATTCTGCCAGCTGCGAGAAGGGCCCTGAGCTGGGCTGGGGCCTTTCCCAGGTACAAATCAATGTGGGAATGAAAGGGAAGGAAGCAGTGGGCTCACCCTCCTCCCCGAGATAAAGCTTTGTTTGAGCCTACGCTGTGGCGTCTGTTCCTTTGGGATCCACCTTGGCGGGGTGAGGATAGCCTACGCTCAAGGGCCCCGGCAGGGATGCAGGACAGCCAGGGGACCCCGAGGCACAGATGCCGCGGCGGCCAGCCTGGGCTTTCTGCCCTCACTGCCTGTGCCCAGGGGCTCCGCCTGGGCCAGCCGGCCCTGGGCTAGGTCACCCGGCCGGCCTATGCAGGGCCCAGGCTGGGGCCTCTGCGCCTGCTGCCGCCTGGGCTGAGGTATGAGGCTGAAGGTACCTTACTCAACACTGTCAGTGCACGGGAGAAAACGCCCCTGGTGTGTTAATAAATCACTAGTTACTAGAAGGGAAGCACAAGAACTAGAGATGCTATCATTTTCCTGGACTTGAGACTCAGTCATCAGGTACAAAGGAAAGCATTTCTTAACAACAACAAAAAACTCAAACGTGTTTCTCTCTGAAGCCCCTGTGCGTCCACCCGTTGGTTAGTAAGGGGAACAGCATCTTTTTACTGGGCTTTGTTTCAGAAGGGGATTTCTTGCAATCAGCCCTCTCTTCTGACCTTGACACAGCCATCTTTCTACAGTGGGATCTTGCCATAGGGCCAGTGCATGCTCACAAAAACGGTTGGGATTTTTGCGGTTTGGAAAGAGAGAGCCACACCACACCCACGGGCACACACGAGCTCCACCAGGCACAGCTGACCCAGATCCCTGGAATTGAGTGAGGATTTCCAGTGTGGCTTCCACTCTCGAAACTGGTCAAGGTGTCAGTATCCACAGCATATGCAAAAGTGAGCTAACCTGCAACATTTCCTGTTTCTCACTTAGGGGCACTGCTTCAAAACACGCATGCACCCAAGACCCTTTCATCTTAGGGCATTCATATTTCATCATGGCTTTGATTGCATATGAAAGCAATTCAAGGGTATATTTTTACCTAAAGGTCTAATAATTTAATAACACTTGTTGAAGCCACATTTGTATTAGATTTCACTCTGTTTTAATACCACATTGCTTTACATAGGGTCCATCTTTAATAGGGACCAAATAGTCTATTTTTTGGTTCTCCGCTTTCTTCTGTAAACCACAGGGCATGAAGGTAGTTCATCAGTGCCCTTTGATGAAGAACAGAGCCATGAAGATGACTTCTATCAGACAATGAAAATTGCCTGATTGAAATCTTCTCTGTCTCTGTTGACAATGGTGTCACCTCGTGGATTACAGTCACCTTTTATCAGCCAATATCAGAGAATACGCTGTAGAGAAATTCCCACTTGTTCAGAAAGCTGCTATGAGGCAAACCCTTAATATCAAACTCAGGAGCACAGTCTAACTTTTCACAGCCAACATCGCTATTCATAAAGTTTGAGATAGCTATTCACATTTTTACTTATAGTATATCAGATCTTTCTGAGCCCTGGCCATGCTTAATCAGCGGACATTGGGCATCCGATGCTTCAGTACGTAACTTGCCTTCCCTAGATGCTGGTGTGTTAACAATCCCGAAAGGAGAAGAAAGTTACTGGAGCCCTTATCAGCTCCACGGGAAGGCCATGTCCCTCTGGGTCACATCTTGGATTCACTAAGCTTGTGATTTGTGAACCTCCCCCTGCCCTGTGGCTTTGAGGGAACAGGACTATCAAACTGCTCACCTTACTGTACTGGGCTTTTACTCTGTGCTATTATGCTTTAGAGGGAAATTATCTAATCCATGGTTTACTGAAATCCATGTTCCATACAGTGACACATACTATAAGATTCTAAGCTAGTTCCAGTGCAGCCTCATGGCATTTTTGTTTTCCAGCAACTTCATAAGAGATTAAATATGTTTTACGAATTTCTTACTGTGGCAGGGTAGAATCTTTTTTATGTCCACTGTAATTTTTTTTTCTTTCATGAAAATCTTGAGATAATTCTCCAAGATAAGGAGCATAGGAATGTTTCTTTAATTAAGGAATTAGAAATAAAGACCCTATTTTTTCCCTGAGATCTCCACACTGGAAATTCGAAGCTCTAGCTGATCTCCGTGTCCTCTCTCTATTATGTATGTCCGTGTCTGTGTATTTGTATGCATGTATCTACATTTCCAAGTTTCTATCTATCTGTTTATCTATTTATCCATCCATCTAATTTTGGACTTTCCTGAAGAACCCAGAAGGGTAGAGAGCTGTATGTGACATGTAAGACTCCTCTTCCACAAACTGTCCTTCTGAAGCAAAGCCCCATGTTTCTGGTGATGGCCCCACAAGTGAATGAGCCAATATTATATTAAATATCATCAGCACCTCCTGCCGTTGGGGCAGATCGTGAAAAGTGGACTACAAAGAGCAGAGCCTCTCTCCTCAGCAAACATACATTTAGGGGAAGGGGCAAGAAGTTAAACTTTGCGTGAGAGCAGTATCAGTTACTGTTATCTTTCCCTAGGTCATTTAAGGGCAGTACAGTTTTACAACTTCCATAATTCTATTTCATTTATTGTATTTGATCTTTTTATCCACTTGGTTTCTTGCTCTAAAAGCAACTAATCTGAGGAATTTAAGAAATGTATAAAGGGGAATTAAATTATAGCTAGGGAATCATAATAACACACTTGTATGTCACAGGTGCATTCATATTGTGATGGTTTAGTATCATTGTTAATTGCATCTTGGTATCAAACTATACAATATCCTCTTGCGTGAGCTTCAGCACATTTAACATTAGCTCACAAATTTGTACCAAGTTTTAAAACAGACCACAAAATCACATCTAAGAATGACTTTTCTCATATTCCATGACAATCTGAATTTTAAGCTTGATATATAGTTTATCATTTTTATTTAGATATAGTGATTACGTATGTGAATAAATATCAACCTAAGCCAAGAAACAGATATAAAAGCACAGCCAGCTATCGACTCTATTTTTTTAGGGTTGTCTTAGTAAATAAAGTATTGATCTTTCCCGTTTGGGACTTCAGCACAATCCCGCTCTCCACTCCTCAGTAAAATGGATTCATTGTCCTTGGCTTGTTCTTAGCAAATAGTAATCCACATCACAAAAAATAAACTGGCCATCTCAGCCAATTTGGTCTTTTTTTTTTTTTTTTTTTTTTTTTTTATGAGAACAGGTTCACGTGTCTTCATGGAGACCCAAACCAACCATCTCATAAAAGAACAATTTGAAACCATGCAGCCTCAAACAAGTCTTCTCTCCTCATTATTTTAATAAGCATTACACACCCCACCCCGTGTTTTTCCAGGGATTTTTTTTTGGACATAGAATTAGGCAGCTTTTCATCAACTCTGAGAAACGTTCTCTCACCCTATAATGTTGCCTTGTTTCTTTTATTTTGTTTTTGTTTTTGTTTCCTCCCCATGACTTGTTTTATTTTGGTTTTGGTCAATAAATGTGACTTACAAGGCACCAAGGTGGCTAGGAGGATGCTAAAGTGAGTAGCTACTCTATCTCATTGTTCATTAGCAAAAGCAGCACAACCTAACAGTGGCCCACAGGGAAACCTAAGACTTCCTGAAGCCAGAAGAAATCCAGTGGTTTAGGTGTTATCACTCAAATACAGGTTGAATCAGTAACTTTGTAAGCTACGAATATTTACATGAGTTTGGCAAGTTTGATCTGGAAAAAATTCTGGAAAGAAAAAATACACAAGTCATGAGATATTAAAAATTTGCAAGATACAAGACTATTTTTAATGGGAAATCCAAGAAAAAAACCTGAAATGCCATATTTATCACAACCTTAGATAGTCACTGTAAGTCAAGGTTCCTCGCCCTCTCCATTCAAAGCAAAGCATCACTGTCCATGAAAGGCACCCCTCAGTGACAGGAGGTGCACCTCCCCACGTCCGTTTAGTTACAAACAGGAGCCCACATTTTCTTAATTTCTATAATTAGTGTTAGCATTGCCTACATTTGAGAATGTTTGATGATGATCAAAGAGAGTATGGAAACAGATTTGGCAACACTTCTACGGTTACGACCGTGAACAGTTTTCACTGAAGCTTACTTAGTGTCACAGGTCCCGCCATGTTCCTGTGAAGGTCACTAGGTTTTCAGGAATAATTGTCCTGTTTAGTGCATTTCCCAAGAAAATCCAAGTTAGGAGAATGTTCCTGATTTACTACTTTAAATGCCAAATTAACCTTAACTAGATACGTTTAAATAAAGCTATAGGGACTATGTTTTAAATAACAATTGTCCTACCCTACTGGAAAATAGTGTTAATTATTATTCAGTTCTATTTCCATCGTGTGTCAGCTCGGGTGCGAGTTCGCTGGGTTATGTAGGAGCCATCAGACTTAAGCAGCCACAGACAAGACAAAAAAGAAGCACCCAAGTAATTAAGTGACATTAACTCACTAACTTTTAATCAGAGTTTAGGTGGGGAGGGGGCATGGAAAGCCCTTCCCCTTAGCTTTGGTAAATTTTCCTAAATTTAAGAATTGTTTCCTGCTGAAGAGTCAGGAGAATGATTTAAACACATAATGTGCTTTTTAAGCAACTAAGTAACAATATGGCAAAGAGTTTTGGGTCGGGGGGGTTGGGGGGGGGATTTGTAGCATCCTACCCACTTGATTGTCACCAAAGACAATGAGAATCTCTTTTTAGAAACTGGTGTAGACCATACCCTGACATTTTTAATCATTAAAGTCAGATTCCATTGAATGCAAATGTAACAGAGATAAAGAAATTTCCGGGAGTGATTGTTACTAGACTTTGTATATTAAGTGTGGCCAAAAGATAATTTCCCACCAGGTCCCAACTCTTTTTCCATTCCTGTAGAAGAATGGTAGATTATTTAGTAGTAAACTCAACACACTAAATGTGAGCCAAAAAAAAAACGTTTAGAAGAAAAACAAACAAGCCAGAAGAGTTTGGAGCGAAACAAAACGCAATCACTAGTGTCATCTTTTAACACCTGATGCAATAATAAATCAACTTTCTAAGCCACTTAAACTCAGAATGGTGTTTGAGAGGCCAATATAATTATTGTTTACTATAAATTAAAGCATTCATTAGTTTTTACACATTCCACTAAATTTTAGAGATGGGTTTTTAAACTTGTGGTTTCTAAAAATTTTAATTTCATTCCTGATAAAAAGTGGGTTTCTTTCACTAATAGCCATATCTCACCCAGAAGGCCACATTTTGAATTTGTTGCCATGTATTTCCTTAAATTTATAGGCAATCAAGTATTTGAGGATTCAAATCCAGTTCTTATCAGACAGCCACTGCGCTTGCATATGTGCACATACACTGTTATAAAATAAGCAGCATACATTATGAAATCCCTATTTTGTTTATGAAATGTCTTCGCTTTTTTCCTCAATACAGAATTAAATCCTCTATTGTCAAGCTTGATTTATCAAAATCTGCAAAGGTTAATTTAAGTTTCATGTACTCCTCAGCTTCACCTATAAAAAAACGCAGGGTTTGTCATGATGTCAACCAACAGATTTTCAAAATGAATCATAAACGGAGACAAACACGGTATAAACAAGAGACAAAATTTTTCTTATCATGAAAGACAACATGCAAACATAAAATGCAGACATTGACCTTTGGGTGTGACTTTACTCCTCTCTACGACCAGCAGAACGGCACTCCTAGAGCTCAGTATGATTAGCAGAAGTTTCACACAGATCTGGAAAAAAAAAAAAAAGTAGATAGCATCATTATCACTTTAGACTCCAGCCCGTTAAGTCATTTACATTATGCAAAAACTATGTTCTGGTAGAAGCATATTTTAAAAACTTTTATTATGGAAATTTTCCCAAAATGTTATTATAGAAATTACCCAAAAGCAGAAAGAAGGGTGTAATCTATTCCCCTGCACCCCAAACCCAGCTTCAACAAAGATCAACACTGCTGTTCTTGCCCATATTCCAGTCTTTTTTGGCTTTAGGATTTAAAGCAAGGCCAAGGTATTGTGTCATTTCACCCATGGCTCCACTCAGAGATATTTCACAGCCTGTAATGGGCACAGGACATCTGGCATTTAACCCAAGGACCACAGAAGCAACTAGATACTTTGATAATGCTACTTTTCCAGTTGGAAGCAATTAATGCAAACTCTATCGAAAAAGGCTATGGATTACTTTAGCTACATAACTTTTAAAAAATATGCTAGCCTTTGAAAGCAATTATTTTACATATTAGAATTTAACATTCCCATTAGTTTTGAGAAGTCTACATAAAAAGGGAAAAATCTTTTACTTTAAATGTAGGCTGAACATTTCTAGATACTTGATCTCATCTTCATACGCTGCATTTGAAATTGTGATGTGGCAAATTCATCAGTGATGATGCTTTTAAATGTTAAGGTTTGATGTGGAAGCAGAAGAGATACATACAGAATATATTTGTGTATTTATTTATGCCTTCATATATTCTATTTAACAAATACTTCCATGAGTATTAGAAGATCCATTCATTTCTAAGTTACAGTGCTCTGTTCCATACCTTGAGTGGCACAGAGCTGCACTTTTCATCACGACCCTATAGCACATTAAGATTTTAATCATTTTGACTCCAAGACATCAAAATGACATTCTGGAGAAGTCTGAACTATATGCCCCAAGATATTCCACCAGGAACATCTAATGAACTTGCCTTTATGTCTTGCCTAGGAAAAAAAGAGATTATCTGAGGAATAACCCCCTGTTACTCTGTCTCACACTCCAAAAACAGAGTACATTTGATGACTTTTATTCTATCCAGTATATAAACTGCAGTGGCAGCCACAGATTCATTTGTAATCCTATAACCTTTCATGGATATTTTTTTTCACTCATCAAAAAAATGACACATAATGTTTATGAAAGTCTCAGTGATGTGTTATATTTTCATCCAAACACAATCATCTTAAATCTGACATATATATTTTCTCCATTCTTCCCCACTTATTTTTGTGTATTGGTGAATGTTAGAACTTCAATATTTTGAAGAGTCTGTGAATGTGCCCTACTTGCCAGCATGTGATTATTATAAATAAAGAGAAATAATCTACATTAAGAAGAAAAAAAGCGAAACTCATATATAAACAAGGTGTATGTAAAGTGTAGAAAGGAACTAAAGTTTCAATAAAACCTCTAATTCTACCAATGTCTATTTTCTAAATATTTATCTTCCTAAAAGCAGTGTGTGAATATTTTAACAGCATAGAGCGTTGCACGTAGTATACACTCAGTAAAGAGTTATTGCTTAATGTGCAGTTTCATACCCCCCAACACACACACACACACACACACACACACACACACACACAGTCACATCTTTAAGACACTGTTTAAACTCTGGAGTGTCTATCACAGCAAAGCTGTTGGGCAAGATCACAAGGAAAAGTATCGCCTTCACAAAGCAGAGTATGACTGTCATATTCTGGTTGTAAACTGGCTGTCCTTGTATGTTAGATTAGGCACCAGTGCATCTGGAGTCTTCTACGGTACGAACATCTCACCCTTCAGTTGTCTGAAACCATCCCAATGTGTTAAGATGCATGAATTCTCTGTTGCTTCAGTCACTTATCAGAGTTTTTATCATTGATGTGTTGCTTGAGCTTTTTCTAGCAAAAATTGTTCAGTTTGAAGAAGCTCTCTTCCTTGTTATCGTGCTATTAACTCACTTCAACAGTAGGGCTTTTTGAGTGGGTGGGAGAAGTCCAGTCTCTCTCTAGGATTAATTTATTCTCGGTTTTTAACTTATGAGTGGTTTAGAACACCCATAAATATGTTTCATGAAGAAACATTACCTGAAAGGACTCACCCCGCTTCACTACGTAGCGGCTCAATGGTGGCTTGCACCTTTGAGTATCTTTTACACCTTTTACTTCCAGTACTGCTGTTCATAGTGGTAAGGACTTAATCAGTGTTTTAAAAATCAAATGCCAATTAAGAATTATCTCATCAGGTTTCATTTTATACTTGCAAAATTGCACCTATCTTAGGTTTATTCTTTCAGCTTGCATTTTCTCAAGGTTAGTGTTAAGTTTTATTCCAATTATAAATATGCAGAAGGAATGAAGAAAGGTAGTTAAGATTATTGAAATTAAGTCAAATTGACAAACTTGGGAGCAGTCTTTCCCCAGGATCTTATTATTCGGGGTGACTACTGCTGGGACTAGTTACTGGAACCCTCTCTAGTCCTCCTGGAGCATCTGAGAGAGGGCCCATGTAGCAGTGGATCTGCGTTTGTCATAGACCACGTCCTTTATGAGGAAAAAATAGGGAAATTAATATTTCAAATATTGTTCATCACATTTTTGCTTCTATCTGAATGCCTACATACATCTCTGAATTGTTTGAAACACTTTAAAAACATTTCCTGTGGGAAGTTGTGGTCATGGACATCACACATTTCTATAGTATATCTCCCACATCAAAGAAAAATACCCCAAATGCCTGAATAATCCTGACTACGTCGTCTCACTGTATTCTTTTGCAAGCTTCATTAAAACTGGATTTTAAACAGAAACAACCCAATTATCTACTCAGAGTATAAGCAAAAAAGACAAAAACAAAACCAAAAACAAAAAAAACAAAACTTTACCTGTTCTGTTAATGGGAGATTTGTGTACTTCTTGTTTAATAACTTTTGATGACATGAATATTTATCTACAAATGTTCAGTAGCTGTTATTTTAAGGACTTTGGCACTACATTTGATATAATGGATGTAGGTGTATTATATACTTTATTGTAAACAACTGCTGAATGCTAATTGTCTCAAACTTCCACATTGTTTAAAAGTACCCCACTGGCTTTAAATCATTGTCTTCATATCTACTCACTCATTTCTTCCCAAAGATATCCAAAAGAATGCACAACTGTGTACTCCATTCTTATAAATGTATTAAACAAGCATCCAAGTTAGGGGACTAGAAGGTCTACGTACAGCCAACAGAGCGGAGAGTCAGTGACCATCGCTTTCAACTTTGTATATTATAAATAAAATTCTGCTCATTTTTTCCAGCTTCTGAGTGTGTGTATATGCTTAAGAATTAACTATTATTTTCCACCCTCTGAGCCAGAAAAAAATTTTTTTTAAGAAGTAGATACAGGAATGGAACCTGGAAAAAAATCCAGCATCCCCCCAAACAAACAAACAAACAAACAAACAAAAAAACTTTAGAAAGTTCTTACAAAATAAAAATCGCACCTTCTGCTGCTGTAGCAGATACTCAAGCCATGAAGTGAGGGTCTCCTTCCCTGGTCCAGGATGGAAAAATCCTCTCTCTCAAAGTTTTTAAAAAGAAAGTGCTTTGGAGTCTTCTAATTCTGAACAAGAATTTTCTCCTTAACTGGAAATCAAGAATGTTTGAATTCACTTAATATATAGAGGAAAGAAAGTACAAAGAGGAAGGCCACACAGCCCTGTGGTTTCTGTTTATCTGTTTTCTCTCACATGCTGTCGTTTCTGATTCAGCGGAGACGGGGGATCCTGTGTCAGAGCCGTGGATCGCAGAGGCAGCGAGGCTCGGTCTGCAAACAAGACGCTGCAAGGCTGAGTGAGAGAGAGAGGGTGTGCGAGCAGCGAGCACATGTTACATCAGACACAGTACCTGATTTTTCACTGCACAGCTTGTCAGCTAGATAGTGTGTCTCCTGGGCGATAAGTGAGGATATTTCATCTTCATACTCTTCTATTATAGTTTCACACTGTAGAAACATAATAACAACATATGTGGATAGACGCACACTGGCGGGGCACTTTGTTAGGAAGGACTTTGCAACAATTTATTAGCTAAACATAGGAAATCATGTAACCAAGGTGGTCCATTTTTATTCGCCCTTTTGGTTTAATACATCATTGCATTGGATTAACCCTCTTCCCAGAATGTTAATTGCATCATTTTCCTGGGGCTTAAGTAAATGATGAGTTGTGTTGGAAGACATGGGAGCCTGAGGAAGGAACATCTCTTTGCATGTTTCGCTTCCTTAAATCGGACTGGAAGTCATAGGAAGAAATGGACCTCCTATCGAAGGAGCTGAAAAGTCCAACGGTTTTTAAACTAAAAAAAAAAAAAAAAAAAAAAAAAAAAGAAGACCACAGCTCCCCGAAATGATTAAACCAGTTTCCTTGTGATTTAACATAATAATCCATTTTGTGGCTTGAAAGTGTGAAAACAATTAAGCCTTCTCAGCAATCAAAACAAACGCATCTTCAATTTCACTGTGGAGAACACCCTTGACAGTTACTTCGGGAGGTGTCTTTTCATGCTGTTTAGAGATCCATCCAACATTTCACTTCACTTAAAAAAAAATACCTGACCTTTCAGAGAAGAGGGTGCTCAAATACACCCCTGCATTTGAAAATCTTAAATTCTAACTGAAGTATGTTTCTTTGTTAAGGAACTACCAGGTTATACTTTCGGGAGCTGTGAAGTTACCTAGTGGTATTCACCAGAGACTTGTAAATCATTTTCTGAGTTCATTAAGCAAGACTCTAAAAATGTTTAATGGCATTTTAAAAGATTTAAATTCGACTCTAATGTGCCTATTTAAAACCTGTGAAATACAAACACACGTATTCATTGTCATTCTTATTCTGTAGTACTTTTAACCCTGATTATTGCCTTTACTTTCTAGTTAAAATAAAATCTTTAAAAATCGGCTAAAGCCCTTATTTCAAGGTTTCAGCAGGCCTGGTATTTTGGCCAATGTGTGAACTTAATACATTTTTTAAAACAGGACTGCCCATCACTTTGTCTGATTCAACAGCATTGACTAAAGTGAAAAATATTGCAACGTATTTTGCCAAGCATATTCTAGCAAGCCAGAGACTAGCATTCACAAAAAATCAACATTACACTGGAAGGAAATTTGGCATCAGGCTAACTATCATACCTAAGCCTTTGTTTAACTTAGTTTGGGCTAGAATATTCGAATTAACTCAGGATACAATTCTCCCTCCTCTGTCAAGCCTTAGAAAAAAAGAGGTGGTTGCATCACTCTCCCTCTGTCATTTGGCTGTAGATATTTGAAAGCGGCATTCGTTTTAATTTGGCTTTTAACCTAGAAACCACAGCCCCTGATTCCTTATGTGGAAACCTGTGAGAGACCTTCCTTGCACCAGCACTGACTAAGACCACTCTGGAGTCCCCACACGAGCAAAATGGTTTAAGCAAAACGTTCTGCAAAACTGTCTTAAAGTCCCCGGGACTTGTGCACAGCACCTTCCGTAAAGTATCACTGAGACGTGTCCATTGATCACCATAAATTGCCACAACCCCTTAGGTGTCTCAAAAGTCAAGTTACTAAACGCATGGTGAGCACTTAAGCAGCAAGACAACAAAGTCAGCAGATGACATTTTAATGTGCATTTTGATGTTCCATGTCTTGAAACTCAACCACAACAAGAGTAGAAAACAACAAAAAAGAGTTCCAAAAACACGTTTCTGGATCATACGATTCATCTGCAAGGAAGAGAGCTTACCGCAAATTTCAAAGGTCTGTAAGCATCAGAATAAAAATACAATTTTTTAAATTCTTGGTATATTTTGTCTCCTTTCCTAGGAGCGAATCTCTTGAAAGTTCTCTCCTTCGTCACAGGGTCTTCCTCAAGCTTGTAGTCGTTCATTCGCTCACAGACTTTCTCCAAAAGATCCGTTAGGAACGCCTCCGACTGAGCTAGGGGGATCTAAGAAGAAAGACAGGGCGAGGAAACTTGTCTTAATGTTAATGTTACTTCAAAGACCTTCCGGCGAGTCCACATGGAAACGCCACACTCTCCCTGAATGCAAACGTGTGCCACTTCCCTAGCACGGGCCCAGAAGACGGTACCGCAGATTGTTATTACAATGTAACAACGACCTGCTTTACATCATTACGGGGCTAGCGTAAATTCCAGTTTTTTAAAAGTGCATATATTTCAAAGTGGCCAGAAAAAAAATACATTCAAACTAGAAACTATACCTCTACATAGAATCATGTTTAGAAATCACTGAGCATGTAGCAAAAAGCATGACGCATAGAAAATGGCAGTTATTATCCATCTACTTGTCAGACAGAGAGAGGAGAGAGAGAGGAGGGGGAGAGAGACAGAGAGAGGGAAAGGAGGGAGAGACAGAGAGAGGGAGGGAGAGAGAGCGAGAGAGAGAGCGCGCGCTCAGCTGGCTTCAGATCCCCTTAGTCGGGGAGAAGTTGGGGAGGCCCAAAGTCTGGCCCTCCCCGGGGCTGCCCTTGGCTGCGCGTCCCCCACGCTGCAGCCGCGCGATGGCCCGGGCTGGGGTGGACGTGGGGCTGGGAGAGGAAGGGGCTCACGGACGGGCGCCCCATCTCCCAGGCGGGCTCCTCGGCTGCTTTCTTTGGGAACAGCTGGTGCACGTCCCCGCGCGCCCCTCTCCCTCCGGAATTCGGCGAGGATTCAGCTGGACCCTTTGGCCACCACCTCCGCCCCGGGCGCGGGTCAAAGAGCACCCCTCGCCCTTGGTAACGGAGACAAAACGTTCGGGGCCGTCTAGACAGGTCAAGGTGCAGGATGCGGCGTCCCCGCGGCTCCTTCCGGAAGGGGGCGTGGAGCCGCCAAGGGCGCCGGACCGCGCCGCAGCCCGGGCCTTTGCGGGCTTTTTCCCTCTCCACCCTCTGCTGATCAAAGTAGGAAGTTTGCATGACAACCGCAGTGAAAGGGGCTGAATCACAAATGAACTCGATTTCTGCAGTGTTGATCTATCCAGCCTCCATTGTCCCCTTTCAGGCGCAGTATGAACCCTTCCGGTGCCAGCGGCCGCGCTACATTCACAGGCGCGCTCGGGGCGCACAAAGGGTCTCCGCGCTTCACCGCCATCTGGCCACAAATCTCATCAGCGGCGCGGCGGCGTCCCCTTGAAAGCGCGGGCGGAGGGTGCGCTTGTGTTCTTGAGACCCAGGTTCCATTACAAACCACCCAGCATCGCCACCGGCGCCCCCCGTTTCAATAAGGAAGCCACTTTGTCAAAACATTCTAAAAGAAACTTGGGAAGAGGACGCGTCAGAGAAATACCGCCGCCGATTAACTATCAGCTGCGCCTCCCCTGTGCACAGGTAACATCCCTCCTTCTCCCCCACGACTCGGCTGGAGCTTGATTTTGAGCTGCTCTCAAGGCCCAGGCACTCGAATCGGAAGTTAAATAGCTTATGGACTATTTAATAGAATATACCACCACACGTATCTAATCACTCAAATACCACGCTTTTAAAACTCATGAATGTTTTAATCGCTAAAAATGTCTACAGTCAAAAACTGCAGCCTAAGTGGCTCAAAGTGCACATTTCAAACACAAGTAGCGTTCTACTTACGCTTTAATTATGCCGTTCATTAATTTTCATTAAGTTGTAAAACATGCAAAGAATACGTAGATTAACAAACAAAACTGAAAATCTGTTTTATTAATTTACAGAAACAAATAATTAAACACGTATTAATCACTGGAAAAACTATAAAATGCAGAGGCAGATTTTAAAATGTAATTTAATCAAGACAGATCATTAGCGGAAAGATTACGGAGGTTTTCTTTTTCTGTGATGCATGTATTTTAGGTATTATTTCCTTAGCTGATACATATACAATATATTCATAGTAGTTTCTGGATGTCAACAGAGTAGCATTTTACTTGAAAGTGAAGAGTAGACGCTGTCATTTAAAAATATCTAACTGTAATCAAGAAATTCATTCTCTCTCTCCTTTCCTTCCTCCCTCCCCCACTCTCGTTTCCCATCTGAAAAGTAAACATACTTGATACTTGGGGGGATGGGGACAGAGCCAGGAGGAACCAGGGTCTGATCGCTGGGGGCTTTCAGAAACTTAGGCCTTCCTTCCATTAGAACACCAAATTCCATCCTAATACACCACTTAATTCATGTTGAGTAGAGGCCACGCTGAAAACTAATTTTTCAATTCACAGAACATTGTGAGCTATTTGCAAAAGTTGCTGAGCATATAAGTTTTGAGCAAAATTGTAATGTTTGTGTGTGGAAGGCCTTCCACAACTTACTTCTGTGGGCCACTTGATTTATTTCCTAGGTTGCACCTTTTGGAAACAGTTCCCCATGTTAAAACTTTCTACCTACCAGTGGATTGTTTTTATTTTGAAAGTGTAATTTGACATGTTTGAATATGCTACTGTTTTGCCTATTTTAACACAAATATGTTATGGCAAGGTACAAACGTGTGAATTTCTACAATTTTGTCAGTCTATGAAGGCTGACTGGCTTTTTGATGTGATTCGCTAGCCCTTTAGAGTAAACATTCTTTAAAAGTAGAAAATGTTTGCTGGCAGCTAGCTCGGAGACACTACCTTACGATGTTCGTTAAAAACAGGAAAGGGAAAACAGCCAGCATGAGACGAGTGGAGTTCATTTTTGCAGAAGATTAAGAAAAATTTTGATCCTGAAATCCCAAAGCATCAATTTTTTTGAGAAAGTATTTAAGAAAAAGATACTTATGCATTACAGCTCTTTATACATTTATTCAAATGTACATGATTAGAGTTTAAAATGATTCTAAGTAGCTGAACTACGTTCAGTACATTTAAAGACTGTTCACAGAATAACTGGGCTTTTTTTTCCCCCTCAAAGTGTTTTGATTATAAGAGGCCAATAAGGATTGGGACAAGTGGAATAAAACGAAGTCTTTCTATACTGTGAAGATTTTGAATAGTACTTGTCAATAAAGCACCTCCTATTGTAATCTTAGGGAGCCTTGCCTCTGCCCTCCAAGGACTGTCTCAGAGATACTAACCTCATTAAAATATGAATGAGAAGGCCTGTGTAGCCAGAGAAAACCCACGCACTGGCACAGTTTTCTTATCTGCCATTGCTTTTACATATGGACTTGTTTGGTACAAGTTATAAGTAGAAAAATGATCCATGATAATTTCATTGCTATCTTAGAGTACCCAAGCACTCCAAGTCAATCCTAACTTTTCCCAGATTTGAACCCCACCTATAACTCTTAATCATACTTCCTAAATGCAGTGCCTATTTCTCCCCCTTTACGTTTCTTCTGACCCTGTGCTTGTTGTGTGAGCAATGGAATGGGGGTGGGGAGATACCCATAGCCCTACTTTAGAGTGGAAAGAAGTACTTGAAAGTTCTGGCTTTGGCTTCTCCA
Organism: Homo sapiens; assembly: GCF_000001405.40. Lineage (NCBI taxonomy): Eukaryota > Metazoa > Chordata > Mammalia > Primates > Hominidae > Homo > Homo sapiens. The sequence continues at coordinate 155,512,548 of NC_000007.14, forward strand.
GAAGAGAAGAGCTAGGGAGTTTATTACAGACCTCTATGATAACACTTTAATAACGGCCAATTACAGCATGCCTCCATGTTTGTTCATTACTGTGTCTCTGTTAATCTTGTAGTAAATTTCTTGCTTGATAGCTGTCACAATCAGCAGGAATACAATTATGTTACAGTGGAAACTGTCGTTGTGGTATATCTGTCTCTCCCATTACAGTCTGACAACCTCCAATAAATTTCACTCATCTTTATCGTTATTTTGGAGTGTCCTTCAGATATGAAACCAGTACTTAACCTGTTTAGTGACTGATAATTAATTTCACATTGTAGCAAAGATTTTCTTTCTAGAGGTTTAGTTAATGTAAAATTTTAATTGCATTGTAGCAATATTGCATCTAGTTTAATCACTAACTTTTCATCCATAAAAATTGAAATCACTGCTGATATTAGTTAAAAGTCAATATTTAGAAGTGAAAATTCAAAGCTCCTTTGCTCTAGGCTACAACAGGGGAAGCATGAATTCAGAAACTCTTGTAAGCTGATGAGATATATAATTAGCTTTTATGTTAATTGACTGCTATGAGTTTGTTGTATGACACTTCTTCATATAATATGCAAATAGCATTGACTGTTTAGTTTTATTAGACAATATAATTAGAAATCTAAAGGCACTCATTTCGATGAGGAATAATAAAGGCTGATACATTTCCAGTGTTCTGTATATCAGAAAAAAATGAATTGCATCTGGACGTAATAAGAGAGGTTTTAGCTAGACATTATTTAGGGAGCCCAAACCACATATAACGGAATTAATAGGAGTGCTTCCAGCCACCGTAAACTCCATATTTAAACACGTGAATTTGTGGTGTCCATAAGACCTTGGGGGGAAAACACAAATGTTTCAGTACAATTTACCACAAATAATAATATACTTAATGAAAATAATACCTAAATGTTGCCTGCTATAATTAAAGTGAAATAAGTCATTCTTATTTAAAACAAAATAGTTTGCGAGTAAGTGTTCCAGTTCTTGTTACTCACAGACATTACCAGTAACATATATGCTTAGGTTGTTCAAAAAAAAAAGGTAATAAAATAAGAACAATGTGATTTTGGGGGGATATTTTTCCAGAATTCATTTTTCTTTTTAATTTCTGGAGCTTATTTTCAACTTAACAGTGATCAAACAGAAAAAAAAAAGGCGTAATGAATCAACATTAATGATCTTTCCAAATGGGGGTCATCTAACAATTTGATTCTTTATGAAGTTAAAAAACACACTTTCCTTTTATTATTAAATGCAAAATTGGTACTAGCATTTGCTTTCCTATTTTAAAACGTATTCTGCCAGTTTGAAAAATAAACCCTTTAATTTTTGAACATTTTAGGTAGAATGAAAAGAAATACAATCTGTCACATGAAAAATACCATAAGCTTAACCTCTGTTAAAAAATCTTCTAAGCAAGGACTTTGGGCACCCAATTCACACTGCACCTCTTGGCTGTGCCCTCCGGTGGGCACCGCTCAGAGGGCTCCTACTGCTTTCCAAAAACTCCTAAGAGGAGAAAGTGACAGTACGTAAAAAGGCAGAGGCAACAATATTGCGGCATAAACGGAGCATGATGCGAATGTGTTCATTCATTCAACAAATATTTACTGAACTCCATCTAATGTCAGACAAATACACTTCTCTAATTCCGACGTTTAAAAAGAGGACGCTTCCGTGATTCTGCATAAAAATTAAAATAAAATTTTTGGAAAAGAACATGTGCCCAGTGGAAGTCCAATAAACATGAATTAATGATAATATAACCCTTTGTCATCGATTGTCGTCAACTGTTTCCTTATTTTACAGTTTTCTGCCCAACAAAGATCTGCATGTTTCACCGTCTTGTTACTGAGAACATAATGGTTGATGAGTGATGATCCGTTTGGAACCACCTCTGCAAAACATTTCCCCAACCTAGAAGAGCGGAAAAGTCCTATTTTTGGAATCTGTTGGGGCATTTCCCAACTTGGTCTTCTGAATACTTGCGGGCATATGGCAAGACTTCCTTATAAAATGTTAGACGTCTGGCTGGGTGCAGTGGCTCACACCTGTAATCCCAGCACTTTGGAAGGCCGAGATGGGTGGATCACCTGAGGTTGGGAGTTCAAGACCAGCCTGACCAACATGGAGAGACCCGGTCTCTACTAAAAATACAAAATTAGCCAGGTGTGGTGGTGCATGCCTGTCATCCCAGCTACTCAGGAGGCTAAGGCGGGAGAATCGCTTGAACCCGGGAGGTGGAGGTTGCGGTGAGCCGAGATCGCGCCATTGCACTCCAGCCTGGGCAACAAGAGCAAAACTCTGTCTCAAAAAATAAAGTAAAATAAAATAAAATAAAATAAAAAATGTTAGATATCTAAGAGGAAAAGGGACAAATGAACTGGATGATGAGTCAGGAAATTCTGCGTGCTTCATCTCACAGATGAGAAAGCACACACATACTGCACACACGCACACACCACGCCATGCATATAGGCACACAGATGCATGCACACACATGGATTATGCAGAAGGGGCCAGCTGGCTTCTGGCAAGCAAACCAGAAAACATTGTATGGCTTCCGGGGAGGCAGAGACCGCTGCAAGCAGAGGGGCTTCAAGGTTTCCTGACCCTCTGCTCTTCCTGACCTGTGGTCCATGCACAGGGCCACACCTCAGGAGAGTCCCTGCTCATCTGGCCTCCACACCCTGGTCCTGGTCTCAAGGCCGCCCCCCCCCCCCCCGGCCCCGGCCAGGAACTCTTTCACATCCTAAGAACAGGCCTCGGTGATTAGAACAAGAGGCTCTTCCACCTCCCAGACCACCAGGCCATGTCTGAAGCCACACCTGGAGAGCTGCTGCAGGGTGCTGGGCTCCCCCCATGGGAGACGCCTCACCCACTGAAATAGACACGATTCACCTCCCCCACCCTAGGGACCCGGGGACCGCAGGGTGTCTGTGCATCCCAGATGCCCGACATGACCCCCTGATGTCCAGTCACAAATCGAGAGGTGTGGAGGGTGGAGGGAGAGACCAGGCTGCCTGGGGAGTCGACTGGGGGAAACGAGGAGATTCGGGGATTTCTCGGAGGTGCATCTCTTGGCAGATTTGTGCTGCTGACTAGGAGTGCTGGGGAAAGGGAGAAGTTGTCTGGAACTGGGATGAAATGAGGCTTCTCTGCAGCAGGGAGGGTAGAGCCTCTTTTCAATGAGCGTTCATTTTCTGGTTCCCAGGGTCTAGAAAGACAGCTCTTTCTTTAAAAACATTTGTTAATGGAAAAAAGTAATACATCAATTTGATTTCTTTAAAACAAAAACAAGAACAGAAGGGTAGAGTAAAATCTAAGGCTCATCCCTCCCCCAGACCCCTTAGGCCCCCAGATCTCCTCCCGTGAGAAACATTCCAGTTATGTGTCTACATGTGTGAGCAAATGAACGTGCACGCGTGTGTGTGTCCCCCCTCCTCTTTTACACAGATTAAAGCATGACATGCACCCTGTCTATTGCTTTGTCTTTGTCCCTTGATAGACCTCAGGGCTAAGAGGACTCATTCTGTGTCCAGGATTCGAAGGGAATGGTCCACTGACCATACCCTGAAACAAGTGACTCAAAAGTCAAATCCACCCCCATGGGAGACAAGAGTTAAAGAACACCATCCACCCAGAGGGCAGTTTCAGGAGGGGTATTCCCAAGAGTTCTGAATGATGGCAGAATATGGCTAGAACATTTGTGAAAAATCAGTTATGTTGTTTCAGTAACAGTGTTCGAGAAGTTTTTGCATCAAATTTACTTTAACCTATGCCAAAACAACAGTCTCAGTGGGAGAGGATGAGAGTTTTTAACCCCACTTCCCAAGTGAGGACCCCAGTGTTTCAGGGCTGGCCAGCGAGGAGCGGGCTGGCACAGGATGACAGCCAGAGTGGAACCGCGGGGACCTCAATAGGAACTCTCAGATGAGGAGGCTGCGGTATGACCAGGAGACGCGGTGTCCTCAAGGAGTCACAGGCTAAGCTGGATGGAAACCCACACAGAAGACTGCGACCCCAGCCTGGGGCACACCCAGTGCCTCCAGAACGCTGGGTCACCCAGTAGGAGCAAGGGTTACCTCAGCTGACCGGGAAGCTGGTGATGGCCCAGCAGGAGTCTACTTCTTACAGTCACAATGCCTCAGACCCAGTGTGCCATCCCCAGGAATGTCCTGGGCCCAGGGTGACACTCGGGCCATTCCCTTGGTCCCGCCTGGCCACCTTCTGTTCCCTCCTGGTGACTCCTCGGCCTCCTAGAACCTCAGCAGCCCTCCGGGAAGCCCTTAGGTTGGGCTGAGCTGTCGTGGGCGTTGCCTCTGTTGGCCTAGCAGATGGGCTGAAACTGCTGTGATTGGGGTCTCCGCCACCCTGGCCTTTAGCTGAGACATGGCCGCTGGTCCTTGGGGCATTCTATTTCCTAATCAACTTCTGCAGCAGCTGCTGCATGTGCCGTGCCCTCCACAAATGACCAAGTAGGGCCATAGCTGTAGGCTGAATCATGTCCCCAAAATCCATATGTTGAAGCCCTAAACCCCGGGACCTCAGAATGAGACTGTATCTGGAGATAGGATCTTTGAAGAGGGGATTAAGATCAGATCGGGTCATTGAGGTGGCCCCTTTTCAAATCTGGCCAGTGTCCTTGTAGGAAGAGGACATTAGGAAACCGACACGCACAGAGGGACGGCCATGTGAGGACGCAGAGGGAAGACGCCATCTACAAGCCAAGGAGAGGCCTCAGGAGAAACCAGCCCTGAGACACCTTGATCCTAGGCTTCCAGCCTCCAGAGCCATGCAAGAATGAATTTCCATTGTTAGTGGCTCCTGTCTGTGGGACTTGTTATACAGCTGCAGCTGTATCCACAGTCACAGCGTGACGTCCTCCTGCCTCAAGTTCTGCTAGGTGCAGCCCAAGCCCATGGATCTGAGCATTCACCAAGAACAGGTGACTCCACCTCCAGGAAGCCTGGACACCATGCAGAGGCGGCCAGCAGGTCCACCCCACACGCCAAGCAACACAAAGGTCCCTGCAGGGCTGCACCTGCACATGCAAAAAATGGTTCATCATCTGAATTTCTCCTGCAACACGGCAAAGTGGGGGCACTGGGCTCGGGGTCCGCCCAAACACCTGAATGCTAGCCTGGCTTCACTTTTATCCACTGGCCATGGGCGGGGATAGCCACACATCTTCTTGTCTTCTAGCATCCTCCTCTGTAGAACCAGGGCGATGATATCCACCTTAATCAAGTAATTGGTTGGAAAATCCTTCAAAACATTTGATGCGATACAGAAAGGTGCAGTGTTTTTATTTTATCTCCGATAGCCATCATTGTCTTAGATCTTAAACACCTTTAAAGTGGCAGGCATTTAAGCAGCACAGTGATTTCTGTCCTCTCCCTTCAGGTGAGGAGCAGGAGGAGGGACACCGTCCTGCATATGACCCAGAACCAAGGCCCACTGGTCCCTTCACACCAGCGGGCATTGAAGAGCTTTCCCGTGAAGCTCTCTCTGCCGAAACCCTTCTCCTCCCATCCTCTCAGGATCTGGGAGCTGCCAGGAGGGGTGGCCAGATCCACAGTGCTCAAAGGGTGGTCCTTGGGCCAGCAGCATGGCTTCCGTGGGAGCTCATCAGTCATGCAGAGTCCCAGGTGATTTGTGTGTACAGCCAACTGTGGGCAGTGCTAGTTTAGGAAGATGAGGAGGAGGAAGAGGAAGAGGGTGGCTACCTGCTGACTGTTTTATATTCTGCTTTTGTGCTTTATCTAGAAAGCATGCAGCAGAGATCAGAGGAAGGGCCATTTGGTCCAGAGAGACCCTGATTCACAGCCTTGTCCTGTTCCAAGCAATGTTGGGATGAGCTGAAGAAGATGCCTCCGTTCTCAGACCCAAAAGGCACAAAGACGGCACCTTTGGGAGAGCCAGGCACTACCAGTGTCTTGAGTGCTGAATATTGTGCATTCGAAAGCAATGAGAGCTCTAGGGTGGACCTTTCACTGGCACTCAAAGAGAACCAAGGAAGCAGAGAAGGATGATAAATGGCATCTTAGTGGTTCCTGGCACCTGTCTTAAGAGTAAGATCTTTTACTGTATTACAAGGCTGGGCATTTTCCTAAAATTGTTTAGATCCTTCGTGTCATTATTTTCTCTCCTGCATTTCTGGTCTTCTGCAGCACACTCCCCAGGTGGGAGAGTGGTGTCCGGGGTCTCACCCTGCAGGACTGGATTCCAGTACTCAGGGACGGGCAGCCTGTGTGGTGGAAGGCTACCTTGCGCAGGCACATGCCAGCCAGACTATCCAGGAAGAAATGCCGGGAAGAAAAAGGGGTCGTGTTTTCTCTGATCCACCAAATTCAGGTCATTCTAGAGCCAAATCCAATTCCAGTTTAGAAATGGGTTTCAATGCTTAACACACCGCATCTTATCCTGGCTGCAAAATTTTTTGTCTAAGAAATACCAAGTTTTGAATAGGCTGTGACCAGACATGTCATCACTTCAGGTAGAGAGAGGGCAGGTCATCAGCGAACACCTGGAGTGTTTGAAGAGGCCACCACACCCCAGGGGCCGGGAAAGGGGTGACCTGTGTCTTGCTGCTTGCCTAGTGCTTCCTGGATCCCAGGTTCATACCATCTTTGCCAGACTGGAAAGAATGGATGCAGGCTGGGTGTAGTGGCTCGTGCCTGTAATCCTGCACTAGAGAGGCCAAGACAGGAGGATCCTTTGATCTCTTGTTTGAGACCAGCCTGAGCAACATAGTGAGAGCTTGTCTCTACAAAAAATAAACAAAATTAGCTGGGCATGGTGGCGAGCACCTGTGGTCCCAGCTACTTGGGAGGCTGAAGTGGGAGAATCACCTGAACCCAGGAGGTCAAGGCTGTGGTGGACCGACATCGCACCATTGCACTCCAGCCTGGGTGATGGAGCAAGACCCTGTCTCAAAAATAAATAAATAAATAAATAAATAAATAAATAAATAAATAAGAAAGAAAGAAGAAAAATGGGTGCAAAGTATAAAGAACAGATTGAATCCAAACCTGACCTGTTATTGGTGGCAAAAAAAAAGACTATTAATAAGTTAATATTGTTCCTGTTAAATAAAATCTTTTGTGTTGTTTGCCTGTTTACTCAAGTAATGAAATTCACACCTGAAGGGAAACAATGAACTCACAATCTTAGCATCCTGACAAATCAAAGTGTCTCTTTCCAGCCTTCACCCACATGTAGCTCTCATTCTCTATCCTCCACCCCACATATTCACACTGAATTCAGACATTTCCGTGGTATTACACAGCCTCCATATCCACAGTTAGTGGTAACAGAGTGCTCAATAAGAATTCATAGCTCCTCTCATAGTTCCTTGACTTTGGGACATTTGGGGTATTGACAACATTTTAAAAATGATCAGTAACTCTGCTATGAGGATTTCTGTATCACTTTTTCCTGTAGAATTATTTTTGCGGAACATATTCCTAAGTTTGGGGTAACTAGGTCGCCGTAGGTATACATTCCCGTATGCTCATATTTCTGGCCGAGGAATGGAAGAGTGCTCAGCTAAGACAGAGACATCTATAAAATAAGCTGCAAGCCAAATCACACTGTGAATTTCTGTAATGGTCTCCCCTCTCGAAAGAGGAACAGGCAGCTCATTGCTTGGGATTCCTCTGAAACCTCTGGCTCTTGTTTATCCTCTCCACTTGGAGGCGAGAGCCCATGGTAGAAGGACAGATAGTGTGAGCTTCGTTGTGCCGGCCGAGAGCACCCACATGCGGTCCCAGGGCATTTCTTAGCGCCTGCTGGGAGTGGCCACCAGTTGTCTCTTTTTCTTTTTCTTTCTTTCTTTCTTTCTTTTTTTTTTTTTTTTTTTTTTTTTTGAGGCAGAGTTTCACTCTTTTCACCCAGGCTGGAGTGTAATAGCATGATCTTGGCTCACTGCAACCTCCGCCTCCCCAGTTCAAGTGATTCTCATGCCTCAGCCTCCCGAGTAGCTGGGATTACAGCAGTTGTCTCTTTTAAGTCCTTCACGTCATTTGTTTCCATTTTGGCCCCTGCTTATTTTTTAAAAAGCAGATAGATGTGAGATAATTTTGTTCCATTTGAACAAAACTTTTTCATTATTTAAAAATTAATAATCTCAAAATGACATTAAATGTCTTCCCTCTTGATGCTGTGCATTGGACTAAGGGTTCTCTTTATGTTCGTTAATACCCAGATCTTGAAAGAGGGTTATGTTTCTAAATTTGGGGTATGAAACATTCCCCTTTGACTGGGTGCAGGGGCTCATGCCTATAATCCCAGCACTTTGGGAGGCCGAGGCAGGCGGATCACTTGAGGTCAGGAGTTCAATATGAGCCTGGCCAAGATGGCAAAATCCCATCTCCATTAAAAATATAAAAATTAGCCTGGCGTGGTGGCACATATCTGTAATCCCAGCTACTCACAAGGCTGAGGCATGAGAATGAAAAAAAAAGAAAGAAGGAAGGAAGGAAGGAAGGAAGCAAGGAAGGAAGGAAGGAAGGAAGGAAGGCTGGCTCCCCTCCCCTCAGAAGCTCCTGAAGAGAAGAAATCTTAGTCCCGTATTCTTCCAGGCCCAAGAATCCTCGGCTGTGGGTGGAGCGAGCCTTCCAGGAAAGTCGCCGATGGGGCTCTGTGATTGTAGAGATCACATGCATTCCGTAAACTCCACCCAGGAGCTCTGTGCGAAGGACTGACATGAACAAAAACAAGTGGTGTTTCTAATGGGAAGGACCAGGTTTCTTTACATGCAGGGGACCCAAGAATGACAGACAAAGAACCTCCCCAGAGTAGAAAGTCTAGTGCACGCCATGAAGCCAAACGCTAAGATCCCCTTGCTTGCTCATGGCCCCTGAGCATCCCCTCTGCACAAGGGTCCTGCTGGATGTGAAGATACAGCAGTGGACAAAGTGAAGGGGTCCCTGTCCTCCCAGCACTTGTGGTCTGGGCCTGAAATCGCCAGGCGGCAGCCTCCCTCTTATACAGAGTCCCTGGGCCGCCGCCTTGTTTATGTACAGCCCATGAGCTGAGATTGGTTTTTACATTTATAAAGGATTGAAAAAAGGTCAAAAGAATAATATTTAATGACACATGAAAATGATGTGAAATTCAAATTTCATTGTCCATACATAAAGTTTCGTGGGACACAGCTGCGCCCACATTTGCGTACTGTCCCCAGCTGAGCAGAGTGGTGGCAGGGGCCTGGCACCCGGCACCCTGAGCTATGGACTATGTTTAGAGAAGATGCTTGCCAGGTTCCAGCATGCCAGCCTCACTTCAGCGGCCTTGCACCTGCAGTTTGCAACCTGTGCCCTGCCCTGCGGCTGACATCATCCTATCTCCGGAAGGGCAGGTCCCCAACTGCTCATGCCCCTGCCAAATCATCTTCCTTTCTCTGGAGGCCAACAGCACTTTCCTCCTAGTGGGCACAACCGAGGTTCCTCTAGACGTGTTGAACACGCACGTGCACACACGTGCCCACATGCATCCACACACACAGCTGCGGCACCACGTGGAGAGTCGGGCTGTGCTCACCCAGGCGCTGCATCTTCTACCTGTTGGCATTGACTGAGGATGCCTTCTGGGCCAGGAGCCATGAATGGGGCTTTGCACATATAGAGGTGCAGTCTTCTGTGACAGCCTGGCGGGGTGGGTATCGCTACCGCATGTTGTAGGCCAAGAAACCGAGGCCCTGAGACACACTTCAAAGTGGGGGAGGCCCAGGGTGTGACTGTCACGCCAGGCCATGTCTCTGCCCATGCCATCATGTGGCGCACACTCTGTAAGTGCCTGTTGACCTGGTTTCCTCGTGGCCTAAGGTGGGTGGGCAGTAGCCATGTCAGGGTGTCCCTGCTGGGGGCTTCCATCCCAGCTCCAGTTCCTACCCTGAGGTTGGCGGCCCACCCCACTTCAGAGAGGAGGAAACGCAGCCTTCGAGAGGGTGAGTCTCTTGCTCAGGGTCACAAAACCAGGTTAGATGCTGAAGCCAGAAGATAAACCAGGTCTATCTGGAGCCAAAGCCTTTCTCTGAGTGTCAGGGCCAGAGGGGGTGAGCACCTCGTCTTCATGGAGGTGCTGGGATACCTCCACAGTCCTCGTAAGAGCCACTATACCTGTCTACACCACCATGCACACTCCCCTGGTTACTTCTTACAGCACGCTAGTCACGCATAGCACCAGGCAGGTGCCCCCAAATGGGTTCTAGAACAATCAGTGTCACGGAACTCAGCCTCCCTTCTCTTTTTCCAAGACAACCAATGTATCACTTTCCTGCCAAACGTTCTATGGAAAGAACCATTTGAAAACAGCCAGACTCAAAGCTGAAGCACATTAAATCCAGCCTCCCTGTATGGGAGCTGCACGGTGCCCACTGTGTCTTCTAGCTCCTTTTGTCCTGGGGGAAAAACACTGCAATCCTCTAAACACATCCCATTATCCTCCATTCTTTACCCGATTTGTGGATTCAAACAATTCTTATTCAGTGGAATAAGGAGCAATTAACAGGACTAGGGATTTATTAAGGATAAGTCATGCCAGACAGTTTTGACAGCTTGTTTTGAGGGTGACAGAATTACAAAATCCGAGGCTAGATGCATTATGTATTTAGACTTTTGTGCAGCATCTAATACCAGGCTTGGGAAATTATTCTTGCCAAATGGTCTGAACCCGCCTGGATGAGAACAGTCTCATGTACCGGAAACCGACTCAAAGATCAGAGACAAAGGATACATGACATTCAGCCATGCACGGGTCGGTGTGGCGGGGGCAGGGAGTGGTGTTTCACGAGGGGCTGCAAAGGTCAATGTTAGGGTTTGTTTCCCGTAACATCTTCATTATTATCTGGAGGGAAGGGCACACTGCCGGCCACCAGGGCCGTGTGGGAGGGTGGGAAGCTCCAGCCTCTGGGAGCTGATGCTCACCCTGCAGCTGCTCAGCAGTGACCGAACATGAAGAGGCCACAGAGGGACCGGAGCAACACGGGGGCTGGGTCGGTGCCCCCAACACCCCTGCCACCCAAGAACAACCCACAGAAGGTGGGCGGGGACAAAGCCCATCAGCCTCATGGACTTGGATAGTGGAGAGTGCCCCAGGATCCCCCAGTCATAAAACCTCAGTGGGTTGGGCTGTGTCCCCCAAAGAGACACTCAAGTCCTAACCCCAGTACCTGTGAATGTGACCTTATTCAGAAAAAGGGTCTTTGCAGATACACTCAGCTAGGATGAGATCATATTAGGATAGGATGGGTTCTAATCCCATGTGACTGATGCCTTACCAGTCACATGGTAAGAGACCCAGACCACACGGGGGAGAAAGGCTGTGGCACTACAGAGGCAGAGGCTGGGGTGATAGATCTCTAATCCCAGGAACACCAAGAGTTGCCACCACCACCAGAAGCTAGAAAAAGCCACAGACTAGATTTTCCCTCTGAGCCCCCAAGAAAAATATGAGCCTGCCAACACCATGGTCCTGGACTTCTGGCCTTTGCCCCACGAGGGAATCATTTCTGCGTAAGACATCTGGATTGTAGTGCTTAGTTATGGAAGCCGGAGGTGCTAACGGAAGTCTGATTTCAGAAGTGAAGAATTAATAATGGAGTCCAATGGCCCCCGCTTCTGCCCCGAGGCTAGAGGTGGGGTGGTAAACTCAGGCACTGCGCGAGCCACACCTGCCAAAGTGTAGATTCATTTTCCCTCCAAGATACGAATGACAAAAGAAGAACTTTCCTGTAAGGCAGGGGTCCTCAACCCCCAGGCCTTGGACCAGTACCAGTCTGCAGGCTGTCAGGAACCAGGCTGAACTGCAGGAGGTGAACAGCAGGCCAGTGAGCAAAGCTTCATCTGTATTTATAGCTGCTCCCCATTGTTCACATTACTGCCTGAGCTCCACCTGCTGTCAGATCAGCAGCGGCATTAGATTCTCATAGGAGTGTGAACCCTATTGTGAACGGCACATGCAAGGGATCCAGGTTGTGGGCTCCCTATGAGAATCTAATGCCTGATGATCTGCCACTGTCTCCAATCACCCCCAAGATGGGACCAACTAATTGTAGGAAAACAAGCTCAGGGCTCCCACTGATTCTACATTATGGTGAGTTGCATAATTATTTCTTTATATATTACAATGTAATAATAGAAATAAAATGCACAATAAATATAATGCACTTGAATCATCCCCAAACCATCCCCCCCACCCTCCCTGGTCATTGGAAAAATTGTCATCCATGAAACCGATCCCTGGTGCCATAAATGTTGGGGACCGCTGCTCTAAGGGGCCTGAGGGAAGACTCATAAAGGTTAGGGACCACTGTTCTAAGGGGCCCAAGGGAAGATTCAGGTCTATTAGGTGGTGGCTAGCACAACCCTCAGCACCTGGCAGCACAGCTGCACCTGTTGTATTTATGAAATGGAACACACAGGCCATCAGCACCTGGTGAACTACCCCTAACTCCATGCTATGCTACCATCACCTTTCTCTCTCTCTCAGCACTTCACACCCTCAGATGATGGTTATTTTTGTCGTTCAGGAATCTTGAATCGCCTGTTTATTTCTTCTCCCTGAGGATAGTATAGCATTTCATCTTTCTTTCTTTTTTTTTATTTTTTGAGACAGAGTTTCACTCTTCTTGCCCAGACTGTAGTGCAGTGGTGCAATCTCGGCTCACTGCAACCTCCGCCTCCTGGGTTCAAGCGATTCTCCTGCCTCAGCCTCCCGAGTAGCTGGGATTACAGGCATGCGCCATCACGGCCGGTTAATTTTGTATTTTAAGTTTCTCCATGTCAGTCAGGCTGGTCTCAAACTCCTGACCTCAGGTGATCCACCTGCCTCGGCCTCCCAAAGTGCTGGGATTACAGGTGTGAGCCACCACACCCAGCTCATCTTTCTTTATTCCCAAATTCTAAATGCAATGTTTCCCCCTCTTAAACAGAATATTTGGTTGATCAGAACATTGCGCTTCTGCTCATGTAATATATTCTCCTACAGATTTTCAAATTTGTCCCAGCCAGTACCGGTAAGACCACAGACTCCATCTCAGGCCCACACCCAACAGGGCTTAGTGTACTGCAAAGCTACTGTCTGGATAAACAGGGCTTCCTAGACCCCAAAGCCACACTATTTGTGTCTTATCTATGAAATACCAATTCTGATCTTGTGGACTCTTTTTATATCATGCTAGTCTTGATCAGCTAAAACCTGACATCCCAGACACAACGTCATTAAATTAAATACCCAGTAGGTGAACAGGTGCCTAACTCCTCTGTTTTTCTTGACATTGTATCACTTTCCTAGAGTCGTCACAAAATATCAGAAATAGTCCCCAACTCCTCATAGAATTAACATGACATAGCTATTATCAACTACTTATTCTTTCATTTTCCAGACATTGAGAACCTATTATGAGCAAAATCTTGTGCTAGGGAATGGGGGTACAAGATTAAAAATGTAATTAAGGATAGAAATGTGTTACAGTACATACACAGCTAGAATAAAATGCAGAATTTAACAAATATCCTAAAAAATGCTATCAAAATACTTTTGATGTTCAGAAGGTGTGAGAGAATATCTGATATCTTATTTTTCCACAAATTCATCTTTGTAAAAAAGTGACACAGTGTCATTCCAACTCAGTGTGGGGGAGCAAGGCTTATTTGATAAACGGCTCTGGTACACGCTGTGATGTTCACCCAGGAAACACCCTCCATGTCGACTCCACAGGTAGACGGAAAAGAAAAGCATGCAGTAATGGAAGAAAATTCAGAAAGCGATTTGTGTAACAAACGGCTGGCAGGGGACATTCTCAAACAAGACGGGGTGCCCAATGCCTTCGTGGACGGGGAGGTGTCCATGGGGGAGAGGAGCCACCGCACACAGATCACAGCCAGAGGAGGCATGCATCAGGCGGGACAGGGAGAGTTACTATCCCCACATTCACAATGGCATAAAAGACAAACCACCCAGTAGAATACTGGGCAAAGGCTACAAATACACACCTCGAAATAAGAAATCCAAATAGCACGCTGGTGGAAAGATGCTTAACTGCACTGGTAGTCAATGAAAGGGGAATAAAGGCAATAGCGAAATACCATCTTTCACTGGTTAGATTACCAAAATTAAAAGAATGCTATTACCCAGCGCTGGCAATATGCAAGAAAGCAGCCTCTGTCACCCACTGCTGGCTGGAATATCCATGCTGCAGCCTGCAGAGAAGCAGTCCAACAACATGGGTTAGTGTTAAAATGTTCCTACCTTTGACCCCTGCCTTTCAGGAATCTGTCCTGGAGAAATCCAATCAACAATACCTAAGGATGCAGCACCACGGAGGCTGCAGCGTCACTGTGTGGTGGCAAAACACCAGAAACAATATGTGTCCATCTGTAGAATGGTCTTCTTAACTGGAAAATGTCCATATCCTAGGCAGCCATGCTTTTCTTTTCTTTTTTCTTTCTTTCTTTCTTTCTTTCTTTTTTTTTTTTTTTTTGAGACAGTCTTGCTCTGTTGCCCAGGCTGGAGGGCATTGGCATGATTTCAGCTCACTGCAACCTCTACCTCACGGGTTCAAGCGATGCTCCTGCCTCAGCCTCCCAAGTAGCTGGGACTACAGGCACCTGTCACCATGCCCAGCTAATTTTTGTATTTTTAGTAGGGATGGGGTTTCACTATTATTTTAAAACGTCGAAGCCAAAAACCTGCATAGCTGCTGCCTGGTGTCTGAGCGACTGCAGTGCTGGCAAGGGCAAGGCTCTTGACTCTGATGGGAATGGAGCGGGGTCGGGAGGTAGACATGCGTCTTTTCTCTTATCTCTTGCTAAAATCATCATGTGTTATTTTGATAATTAATTTCTTTTTTTTTTTTTTTTTTTTTTTTTGAGGCAAGTTCTCACTGTCACCCAGGCTGGAGTGCAGTGGTGCAATCACACAGCTCATTGCAGCCTCGTCCTCTTGGGCTTAGATGATCCTCCCTCCTCAGCCTCCTGAGTAGCTGGGACCACAAGTACACGCCACCACACCCTGCTAATTTTTTTTTTTTTTTGTATTTTTTGTGGAGACAGGATCTCCCTGTGTTGCCCAGGCTGGTCTCAAAATCCTGAGTTCAAGCTATCCTCCCGCCTTGGCCTCCCAAAGTGCTAGGATTACAGGGCTGAGCCACGGCAGCTGGCCTTAACATTTTTAACAAAGAAATATTTGAAAACCCACATAGAGTAATGAGACATGTGAGTATTCAGCCTACCTGATTTGCACAGGGCCTGGAAAGCCACACACAGGGGTCCCGGCCGCTGCTGGGCCAGTGCAGGGATCTCCAGGAGCCTCTCCTGAGGCGTGGCCCTGGTGGCCCCGAAGGAGTTCAGGCTCCTTCCCCAAACCTTCAGGCAGCTTGAGAGCTCCTTTGCTAAATAGATGGGCTTATTAGTGGGCCTCAGGAACCCCCTCAAATATTAGAAATCACCATTAATCCTGCATCGTTGTAGAGAAGGGACAGCAGAGCTCTCTAGAACACATACGCCCAGTCTCCATGTGGCTGGAGAGGGCTCCTTTCCTCTGATGTTTTCAGAAAGTTCAGGAAAAAGGACATGAGAAGGGCCCAAAGAGCCTAATTAACTTTGACTTGACTTCAACAATGGGCAGGAGAATAAGACCCCTTTTAATATAAAATTAAAACCTCTCCACCAGAGCCTTATCCTCGCCAGCACTTTCTTTCATTGCTTTAAATTGGTCTTCTCGGCCTTGTAGGACTGTGGTGGGCGGGCCCAGGAGCCCAGACTCGCCCATTCTGGGCAAGTGTGTTCACATAGCTCTGACAATGCCAGCTCTCGGTCATTGTCACGCTTCCTTCTCTGTCCCAGGTTAAGCTACGCCGTGGGGGGATCAGCTGCTGCCAATGTGGAGGCCAAGCTGGGATCACTTCTTCATTCTAACTGGAGAGAAGGGAAGTTCAAGTCCAGCAGAGGGTGGGTGGGTAGACAGTGGCACTCAGAAATGTCAGCTGGACCCCTGTCCCCGCATAGGCAGGACAGCAAGGCTGTGGCTCTCCAGGGCCAGCTGAAGAACAGGACACTGTCTCCGCTGCCACAAAGCGTCAGAGACTCCCATCTTTGAAGCACGGCCTTCTTGGTCTTCCTGCACTTCCCTGTTCTGTTAGAGACCTGGTTATAGACAAGGCTTCTCCACCTAAGAAAAAACAACTTTGGGCTGGGCGCGGTGGCTCACACCTGTAATCCCAGCACTTTGGGAGGCCAAGGTGGGCAGATCACGAGGTCAGGAGATCAAGACCATCCTGGCTAACATGATGAAACTGTGTCTCTACTAAAAATACAAAAAAATTAGCCAGGCATGGTGGCAGGCGCCTGTGGTCCCAGCTACTTGGGAAGCTGAGGCAGGAGAATGGCGTGAACCCAGAAGGCGGAGCTTGCAGTGAGCAGAGATCGCGCCACTGCACTCCAGCCTGGGTGACAGAGCGAGACTCCATATCAAAAAAAAAAAGAAAAGAAAAAACAACTTTGTCCCAGCCATGAGTATTCTGGGCTTCCGAACCTGGAGGTTCCGAAGACCCCAGGAGAGGGAACTGGACAGTCAGCTCCCAGCGAGTAGCCAGAGGCTGGAAGTAGCTGTTTCCCAGTCTTTCATGAGAAACCAGAAGTCCGACGTTCTACGTGAAATCTTGATCCACATTATGTGGGCTGGATTTGGACCCTGAGCCTCCAACCATCCACGTGGCTGGGTCCTTTGGCCATCACCCTCACCCATCACAGCTTCAGATGCCTCTGGCCTGTGTTTGTTTCCTAACCTGCTGTAACAAAGTGTCCCAAGCTAGGGCCTTGAAACAACAAAAATTCACTCTCTCACAGCTCTGGAGACCAGGAGGCCAACACTGAGGAACCAGCAGGGCCGTGATCTCTCTGCAGGCTCAGGCAAGGGTCCTTCCTTCCCTCTTCATGGTTCCGGTGGCTGCTGGCAACCCTCGGCATTCCTTGGCTTATGGACGCATCACTGCCCCTCTGCCTCCCAGGGCCCTTGGCATTCTCCCCAGTGTGTGTCTTTGTGTCTCCATCTTATCTTCTTATAAGGATGCTGGCCACTGGATTAGGCCCTGCCCCACCCCACCCTGCTCCAGTATGACCTCATCTTAACTGACAACATCTACAAAGGTTCTATTTACAAATAAGGTCACCCTTCAAGTTTCTTTTCTTTTTTTTTTTTCTTTAATTTTTTGAGACAGAGTCTCACTCTGTCGCGCACGCTGGAGTGCAGTGGCATGATCTCAGCTCACTGCAACCTCTACCTCCCTGGCTCAAGCGATTCTCATGCCTCAGC
This sequence comes from Homo sapiens, assembly GCF_000001405.40. NCBI lineage: Eukaryota > Metazoa > Chordata > Mammalia > Primates > Hominidae > Homo > Homo sapiens. The sequence continues at coordinate 155,529,903 of NC_000007.14, forward strand.
CTCCCGAGTAACTGGGATTACGGGCGCCTGCCACCACGCCCAGCTAATTTATTGTATTTTTAGTAGAGACGGGCTTTACCATGTTGGCCAGGCTGGTCTCGAACTCCCAACCTCAAGTGATCCACCCACCTCAGCCTCCCAAATTACGGCATTATAGGCATGAGCCACTGCATGCAGCCCACACTTCAAGTTTCTGAGTGGATGCAAATTTGAGAGGCACTGTTCAATCCAGTGCACTGCTTCACCGGATTTGGGGCACGGTTCCACAACCACCTTAGCCTCTTCCTGTCCTGCTGATGTGTCTCTCTCCACATCGGCCCTAACTATAGTCAGAGGTCCACAACTGGCAGCAAAGGTTTTTAAATGGAAATAAACACACATCACCAGCAGGGTCTTTTTTTTTTTTTTTTTTTTTGAGACAGAGTCTCACTCTGTTAGCCAGGCTGGAGTATAGTGGCGCAGTTATAGCTCACTATCGCCTTAAACTCCTGGGCCTAAGCAATCTTCCTCCCTCAGCCCCTCTCCCCTCCATGACCCCTGCACCTGCCCAAGTAGCTAGGACTACAGATGTGTACCACCATGCCCAGCTATATCTTTTTAACAAAGTTTTTTACAAATGGGATCTTGCTATGTTGCCCAGGGGTCTTGAACTCCTGGCCTCAGGCGATCCTTCTACCTTAGCCTCCCAAAGTGCTGGGATTATAGGTATGAACCACTGCCAACGGCCAGGCAGCCTCAGATCATTCTTTATATGGCTACAGCCACAACTTCCTCTAAACATTGGCATGCTGCATTTGAGTGAAGAAAATTCCTGACTTTCATAGAACAGGGTTTCTCCACCCTCAGCACTACTGCCGTGGGGGACCCAGTGATCCTGTGCTGTGGGGCCGCCCTGTGCACTGCGGTGCTGAGCAGCGTCCCTGGCCTCCACCCACTGCATACCAGGAGCCTCTCCTCCCCTCCAGTTGTGAAAACCAGGAATGTCTCCAGCCACTGCCAAATGTCCCTTGGGGAACAAAACCATCCCCAGTTGAGAACCACTGGCATAGAACCTAGGTCCAAAAGTAGAAACTTGGGCTCAGTCATTCTCCTGGGACGAAGGCTGTCTGCTCTCCAGTCTGATGGTCTCCCTGCCTTGGCCTTCCGCATAGTTTTGTTCAGGTGGAGCCCTTTGTGCAGTTTGTCTTGACATCCTTGGCTATAAACTGAGCACAGAACCAATCTGACTGTCCCCAGACACAACCCGCCTAGTTCCCACAGGCATGCGTGCCCTGCGTCCTCAGGCCCCAGCTGAGAGCCGGTGCTGCAAACGGTGTGACCACTCACTCTCTCCTCTAGCTGTTCACAGGCTTCTCATTCCAGAAAGCCTTTTTTGAAAGGAAAATTTGGGCTCACACTATGCCAAAATTCTTGACAAGTAATTGCCTTCCGTGCTAAATGTTGATGTTTTTAGAAACTGAGATTCAAGAAATAGAATCTAAATAACATGTAGGTAATTAGGCTAGCCACGACATTTAAGTTTGAGAGGCTTCGACAACTAATTTAGAAGTTTTAAAACAGTGTCTGGATGGCGCAGTCTGGTGTTGGACGCCGCCAAGCCTTCAACCGGCTGGTCCTGACTTATAGGCTGCTCAAAGTGGGTCCTTCTCTTCCTCTCTCTGCAGCTTAGGATATCGGCACTTCCCTGTCAGATGGGGTTGTGCCCACAGAGACACAGCCAGCGTTCAGAGAGGGGATAATTCCTTATTTGTACTTCTGTTTCCTAAGAGCAGCCCTGTTGACCCTTTGGGAGCTTTCTCTGCATTCAGCTTCACACAATCACACCAGGCAGACAGCAAACAGGGAATCCCAGCAAGAATGTCAGGCCCAATGGGTGCCGGCCTAAGAGAGAGCCTGGGCAGAGCTCCAGGGCGGTGCCTCAGAAGTGGAGAAAAGGCTCGTTTTGCTTCACCAGTTCCCCAGAGCCACCTAAGCCCTGAGCCTCTGGCCACTGTCAGCCCGGAAGCAACAGCAAGAAGCCCCGAGCAAGATGAGTGGCCCTCACTGTGCGCACTGTCACTCCCCCTGCGTGGATCAGGTTAAAGTGTGAGAACCGGATCAACCTGGATTCCAGACTGACAGCTTGAGCAAATAAAGCAAGATATGCGTCAGCATCTGCTCAAACTAATACATAAGATTTTGCAGAGATCAATGTCTAGGAGGATACTTCATAAGTTAAAATGATACTAACATTTAGAGAGGAAATATTGGTTCTGAAAATTCAGCGTGATTGGTTTTATAGCTGATTGATGACAAAGCTAGCTTCGTGGGTTCTGCTCACAGAAGAGAGCTGTGTCTCTGTGTGTCCCTGCAGGCTCTGTGTCTTCCTGTAGGTCACTGCCTTTCCCAACTGTTCTTAAACAGCCTTCTCCAGCTCTTTAGAAGGAGGACCCCAGATGGGCCCGGGGCCGTGGCTCACGCTTGTACTCCCAGCACTTTGGGAGGCCGAGGCGGGCGGATCACAAGGTCAGGAGATCAAGACCATCTCGGCTAACATGGTGAAACCCGTCTCTACTAAAAATACAAAAAATTAGCCGGGCACGGTGGTGGGCGCCTGTAGTCCCAGCTACTCGGGAGGCTGAGGCAGGAGAATGGCGTGAACCCGGGAGGCGGAGCTTGCAGTGAGCCGAGATCGCGCCACTGCACTCCAGCCTGGGCGAGAGTGCGAGACTCCGTCTCAAAAATAGAGGGAGGACCCCAGATGATCCACTGCTATATTTTATGGTTCCTACCACCTCCTCCTAAAATAGGTTGCTGAGAATTTTTTTTTTCAATCAAATCCAACTGAAAAGAATTTGAATTTTAAAATCCCATAATACCTCTACAATATCTTCCCATATTATTACAATGGAAAAACTGCCTCGCTCATGGAGTTCGGTCTGCAACACACAGACCGAACTTGTGTGCTTGTGCCTCGCCGTCTCCTGGCTATGCGTGTTGGGAGTCCCTGGGAACCATGACGGATAAAGTTCATCTCATCAGTCAGGAAAATTCATGCCCTCACACACCACCCGTCTGAGTCTACAGTCAGAAAACAAAACGTGCTCATTTCTCCTTTACCGCTATTAACAACCAAAAGAATCCCAAATCGATACCCACTCAACGTCCTTCTAACAGGTGCAAGCTCTGCACATCGCTAGAGGATCTTCTATTGCAGTTAGAGTAACCAAGCATACGCCGTACAGTGACAACATCTGCGTGGCTCACACCACACAGGCAGCCGCAGAAACAGCGCCTCCCAAACGGCGCGGCCTCGCTCACCCTCAAAACCCACTCCGCGCCCGACGGGAACGGCTGGAGGGAGGAAAGAGCCAGGCACCTCTCGTTCGGGGTCTGACATTGTCACCTGGCAGATAAGTGAGTCTGCTCGGATGTGCCGGCTCGGAACATGCCCGTTCGTCAAAGAGGGAGGGGAAACAAAACGAGCTTGTGCCTCATTCCCGGTGGCTCTCCACGCAAAGTTAACGTTTGTTTACTCTAAGCATATGCCCAGGTGAGGCCTGCACAGCCACCTCGCCGCGGGTGCAGGGCGCGCCTCAGAATGACAGCGAGGTGCACGCTCCGGCCCGCGCAGAGCGGGGCCAGCTCCGCCACCCAGCGCGCGGGAAGCCCCGCAGCACCAGCAGGGCCCGTCGCTTCGCTCCGTCCCGGTCCGGCGTGAAACCCCCGAGGGGAAAAGCGGGTATCAAATGTGAATTCCACTCGTCCACAGCGCCGGGCGTTATGAAAATCTGAGCACCTTTGACCGGAGAAGCAATAGCTATGGGATTAAGGCGAATTTCTTACGGAGAGGAGAAAGATGTGCAGTTTGTAATTACCTGCTCCCTGTAGTACAGTCCGTCCTTCACGCCTGGATCTAACGGGACAAACTCTCAGCGGCTTTGCTCTCCCGGCATTGTTTCAGCACCCACCAAGAGGATTAAAAATAATCTCTTTCCCTTTTAATTTTGTGTCCCCCACATCCCCTCCTCCTCCCCACATCCCCTGGGGACAGCATAAATTTTTAATCCCTGAGGTTTGGGAGGGGGAGGGGGTGTTAACCCCTTGTTGAGGTGGCGGCCGGAGGACTGGAAGCCCGGGGGGAAAGGTCCCCCTGCTGGCCCCGCCGGGAAGAGCACTGCGTCCCCCTAGGACACTGACATGCCTGCCCTGTATGTGCACTGCAGCGGGTTAGGGGCCCCAAAACAGGTAAGCAGGAAAAGCCGCCTTTCCTTTCCCCTGACCCAGGCACAGTCTCCTGATGGCCTCAGATGCCTCCTCTGGTGCCCAGATAGGCTGCCAGCCCACGCAGCTGCTCCACGCCTTCCCTGTCTCTGCTCTGAGATAGGTGACTTTGAGCTCACACACACACACTCACACGTGCATGCACACACACACATGCACACACACGTGCACAGAGGCACACATGCACACACGTGCACACAGGCACACACACGCATGCATAGACACACATGCACGTGTACACACGTGCACAGACAAATGCACATGTGCACTTGCATGTGCACACACAGACACACACACACTCGATGCGAACACTTGCTCCTCTTCCCCCAGGTGTGAGTTTCCACCCTGGCCTGATGACGTCAGGCCTTAGCATGTGGGACTGACCGGGAAGGCGGATCAGCTGCAGGGGCTGAGGTCTCAGCCTGCTCCACTCACAGCGTCGCGGGATGGCCCACTGCACTGAGCGAGGCAGCCCTGGTGGCAGGTCCGGGCAATTCATAGAATTGGGTCCTGAACCTCCCCTACTGCCCCCACAGCAGCAAGGGGCTGGCGTGGAGACTGGAACGTAATGGGACTCCGGCCTCCGGTGAAGGCCACAGTCAGGCCACAACTAACATGCAAAGCACAGGGCTTTCTGGGCACTGAGGGAGCGGGCGCTGGGCGGCTCCTGAGCAGGAAAGACCAGGCTGGGGAGTCAGAGCTCAGCCTCTGCTCGGTGTCTGTGGACAAGAGATGCTGGAGGGCATCACCTATCTTCCTGGGAGGATGTGACTGAGGAGGTCGGCGGTTCTCTGGCTCTGGTGGGCACAGGACCCCAGCTTGGGGAAAGGGAGGTTGAGACAGCCCAGCGGTGACCTGGCTGATGTGAGAGCAGGGCTGTGTTCAGCAGAAAAGGCAGCTGGATGCACAGCACATTGCAAAGGGCACGGAGAAGGCTCCGCTCAAAAACAAACAAGTGGCAAAACACTCCTGCATCCCCAATTCCCTAATGCCAAATCCAACATTTGTGGGGCTCCTGCCTTTGCCTGGTCAGTATGCAAGCACTTGTGGGATGGACCCAGCATTGGTGCCAGGGCTTCAATCATCATGGAGTATTAATGCCAGCTGTTCCTATGTGCCCTGCCTCCAGGAAGGTGAGCTGTGCCGGACCAACAGCAGAAGCTTCAGGGGAGAGCCTTCTCAGTTTGAACACTTGGGAGAGGAGGAAGGGAGCATTTCAACTGCAGATGAATCATGATCCAGAGATGGGAGAAGCCAAGAGCTTACAGGTGCACACACTCAGGCACAATGGCAGCCGAACACACACAAGGCATAAGGATACACTCAAGAAATGTACAGAATCCACAGGAGTAAGACAGAAAAGCTTTACCAAAGGACATGAAGGAAGCCGGGAATGAACAGAGCACATATCATGAGACAGGTCCAACCAACTGCCTCCCCAAAACCCCTTCTCCCTTCCTTGCCTACACACGAGGCCTGATTTAATCCTAGAAGGCTTCAAATAGGGAGGTGACACTCAGGGCCCATCCTACCTTCCACGGGGCTGCAGAGGCTGGAAAGCAAAGCCCTACACTTCCAAGACTCATTTGCAGCTGGAGGGTTCTATGGGATCAGGGTCGTGTCATTGGATGCATTCATCTGTGATTTGGAAGGCGGTGGACGGAGAGCCAGACTTCTCACCGATTCTGCTGTTCTCTGGTAAGCATCGTCTGCTATCATCAGGATTTTCTGGAGAAGACTACAACATCTTCTCATGGGAATCAGGTATGGGGAGGGTATTGTGGTATGAAGAGGCAGGTAAATTCCTTTCCATTTAAAAGAGCTCAAGTGTTTCTGAGATTTGCAACTGGAGGCTGGCAAGTATTTTATTTGGTGCAAGGTTTGGCTGTAGGTAGTAAACCCTCCGGGATGATATTCTGGGCTGGGCTGTCCTCACCTGGCGGGGTCAGAGGCAGTGGGGATCCAGGTGCCATTTGAAATGGGATGCTGTAAATCCATGGCATGCAGTGGTGAAACAGGGACTTGCAGCATTACCTGTGGTTACCTGGAGTGAAGTCCCCAGGGAAGGGGAGGCTGTGGATGACTGATCACCCACTGCAGCAGACAGGTCCTGGGCGGGGCTGGTTATTTCTGCAGTACTGGGAGGTTAGAAAGCCTACGGGCCGCTCTGTGCTTGAGACCTATAGTCATAGGTTTCAGGAAACTTCTCAGGTCACCAAATGCATCCAGGGCCATACTGAGGTGCCTTTCTTTGTCCCATGCTACCAGGCTTCTCTCCAGTGACCAGTGACCTGCTATATGGTCACCACACTCCACTTCTTCCTCCTCCTGGACACACAGCTCGACTGTTTCCAGCCCTTCTTCCAACTAGGTGAGGACATGTGCTGGAGTCCCAGCCGTGGAACGTAGGCAGAAGCAAGGCCCCTCCCTGTTAGCCCTGCCTGTAAACATTTCCCACAGAATCCTCCATGCTCTCTCTCCCCATCCACCTGCTGGATGAACAGGACTCGGGCTTGGAGGAGGAGGAGCCACAAGACAGAAGGGCCTGGGTCCCTGAATGACCAAGTGGAGCAGAGCCCCGTGCCAACCCACACTAGACTACGACATGAGCAAGAAGTCAACTCTCAACGCTCGTGGTGATCCACACTGACACCAGGCAGTGTATGATACTTAAACTATTCTGACAAACACCATCAGTAAAGAATCATGCCAGCAATTTAAATAAAAATGAGTGATGGTGTTTCTCTTTTTAAATAAGATAAAAGAGAAATAAAATAGAAGATGGTACACAATAAAAGCCACCAAATAAATTAAAAATGTATACAACCCCCAGTCCTAGGGATGTAAGGACCAGAGCATCCATCTGTTGATGCTTCTTGCTCTTCTTTGAGAGGAAAGGAACATGAGGACTGTAAGTAAAGGAGCCGGGGCTATTTATTACTCCGCATGCTAACATCTTCTCATGTCCTCTAGATGGTTGAGAGATGAGACCCACGTGTCTCAGAAGAGCAGGTCCTTGGCCAATGAGAGTTATGGAAAGAAGAGAGAGTAGCAGCAGAGATAAAGGGGGAAGCTACCTCCCTTCCAGCCTCTCCTTCCGAGGACTCTTAAAGCACCAAAGGACACATGCATGGAGCAAAAATAGAGGATTGCATCGGTTCCTGAGGCTGCTCCAGGGCCAGTGACACCACCAGGAATGAAGCTGGACAATTCAAGGAAGGGCCACATCACAGCTTTCTGTGGAATTTTTTTTCTTTTCTTTTTTTTTTTTTTTTGAGACGGAGTTTCGCTTTTGTCGTCCAGGCTGGGGTGCAATGGTGCGATCTCAGCTCACTGCAACCTCCGCCTCCTGGATTCAAGTGATTCTCCTGCCTCAGCCTCCTGAGTAGCTGGGGCTACAGGAATGTGCCATCACACCCCGCTAATTTTTTGTATTTTTAGTAGAGATGGGGTTTCACCGTGTTGCCCAGGCTGGTCTCAAACTCCTGACCTCAGGTGATCCACCCGTCTTGGCCTCCCAAAGTGCCGGGATTACAAGCATGAGTCACTGCGTCCAGCCTCTGTTGAATATTTTATACGAAACAAAATCACGTGTCTGTGTATAGTGTTCCATCTTCTTAAGAACAATGCTACTTTTTAGAATAGGAATTTCTACATTATCATGGAATTCTTTTGATTTCTAAAAAAAAACCTTCAAAACTTTATGTTTTAAATTTAACAAGTAATATGTTTATTATAGAAAAAATTTTAACAGATAAACAAAAAAAGAAAGAAAGGAGCTCAGCAGTAATACGCAGATACAAGAACTGTGACTATTGTCTCAGTGTATTTCCTGAGGCTCCCTCCTGCAGTGAACAGACACAGACACGTAAGAGGGCATCTGTATGTGCGGGTTAATAACCTCTTTTTTGCACTTAATAATAGGAAAATACCCTTCGGATTTTTTCACATGGCAATTTACAGGTTCCTGTGAACATCATTTTCTTGCACCATCATCTTTCTCAATTGTTGCTGAAGTAATTTTCTTATTAAGGTGGCATCCATGGGCCAACAGCCCTTGCAAAACAATTTAGGGGTGATCCCTGAAACTCCTGGTTGCTAAGTGTGGCCTCCAGCCCTGCAGTCCATCTGCACACCATCCCTTCCTCTTGTGCTTGCAAGAAAATGCAAGTAAGTACTAGGGACTGTTGCCACCAACCTCATTTTCAGACACTGGGGACCCTGCAGGCTGGTCTCACTGTCTCCTGGGCTCTCCGCCTTCACCCGCGTGTGACCCTGAACTGTGGCAGATCTGGGGACCATCCACCAAAGAGCCCTCCCACCCCCCTCCTGCTAACCCCAGACTCTGCCCCTCCTCACGTGCCCAGGACAGGCCACGCCCCCACAAGGCCCTGAGCTTGGGTCTGGATTGATCTGAGGGACGTCTGCGAATGCCCCACTTGCCCCGCAGTTGGTCTAGCCACAGGCGTTAGAGGCCCTCCTGACCCATGAGATATGAGGGGGAGTTCTGGGGGCTGGGGGTGGGAGATCCTGGACAAATGTCCTCCTTGTTAAAAAAGAGACCCCATGCAAAGCTGTTCACTTTTCTGCTCTGAGCACCGCCATGGGCTGACTCGCGCCCCCTCCTATTCACCTCCTGCCCACCCCACTCAACTCACCCTTCACTCTCTGAGACGTGGCGTTCACACTGGCGGCTGCTGAGGTCTCTGGGTCAGAGTGTGAGCTCCTATGGGGGAAGAATTCCTCCCCTAGTCCACACCACATGTAGACCCGGAATGCTGATCCAAAGGAGACCAGTGCCAGGGCACATCAGCAGGAATCTGAGCCCCAAGGCTGCTGCCACCAGGGGCCAGGAGCCAGCTTCGGGCCCCTTTCTTTGTCGCTCCCCACCCCACCCTGCCCAGCTGCGGTCCCTTGGTCCATAGAAAGCGTAGGCCGCTAAGCCAAAGCTGTCACTGCTGTAATATGAGGATTCAGAGGAGATGTTCTGATTTTCTTTCTGCAGAAGGAGTCAGGAATTGTTGTGGCATTGTTTGGGTATTAATAATCTTCCTAAATCAAATATCTTTAGGCTACCGTATCATGCTGAGGACAGCCATCTGCTATAGTGGCTTCCAATTTTTTGGACATGACCCACTTCTTACACCAAAACCCATTATATAAAGTGTCACAAAACATACTTTCCTTTTCTATAAGATGTACTCTGATATTTAATATATATTTCTACATTCTTGTATGCCACTACACGGATTTCATGGCCCTCTAGCGAGTAGGAAAATTGCTGATGGACTGAATCCCCCTGCACCTCCTGGCTGGCCTGATAGAATAGCCAGCCCTCTCATTTTGTCCATGTACAGTTGTGCAGGTTGCACACTGCACAGCTCCAGGATGTTATAGTGCCCTGTTGTTTCATAGTACATAATGGGATGGGGTAGCTCTGTCAATAGTGTGGGAGCAGAGGGAAAGCTTCCCTTCTGCTCCCTGTGAAGGCTTGCTGAAATGACTGAAAAACAGATTAACGGGGGGAAAAAAGCAGACAAACATTCATGTGTGTTAGCATGGGAGCCATATGAAATATGAGACTCCAACAAGGGCAAGATGGTTGAGACTTAAATACCCTTTTCATGGAGGAGAGGGAAGTGGGGGCCCGTGGGCCATTTTAGGGGAGAGTCAGTGATTCTTAGGAGAAAGGAATGGACGCAGGAGGCAGACATTATCTTGTCAACGATTCTCTTAGGAAACTGAATAGGACCAGCAAGTTATGGGAAGGTGAGGGGTAGAACTGCACCGTGAACACAGATTTTCTTCTTATGTGACAAAGCCTCCAGGGTCATCACTTTGAGCTGCCCTCAGAAGAACAGATGAAAAGTCTGGGGGTGGGGGTGACCTTTAGGCTTTTCTCTCCTCTGGTGGCTAAATCTTTCCTGGTTATTTGATCAGATTCCTCGGGAAGAGATCTTAAGACAATTGTATTTCTTTTGGAAAGAAGTTTCCTAAGTCGGATAAGGAAATTCCAGGGAGAGGCTCTCTGCACTTGGGGGCTGGAGGAGGAAACAAGGTTAGAAAGTCCAGAATTCTGAGACAGCTTCGAAGGACTTCCAATGTCCTTTAATTCAAGTGCTCGGCTTTGCCAAAGCACCGTGCACTGGGGTCTCGTTCTCCTCATCTTAGCGCTAGCAAATGGTATTGGAATTTTTCTAAATTAACTTATCAGCAAATTAAATTAATACTAATTTGTCAAAATTAAGTGAGTCACTAAAGCTTTCTGGGCCTCATCTGCATTTCTAAAATGAAGCTAATTACAGTGGCCCAGTTTACCTCCCAGAGTTGTGTTTTAAAGCTTAAAGAAGCATGAGGTGTTGGTGCAAACCGGATATTGGCCTCGTCCTCACTGTTGCTGTTGGTGCTTTCTGTTTGAACTTTCCAAGTTTCGCAGAGAGCGAGGCCTTGCTCTCACACTCAGCCGAGGCAGAGGACGCCCCTGAGCTCTGCTTCATCATTTACAATTCCCTCGGTGAACACACGTTTCCTGGGTCCCTGTGGGTAACACACGGCTTGCCCTGGTCATCCTGTATCCAGTGACTGGAGCTCGGAGGTTCAAAATCTAAAAGCAAATGTGAGCCCCTCGACTCCAGCTCCCTGACCCTGGGTGCCCCGCTGAGAGCAGCAGTGCATGCGTACCCTCATTCGGGAGGCCAGCCTTTCATCACTGGGAGAGGAGACAGGTAAGCAAATGTGAAGTAACTGCCTCCAAATTGTCTTGTGCTGTGTTGCCCTGTTTTAGGAAAGGTGCCATTAATCCAATTTGTTTAAAAAATAAATAAATAATAGGGAAATAACCGCAGTGCTGAGATGCTGGCTGCATTTTGCTGAACAGACGAGGCTTTGTGCCAGTGTGAGGAGCTACCGAGTGAAGACATCCCACCTACGGTGGCAGCAGGGGTGGTCTCCCACCTGTCCCCAACAGCCCCAGGCCAAGGAGGCAGCTCTCTGAACTCTGGACTTTAGTGAGTGCTCCCCCGCTGAGCCTCCCCGTTCCCGCTGTTCTGAAGACAGAGACCTCCGCGAGCGGAGCACGAGCTCCCAGCCTATCATGAACATCGAGCAAGACGTGGCACGTGAATTTCATTTCTCAAGGAGAATGGCACTAAAATCCTTGGCTAGGGAGAATGTTTCCAACAGAGCAAGGCAGTCAGTCCCCGGGAGCTGAGGTCCCTGTACATCGTGTATTACTAAACAGCTGCCCCTTCCATCCTCTCTGCTTCTACAGGCTGTCCCATAAAGTTGATAACATTGAAGACTTCTGAGCTAGCTTGAGAATGATGTTGATTACAATAATGAGCCTTATTTTCTAATCATTCCCCACACCACATGACCCACACCTTCCTCCCTTCTAGCCTGCTTGGCAGGTCAGCCTCAGATGATGAGGAGGGAGGCCAACCGGGCCTGGCTTGGAGGCTCCCCAGAGCCCCCGCAGTCTGCTGAGTGTGGGGCGACTGTCCATGGGTCTTGCTCTAACTCAAGGGAAGCTGGAGCACCCTTCCTCGAGGGTCTTGCTGCCTGGCTGGCCAGGAGGACAGTGTGGATGGAGCCACACACCCTGAGGTCCTTCCCAGGAAGGGAAGTCTTCCAGCCTCGCACCAGCCTCTATAACCATCACTCAAAGGTGGGTAAGCAGCCCTGGTACTCAGAAACCACGGCAGCCCTATAGAGGGGATGCTTTGCTTGAAGGGGCCTTTTAGTACTGTCTTTGCTGGGATTCTCCCAGGGCTGTTTACCTGGAAGGTTCTGGAAACACTAGAGTGGAGGGGAAGTTCTACTGGAAGGCAGCCAATGAACGCTGTGTTTGCAAGCCGGCTGCCATGACAGGGGCAGGGTCGGGGGGGCAGAAGTCTGCTGGGAAAATCCTAGAAGCCGGTGCAGAACACGTGCAGTGGGACGCTCGATGTGGAGTATTCACAACCCCTGCTGTAGGGCCTGAGAGCTGATTCCCTCCCTGCCAGGCTGAGTGCTGTCAGGCAGGGAAGGCGGAGCTGGGCAGGGGAGTCAGGCAGGCAGGGAAGGCGGAGCTGGGCAGGGGAGTCAGGGGAGCCCCAGGGAAAGCAAGTCCTGCTTGGTCCTGCCAGCTGCTCCCCGGACCTACGGGTCTGGGAGTCACCAGGCTCCAAGGAGTGACCCCCCAACCATGGTCAGAGCACCCCTTGCTCATGGGCGGGCGTAGGGAGCCAAGGAAGGAAGGTCCTGGGTGTGGGCATGGAAAGGCTCTTCATGGAGACCTCTGCTTGCCCTTCGGGGCTCACCCAAGCTTCCTGACTGATGCTGGGGCCTCACTGCTGGGCCTCACGTGGAAAGAGCCACTGCACACCCCTGGGGCTGGGGGATTTCTGTCTGAGCCACAATGCTGCTAGTGGCAAAGTATGCAGAGTAGAAAAAAAAGCGGGGTCCCCACATATCCCGGGGCTCCTGTGGTGCAGCCGGACCCCAAGACCCTCCCGCTGCTGAGAGGACATGCAGGCTGTCGTGGGCACCTGGCCCTCCTCTGTGTCTGTCCCAGCCCCACATCCACACCAGGGACTGAGCCAGTGCGGGCAGAGGCCCGCCTGCGGCCACAGCCCTTTCACTGGCTGCTCTCTGGGGGCCTCCTTTGACTCTTCTTCTAAGCAAGGGAGGCCTGGCCTGAGAGAAGCTGGTTTGCACATCTCCCCTGTCCACACTGCCCTCCCAGACCCACCCCCGCCCGAGGCTAGACGGAGAGAATAGCCCGGTATGGACACAGGCCGCTTTGCACACACTGGGTCCGCACAGTGCCGAGAGGCCACTCACTCGCTTTGCTTCTTCCCGTGGCTCCCCTTAGGAACTCGGATTCTCGGGGGAACCCGCCTCACCCCTCCCACAGAGGAACAGCCTCTCCAAGGACCCTGTGGCATCAGCACCCTCAGCTCTGAAGACACGGCCTGTGTTTCTTTCCAGCCTGACTGAGGTCCAGAAAGGAGAAAAAAGCAGGCAAGGGGTCCTGCCGCTCTGTGGCCAGCCGGGCCGGGCTGGGAACACCTCTGGCTTCAAGACTCCTCCAGGCAGGACAATGGGGGCCCGAGACCCCTCTCATTTGGCAGCTGTGTGCCTTCTTTTGTTCTTCACTGAAGGCCAAGCTGAGCACGTGCTCTGTGAGCTGCTGGGTGGAAGGAGGAGAGTAGCCCCCGCAGTAACACCAGCCTGGCCCCCATCCAAGTCCAAGCAGAGCAAGGGCAGAGCTGACTTCACACTGCCAGATCCCCTACTTCCGAATTTGGCCAAGTAGCCTGCTGACGGAAGAAAACAATGCCACAGGAATGTGAATCACAGCAAGGAAGAGTTTTCTAAGTGGGAAGGATGAGAGACCTTCTAGAAGTTTCCAGGGGAAGACAGTGGAGCTCTTTGAAGCATGAGAGTGCTGGGACGTGAGGGGGTCACTCTGCTGTGAGTTAGCCAGAAGCAGGAACTGCTGAGCCACACACCCACCGCCAGGCCATGCTGTTCTCCAACACAAGGGCTTTAAAGACGAGTTCTCCAACACGAGGAACCCACCCGCGCGCCTACAGGGTGCACCATGTTTGCAGAGAGAAGTCTCCGTGTGATGCTGGCCTGGGCTACTTCTGGCTGAGCAGGAGCCCTGGGCAGAAAGATCACCTGAGATCAGCACCAGCTCCTTGTAGCTGCGACTCTAAGATTGCCTTAGGCACACTGGTGAATGTAGCCGTCTAGCTGCTTTCAGTTGCTTTGCAGACTAAGTGTTCCTGGCAAAATCGGAAAAGCTATTTCAACTTGATCGCCTTGAAGTGGAACATCCTCCAAGACAACAGAAAGCAGGGGAGGGTGTGGCCCATTTTCTCCAGGCAAACTTAATTCCATTCTGGGATTAGACACACTGGAAAGGCTCAGGACCCCCAAACGTGGACTCCTGGGTCGCATCACTCAAGGATGCAGTGTGAATTTGAGGAGGGTGGAAGGTACAAGGTGCTGCCATCCCAGTCCCTGCACGGCCCTCCATCCGCTGTGGGAGCTGCGGCCACTTGGCCTGACTCCCCCCGCTCTCATCAGTAATGCAGAGATGCTATTCTTTCTGCAGGGTCATTGTCAGGACTAGAAAATCACTTAAAGGCTGTCGCCCAGCAGCTGTCAATAAAGAAGGGCCACCCGGCTCCTCCCCTTCCAGCCCCTTCCTCAGGGCTCTGCGGTCATTTCCTTGGCTCCCCTTTGTTGGGCCTGTAGAGAAAGACTTCCTTTCTGCTGGCCCAGGAGCACTAATGATGTGTCTGATAGCCCAGATTGAAGTTATCAAAATATTAAGACTCAGCTTATCTTCAAAGCTATGCTGGCTGGCACACACCCCCACATTACACATGTGGACACAATGCACACACAGACAGGCACTCACATCTTCCCTGGCCCTGCTTGACAGTGGGAATCAGCTCCCGGCTGGTGTCAGGGACCAGGACTGTACTGGATTTTATGGAGGCACATGTCCTGCATTCAGGTGACCACAAAGGACCTTGAGATTCCGGGGTGCAGGCGTCAGACCTGCAGCAGAGCAGCCAGTGGGCCTGCACGGGGTCCCTCCGGTGGACTTGCCAGACACGGCTCTTGAAGGATCCATCCTTGAGTGTGCCTTTGGGGAGGCAACGAACCCAAAAGGGACCCCTGAGAGCCCAGCCCTCTCCTGTGGGAGGTACTGACCTGTGGATGGAAATTCCTCCCTCATTCATAACTGAGGCGCATTAGAAGCCTGAGGTACTTTCTGTAAGGGCTGCCTGTCACAGCCCCACAGTTCAACCACGGCACCTGTCTGTGACTCTCCTTTCCTGCCCTGTCCTCTTCGGATGGGCACACAGCTCCAGGAAGACACGGACCCCACACAGACAGCCTAGTTTGCATTATTTAAGACAGGTGCAGTGCATCACAACAAAAGAAAGCTGCAAGAAATCCAGACCCACTTCTGTTTAGCTTTGAGTGAGTTGGATGATATTGGGGAACACCTTTCTAATAATATTTCTCTTAGAATGATGCTGAAATTGGCTTATGTGTTCTGGGCACCTAGTACCTGAGGGCTCAGAGGGGAAGGTGTCCCCTAATGGGTCCCGCCTGGTGTCTTAGACTCCACCCTTCCAGCGCCCCACTCACTGCCTCTGATCCTCAGGGGGAGCCCCTCTCTAGGTTGTGCAAGAACGTTTCTTCCTTCTCCATAGCCAACTGTCCGGTCTATTCCAGAAAGTGCGTCTTACAACCTGCACCCCCAACTAGAAATCTGCACATCTTGCAGTGGGGGAGGGAGTGTGGTACCCAGGAGAGGACTATTCTGCTTTGAGTGTCTCTAGGCCGCCCCTTTAGCCTCTTCTGGGCCCCCTGCTGGCCTCACCAAGAACCACAGACGCGCTATTTTTATTCTGATGAAGAACAGTGCCGAAATGTCTTTCGACTTGACGAGACACAAAATTTAGGTGCTGAGAGAGATACTTCAATTTCAAGCTTAAAGATTACTTTGGGTCCCCCAGGACTCAGAAGCAATTTAGAGCTGATACCCTGAACAAGAGAAAGGTTAGAAGATTAAGACCAACTGCTGTTTGGATAAATGGTTGGTAATTGCCCATATCCGCAATTATACACTGGCACATAATATCTTTTCCACTACCTTTCTCCTCTCCTGAGTCCCATCGGGATTGATTCGGAAGGATCCCACCTTGGTCTTCTTCTGCCGAGCCTTGGTGATGTCGTGCTCTATCTCGTCCATCAGCGCCCTGCACGCTAAACAAGACACAAAACAGCTGTGATCAGAGGAGGAGGCGAGCCAGAGCCGGGCCTGTGGAGTGGCTTCCTCTGTGCCACCCTCTAGCTAGAACAGGGACAGTGCCGACGTGCCCAGGACCTGGGGAGGACTCTTGTCCTCTGCAGAGTTTTCAAAGACAGTGAGACAGAGACGACTTTTTTTATGTTCCCTTTTGTACTTTGTGTTTTCAAAACCATATACAATTTACTTTTACATTTAAAATGTGCTTTTTTTTTTTTGAGACAGGGTCTCACTCTGTTGCCCAGGCTGGAGTGCAGTGGCACTATCTCAGCTCACTGCAGCCTCAACCTTCCACACTCAAACCATCCTCCCATTTCCACCTCCGAGTAGCTTGGACTACAGGCATACGTCGCCACACCCGGCTAATTTTTTTTTTTTTTTAAGAGACGGGGGGTCTCACTATGTTGCCCAGGTAGGTCTTGAACTCAAGCCATCCTCCTACCTTGGCCTCCTGAATTGCTGGGATTACAAGTATCAGCCACCATGTGCAGCCTTCAAATGTGCTTTCCTATTTATTCATTTATTTATTTTTTGAGACAGAGTCTTGCTCTGTCACCCAGGCTGGAGTGCAGTGGTGCAATCTCAGCTCACTGCAACCTCCGCCTCTCAGGTTCAAACAATTCTCCTGCCTCAGGCTCCTGAGTCACTGGGACTACAGGTGCTTTCCTGAAACACTGCAGATGCTCATCCTCTGAGTCCACAGGACTCTGGAAGCCCCTCTGGGTTGTCATAATTACTCCCAAGTAGCTTCTGCACTGTGGGAAAAGTGGGTCAAAACTGGGCCCTCCTCCAAAAGATACATTTTTGCTGGATTTGAAGTCAAAGGGGACTCTCTGAAATTTATTTTTATGGGAAATGTAGCTGGTTTTGTCCCCTAAAATCCCTTCTCCCCAGGCTGTGGCTGCCCAGTGGAGGCGGCTGAGCTGTGCCTTAGGGTCTGAACTCTCACAAATAAAAGATAAATGAGGTGATGCCTCCAATATCGGCCTCATTTGCTGAACTGAAAACTGATTCTGGCTTTCCTCTCTGTGGTTGGAAGTCAGCATGTCAGGACCAGCCCAAAGGGATGTGGGAGAAAAGAGACAGCGATGTCAGTGTCCTGAATGGCCACGGAGCAGAGGCCGCCTGCCCATGTGGACCGCTCCCCTGGCTGTGAAACGAGACCCAAAGCTTCCATCTGAGTCACTCTCCCTCTGTCTGTGTTTTGGTCCCTGTTAGAACAGCATAGCCTTTCTCTGCCCAGGACATGACTTTGGCACAGGTGACATTGCGTTTAGTGCTCCCTTCTCATCCTGTGTCCGAATGCGGGCACTGAGGGCACAGGCTGTGTGGATGAGGACAAAGGCCAGTTGTGGGCGTGAAGCTGGAACACCAGCATGTTCACTGCCTTTAGGTGTTGCTGGGTGTTGCATTCCACGTGTCGTGCCCTTGTGGACTCCAGGACCCTGTGGTGGTGATTCCAGCACTATCCCCATTTCACGGACGTGGCTTGGAGAGATGGAGAGACTTTCCCAGGTGTCTCCCTTACCCAAGGTACTACAGAAATCAGCAGCCGAGCCACTGTTTGAGGACACAGATGGCACTCAGTCCTCAGAGGCACACAGCCCGCGCTCCCTCCCTACCCTGCTCTTAGGGGTCAGTGACCTTCAATCCATGTATGAGATCATTGATCACTATGATTACCTGTTAGTGAGCAGTACATCTAACGATGTACTGGGCTCCTCTGGGGCCTGGAGGTCTCTGACAGAGTAGCCTGTCTCTCTGAGGCTTCCAGGAGGAGAAGGAAGTTTTCATGGCAGAGGCATGAAAACCTGTGTCTCGGGTGTCCACATCAGCACTTACTGTTTGGACTTGACGCAGTGCACAGGGGCTCAAAGCTACTGACCACAGGCAAGCCCCTCTTCTCTAGGAGCAGGACTTACAGCTCCAAGAACAAACACTTCCTTTCTGGCTCCCTTGAAGCTAGGCCAGGGCCTGTAACTTGGTTCTACAACCATGTGTTCTGGAATCTTCCTAAAGAGCCAGTGCTCGCCCTCTGCCCTCTCTGACCCACTATAGGTCGGAGCTCAGCTCAGGCCCCAGGACCAGGGTGGCCTGGGAGATGTCAGGGTGAGGAACTCAAAGGCGGGTCCTGGGGCCTGCAAGGGGAGAACTCTGTGCTGACCGGGACAGCACCCTCCACCCTTACGAGAGGGAGACAAGCATCCAGATTGTCTAAGCCATTGCTATTTTGAGTTCACTACACTCACTCACCTTCCACCTCTGGGATGGAATAAGAAAGGACCCTCCATGGTCAGTGCTCCCCAGTGGGGGATCTCGGTCAGCGCAGGGCCAGGGCTGCCAGGGGAGCGTGGGCCCAGAATCCCGGGCCCACAGGTGGTGAACAGCCCAGTAGGCTCAGATGAGGAGTCCTCTAGGAAGAGCCGGCGGTGACCATGTTACTGCTGAGAATGGGGCCGCCTGGGACCCCTGAGGACAGCAGGAGCCCAGCTCCCACACGAGATTAGGAGGAAGAGGGATGGGATTGTCTGATGTCCTTTACCCTGGCTCCTGAGAGAGGGCAGATGGTGGGAAATGGTGTCTTGGAAGCAGAGGCCAAAGCAATCAGCACAAAGGAGGGGTGGCCTCTGGCCTCCAGGCCAACTTCAGAGGAGAAATGCATAGCCCGAGAGGATGGCCGCCAGCCGGGTGTGAAGGTTCCCCGAGAACCGGGGTGGGCCCAGCCCAGCATCTCCAGGGGCCCAGGTGGCCTCTGCCCTGACAGCCTCCTCCAGCCCTTCCTGGTGGACCCAGGAGCTGGAGATGGTGCGTCCTCACCTCCTGGCTGGCAGAGGACAGTGCTGGCCAACAGAAAGAATGTGGCCTTGCCGTCAAGTGCCAGCGTCAAACCCTGCTGGGCCATGGATGAGCGTCACCCGGCTCTACCCAGAGTCTCTCCCATCGTAGGGAGGGTGTTGCATGAGTCTGTAAGTGCCTGCCAGGCGTGGCCTGCCTGCTGTCCCCTTCCTGGCCCCACTGACTGCTTGGAATCCCTGACTTGGGCTCAGTGACTAGCTTGGGACCCCGTCTCTCCTCGGCATCTCTCTGCTTTCTGTGCCTGCAGACCCGTGCCCAGACTCCTGCCCAGCCGCCCCACCCTGAGCCCGGACGCTCCCTGTGCTGTGGTCACTGTGGGTGTCCTTGGCTCCCTGGATCCCTCAAGGCTGGACTTGCCGGCAGAAGTGGAAAGGGGCCGGTGAGTGGGCTCAGCTCACAGGGCTCTCTGGGTCAATATTTTAATGTTCTGCTGCCTTCATTTCAGGCCCACATTTCACAAGCACCAAGATAGGCCGTGAAAAGGCAGAGCCCCTTGTAGTGCACACCTGTCATCGAGCATCCCCAAATGCCCTGAGCATCGGGATGGCAGTAGCAGGACCAGGGCACAGCACCCCGCCCCCCGTGGCCATGCAGGGCTTCTTGAGGTCAGGGTGGCCCCGTCAGCAAGGAAAGGTGCTGGGCTTCCAACAGGACAGGAGGCCCCCAGGCCTGCCATCCCTGACCTCCCCTCGGAGGGGCCGCTCCACAAGAAAAGATCATTTTAAATTTCCGCCCCAGGTCACAGAACAAGTTAACAGTCACATCAGCGACCTGGGCTCCAGATTTCTAGTCCGGCATTAATTTAAATGTTAATCTGAAACCTTCACTTAAATCACAGGAGTTTAGAGTTTATTAGAGCAGGCGGCGGGAGTGGGGCCTCATGGGGGGATTGGTGGGTCACACTGCCTGCCAGAGGGCAAGCCCCCTCCCGCTGGGCCTACCAGCCCCTGCCACTATGGCTGTCTCCTTCCCTCTCCCTCCCTTTCTCTCTTAGAGGAAGATTTGGAAATGGGAAAGAGATGGAGGTAGATGTCACGACAGATTCAGATGAGCCTCCGGTGGCTCAGGTGCCGGAACCATCTCAAGGGGCTTGCAAGAGCAGATGGCATGTGTGCTGCTTCCCAACTCCACAGCTAGTGACATCACACAGGTAGCCCGGATCAACAGGGGTGGGAGTATTTACACAACAGGCATAGGCAGATGCTACAAATCAGGGCCCCGCCACCACAACCCTCCTGCCCACACTCTGCACATGCCCACAGGAGGCTGCATCTCCCTAGAGGTGAAGGGATCAATGAATATCTGAGCATTTGCCATTTTCAAGGTTATGAGCAAGGCCCAAGGAAGCCACCGAGGTCTGAGTCCCAGCCCGTGCCCTCCAAGGAGCTCGCATGTGGTGGATGCCGTGCCTCCATTCCTCCAGGGGTGTCTGGGCCACTCTCCCCACCAGCAGGAGCGGCTATGGGAACCAAGCCATCCAAAGCTGCAGGCAATGTGGATTTTCCTCCAGTGGCCTTTAGGCCACAAGCAGAGGTGACATCAGAACCACGTGGGGAGTTGCTAGAAGTACAGACCCAGGTCCCAGCCTGGGAGACTCTGAGTCGGGTCTGGGTTGGGCCTGAGATCTGCAAATGTCTTTGACATGCAGGAGGTCATTGTGCTCTGCAATGGGGGCCCTACCTGTCCCAAGGTGCACTGGCTAGTGGCAGCTCTCCTGCACCCTGCACCTCTCCGGAGCAGGTGCTGCTGACCAGTAAAGAGGGGTGCAGGGGCCACTTTCTCTGGTACCTCAGAGAACATGGCTCAATTCTAGAACAAACCATTTTCTAGCAGTTTCTATAAGCAAGGCAGGAGCCCTGGTATTACGATGGTAGTGATTAGTGCCCATGCAACTCCCACCACTCACATTGCATCTCCTGCATGGCTGTGCCCCCCACACTCCTTTGAGGGAAGATGAAGCCCCGACTCCCAAGGCTGCAGGAGGCCAGCAAGGCAAACGTGACGGAGGGGTGGCTCCCCCCAACCAACACTCCTGCTCCCCAAAGTGGAAATGGCTGATGCCACAGTCTTTCTTTAAGCCTGGTCTCTAGACATCCCAAAGTGTGGCGGGCCCCACTCTGTGCTACGAGGAGGCCATGAGAAGAGGCTGAAACCCAATGACGAGCTGCGCCTGTGCAGAGGCCGGGGTGAGCTGGATGTTGCTGTGCACGGCCTCCTGGGCGCCCCAGGCCTGGCTAACTCAGGAGCATCTCCCACTGCCCACAGGATATCAGGGCCCATGATGGACTCACAGCATCGACCAGGCCCGCCGCTGTGCCCGTGGCTCAGGCAGGTGCGGGAAGGAGAGGGGCTTTGGAATCCAGTCTCAGCTTCACCACACCCAAAAGTAGCTTCCTTGCTTCCTTCCTTCCTCCTCTCCTTACTTGCCCTGTTGGCTGCTTCTGTCCCCCAAAAAGATAAGCTGACATCCCAACCCCTAGTACCTGTGAATGTGGCCTTATTTGGGAATAGGGTCTTTGCAGATGGGATTGATTCAGACCAAGTCATACTGGAGTAGGGAGGGCCTTGATCCACCGACGGGACCTTCTAGAAGAGGAGAGACACAGGGAGGTGACCTCACAACATGGGAGAAGGCCACGTGATGACAGAGGCAGAGACTGCGTTGGTGTCTACAAGCCAAGGAAGGCCCAGGACCACCAGCAACGCTAGAGCTGGAAGAGTCAGGCACAGATCCACCCCTCCAGGTTTCAGAGGGGACGCAGCCCTGCCCGTCTTGATGATAGACTTCAGGCCCCCAGAACAGGGAGGCTCCACTTCTGCTACTGAAGCCAATAACAATGGGGGTTGTGTGTGGGGACAGCGCAGCAGGCTCAGGACACTCACACACTCTCTGAACCTTGTGCTGCTCTGGGTCAGGTGTGGGAGGTGCAGCAGTGAGGGAGGCCACAGCCCCATCCTCGAGGGTCCCAACTCAGCCACAAAAATCCCATGAACAAGCTTGGCGAGCTGAGTGTTACTGCAGAGAAAGAGAAAGTTGCAGGAATGCACAGTCCTGGGGAAGACCTCCAAGGACAAGCAGGAGTTGCCAGGAAGAAAACCAGAGGGCGCGGCTCCCAGGACAAAGAGTGCACGCTCCTGGGAGGGCCCGGCCGGAGCACACGGTGTCTGAGCTAGGGAAAGGCATTCTTTATGTGCGTCTTCCTCATTGCTTCTTATTCATTTTTCTGTCATAAGGATTTTCCCAACTTGGGCGTGGTTGTTGCCATTTTAAAAACTGTTACGTAATATCCAATCAAGCAGATGCACCATCATTTCCTTAACTTTTCTATCTGTGCTTGTTAGATTGTTTCAAAGGCTTAAAAGATGGATAATTTAGGCTTGTAAAGGATCCTCATTTGAAACATAGCTGTTGTTTCAAGTTAACCTAGAGCATGGCTGCATTTCATTTGGTCATTCAACAAACTTTAAGCACTTTTCTTCCGAGTACTGTGTCCCAGGGTGCTGGAGATGTAACGATGAGTGGGAGGAGCCACCATCACTCATGGAGTTTGCAGATGAAAGAGTAGCATCTACAAGTTCCACAAAGGAGAAATGCAATGTGCTAAGCAAACCCACATGGATAGGGTGGCAGGTTAGAAAAGAAGACCGAAAGAAGACTGCAGCGTTTAGCCATCTTCCATGAAGAGTTGGTGTGTATTGCCCCACTCAGGTCTGGGCTGGACCTGAGACCTGCTTTGGCCAGTACCTGTGGCAGAGGTGACATGCCAGCCTCCAGAGGCATCACCAGCCCACGAACCTCCCAGCCCACTCTCAGCTTGGGAGAAACAGTCAGCTGATGTCTTCAGCCTCTGGCTTGGGGTAAGTTACCCAGCACAAGTGGGCTGGACCTTGTCAAAGAACACGGGAGGCTTCCCTAAGAGCATGACAAGTAGGACCTGAAAGATGATCAGGCATTTACCAGGTGAAGAGCAGATGAAGGTGTATTTGCCAAAACACCCTGGTGGAAAAGTGCAAGGTGAGTTTGATGCACAAGAAAAAATAGTAGCCCACAGTGGCTCACTCCTGTAATCCCAGAACTTTGAGAGGTCGAGGCGGGCAGATCACTAGAGGTCAGGAGTTTGAGACCAGCCTGGCCAACATGGTGAAACCCTGTTTCTACTAAAAATACAAAAATTAGCTGGGCATGGTGGCAGGCGCTTGTAATCCCAACTACTTGGGAGGCTAAAGCAGGAGACCTGCTTGAACCCGGGAGGTGGAGGTTGCAGTGAGTCAAGATCATGCCACTGCACTCCAACCTGGGTGACAGAGCAAGACTCCATCTCAAAACAAAAACAAACAAACAAACAAAAAACCAGTAGCTCAGATACCTGGGGAGAAAGGAGAGGGAGAAGTGTGCTCTGTGCTGAGGCTACAGAGGTTGGGGGCCAGGCCAGGCAGAGCCCTGCAGATACAGGTAGGGAATTGTGTATCTATTCTCAGCCAAATGGAACTACTGCAGTATTTTGAGTAAGGTGAGATTTGATGAGATTGCATTTTTCTTTTTTTCTTTCTTTCTTTTCTTTTTGAGAGATTCTTGCTCTGTCTTCCAGGCTGCAGTGCAGTGGTGTGATGTCACCTCATTGCAGCCTCGACTTCCTGGGCTCAAGTGATCCTCCCACCTCAGCCTCCCAAGTAGCTGGGACTCCCAGCATGCACCACCAAGCCTAGCTAATTTTTGTATTTTTTGTAGAGACAGGGTTTTGCCATATTGCCCAGGCTGGTCTCAACTCCTAGGCCCAAGCAATCTGCCCACCTTGGCCTCCCAAAGTGCTCGAATTATAGGCATAAGCCACCTCACCCAGCCCTAAGATGTGCATTTTTCAAAGATCATTTAGGCTGCAAGCCAGGACAGCAGACTAGAGAGGACCAGGGGGCATGCTGGTAAGCCAGTTATTGAGCTACTGCAATGATCCAGGCAAGAGATTACTGCACAGTGGAGGAGATACAGAGATGTGGATGAATTCAAAGCTTTTGGGGAGGTAAAAGCAATAAAATTAGTGATGAGTTGGATGTGAAGGTTTGGGTGCACACTGCTGGTTGCTGCCTAACCAACATCCCCCTCCCACTCTCTTCTCAATTAATAAAGTACCCTCCCTATCCAGTCACTGTCATCCATGTGTATCAGAGAAACAGGTTCATTCCAAGTTCAATTCAACCACAGCAATTCCATGCATCTTGCCAACTGCTGGTTTGGGATGGGTGCGTGTCATAATTGTGGAGATGGGATGTGAGAAGGGGTGGCTGGCAGGCTTCTAGACAGGCATTGTTCTTCTCTTTTACAAAGTGGAGACATGTAGGAACATCCTCACACCTCGTTCCTGCCTCTGGATGACATCATCTGCAGGTGATCGCTGGAAATGTGGCAGCCATTCTGGCACCATGAGGGAGTCGGCCTGAGGTTCACAGCAACAGGCTGAGTGGGGCAGGGTAGAAATGTGGACGACACTTGGGCTCTGGTGACACTGCTGAGCCTCCATGGGCTGCTTGACCTCCTGGCTTCATACATGTACTTTCGTCCATTTTCTCCTAATTGTTGAAGCCATTTTGAGCTAGGGACTATGTTCCTTACTCCCTAAGCCTATGTTGGCTTCAGCATGGTATTGGCCTGCTCAGGTCACCATAACAAAGTACCAGAGCTGGGGGGCCTAAACCACAGAGACTTATCACTCACCGTTCTGCAGCTGGAAGTCCAAGATCAAGGTGTCAGGAGGGTTGGTTCCTTCTGAGGCCCCTCCTTGACTTGCAGACAGCTGTCTTCTCCCTATGTCCTCACGTGGCCGTCCCTCTGTGTGTGTCTGTGTCCTAATCTTCTCTTCTTATAAGGACACCAGTCATAAGTTTAATATGGGCCTTGTCTAAAGGGCCCACCCCAAGATCCCATGTTACCTTAATGACCTCTTTAGAGGTCACTGGGCCCATCTTCACACACAGTCACATTAGGGGTTAGGAATTTCACATGAATTTGGGGCAGACACAATTAAGCCATAACCAGCAGTAAGGGGAAATCTCATGTCCACAGGGCAAGACGTCCACAGGTTGGCTCGTCAGCACTGGTGGCCTCAGCCCCTCAGGCACCTCCTGACTCTGTCTCCACCTCTCTGCAACGTTCTTGGTCTTCCCACAGGGATGTCAGATGGTGTCCGCGGTTCTAAGCTTCAAACCCTCAGAGCCCTACATCTGGAGGTGTGGAGGATCACTACTGCCCTGTCAACTTCCATTTGTAAGGAAAACGTTGCCTGACACCCCCGCAAGCCCCTTCCCGCTCCCATTGGCCAAAGCTGTCCCGCAGCCTGGCCCAGCCCCCGTCCTGGCGTGGAGACGCAATGATGGTGTTTGGCTGAGGCCAATGGGGCCGCACCCTCAGGGGCTGGGAAGGGCCAGCCAGTCCTCTGCAGCTCTTGGCAAAGCTGAACAAAATCAGGGTTCTCTCAGCAAAGCTACTCCCGGCCCAGAGACCCCAGGACATGCCACGATGCTCAGAGCGCCGGGCAGCGATTCAGGGCGGCAGCCGGCAGGAGGGTGCTGGGCAGGGGCGCGCGGCCAGCTGGCGCGGAGGCAGATCGAGCCCCGAGGCTCCTCGGGCCGCGCGCCCCAACACAATCTCCACGGCAACCCGTCTGCAGGAGGGACTCCCCATTGAGTTTTAACCCAAATTATATTTTCCAGGTCTAAAATCAGAGCCACTGTGGAAGCAAGTACTCATGTTAACAGCTTCGAGATGCTCTGCATGTGAGGACCGGCGGGGAAGCAAGACCTCGGAAACAGGATTTTAAATGGAGCAGCAAGCCTCGGCCGCTCAGGGCCCAAACTGCCCTGCGCTGCTATGTTCCTTTAGAAAACAAGGCAACGCAGGAGGTTGTGGTGTTGGTGCTTGTTTTCAGGGAGAATTCTAGTTTCAGTATAATTCTATTTACCTCCGGTCTTACTCAGTTACCTTTGACGTGCAGGAGAATGGCCTTTAATCATATGATCAGCAAACACTGTTTCCTCTGGGGGAAATGGGGACAAATCCACAGTTGAGAGATTTTTTTATCCTAACAGAAAAGGATAGCCTTCTTTTGGTTAGCCTCCAGGTAACCAGAAATCCAATCCATGTCTTATTTATTTATTTATTTATTGAGACAGAGTCTTGCTCTGTCAACCAGAAATCCAATCCACATCTTATTGATTGATTGACTGATTGATTGATTGATTGACTGAAACAGAGTCTTGCTCCGTCACCCAGGCTGGAGTGCAGTGGTACGATCTTGGCTCACTGCAACTTCTGCCTCCTGGGTTCGAGCAATTCTCCTGCCTCAGCCTCCCAAATAGCTGGGACTACAGGCACGTGCCACCACATCCAGCTAATTTGTGTGTCTGTGTGTGTATTTTTAGTAGAGACGGGGCTTCACCATGTTGGCCAGGCTGGTCTCGAACTCCTGACCTCAGGTGATCCACCCGCCTCGGCTTCCCAAAGTGCTGAGATTACAGACGTGAGCCATTGCACCTGGCTGAATCCACGTTGTTTAAATCTCATTTTTTATCTTTCTTTTATTCCAGTAAATCTTTTTTTTTTTTTTTTTTTTTTTTGAGACAGAGTCTCACTCTGTCACCCTGACTGGAGTTCAGTGGAACAATCTCCACTGACTGCAACCTCCACCTCTGGGGTGCAAATGACTCTCCTGTCTCACCCTCCCGAGTAGCTGGGACTATAGGCATGAGCCATCACGCCGGGCTAAATTTTTGTATTTTTAGTAGAGATGGGGTTTTGCCATTTTGGCCAGGCTGGTCTCGAACTCCTGACCTCAACTGATCCACCTGCCCCAGCCTTCCAAAGTACTGGGATTAACAGGCGTGAGCCACCGTGCCTGGCATGATTATTCTTTTAAAGTTTTTTATGCCAAGTTTCTTGAGTACTAAATTTATCTTCTGTACAATATTTGATAATGTCAAGAAAAGTCTAGAAAATAGCAAACCAGGTTGCTTATTGTTACCTATTTTCCCAAGGCACCCAGCAGAGCTATTTTTGTGTTGGCTCCTTTCCCCTGGGTTCTTGCCAGTGAAAGTTCCCATTATGTGATTAAAGAGGCTCAGGGGCAGTCACGTCTACAGTGAGCCGGGGGACCAGGGGCCCTGAAGCAATGACCACACTTTCCTGGGCGCAGCGCTTCCCGCACGCACGGCAGACACCTGCTGAGAATGCCACGGGTGCCATGGTGAAGTCAGGGATAGACTCTCTGGGACAGATACTGTTCTTATCAAGCCCACTTAACGGACAGGAGAAACTGAGGCTTACAGCAGATAAGCACAGTGCTTCAGGTTGTCCCTGGCTGCAGAACCAAGATTCAAAAGCAAGTCTGTCTCCAGAACTCAGTCACCCATCACCCAGGTGCTGTCTGTGCAATAGAGAGGCCCTCAAGCAAGCGCTGATGGGGAGAGAGCTGGAGGGAGAGTGTGGTCCGAGAGCAGTGTGGAGACGTGTTTCTAAAGCCGGAGCGCCCCGGGCCAAGCTCCGTGCACATCACAGGGCCCCTCATTACCAACCAGGAAAGTTTTGTTATAGAAAGAACCTTACACGTACGACTTGTGTGAGTTCTGATAAACTGATAAAGAATGATGAGGCTGACCTCAAGTCTCATACGGCGAGCCTGGCAGCCTCTGCCACCTCGCGGCCCCTTCAGCCCCGTCTAAAGGAATCCCACCTTTCCCAGCAGACTCAGGCACTTGCTCGCCTAGGAAGAAAATAATTTCCCAAGAAAGCATCTAAAGACAACAGAATGAGTTCCAGCTAAACTCACAGCTGTCCGGCCTAAGGGAGGGCGGCCGGGTCTGGCTGAGGAAGCAGAGGGGCAGGTGTGTAGACAGCCAGTCCCACTCGGGATAAGGTCACACAGTTACTGTCGCTTCATTAGGAAACCACATTTTGAGAGCTGGGGCATAAACTCCTCTTCAAAGGGGCAGCTTGGTATCCTCCATGGAAAGGGCCCCACCCGTAGAAGGATGATGGGAGAAGCCCCCTCCCAGCCCCCGTGCCGCTCACGGCTCTGTGGTGCCACCGACTCTAACAAGTGCTGTACCTCTGACAACGTCCTGGTGCAGAACCCAGGCAAGGCCAGCGAGGCACATGGTGTCTGCTGCCTGTTCAGGCAAATCACTAATTTCCAGGTCAGCTCCAGGTCAAAGGCCACCATGTACTCCAAGACAGTCCAAAGCCTCCCTCATCCACTGTGGACAAATTGGTCAATCTTGAGAACTCGGAGCTGAAAGAGGGATTCAGGGAGTGAAAGACGACAGGGACACACAGGCCGAGAGCCAAGCACCAACCAAGCCAGCCCCTCCCAGGACATCCCCTTACACAGGAACCTGGGGAATGGCCCAGTCCCCCAACAACCCCCATCTCAGAGGACAAAAGAAACCCAAAGCTGAGCCATGGCATTCTTTTTAAGCAGGGTAAATAACCATTATCCTGTCTCCATGCTTTAAATGCCGTCTTTATGCATCTGAGTATAGATTTGAGTCACAGCGAAAAAATACTTGAAAAGCAGGCATTTTGTGCGTGGTTTACATTTTAAAATCAAGTGCAGAGGACTCAGGGAAAGGCCCACCCGAACCATGGTCATCACCATCCATGGCACCGTTGGAGTGGGGACCTGCAGTGACCATTCCCAGAACACAAAGCCAGCCCTCGCCTTTACCAAAGGGTGCAGAAGGTACACGTAAACCAGGATCTTGTTTTACTTAGAGAGGGACTGAGCCAGGGTTCCAAGGAGAGAGGCCGTCCCTGAGGAAGAGACCATGGGGAAGATGCCGCCCTTGCTTGCAGAGCCTGGCTTAACTGTCAGAGGCAGAGAGGGCTGAAGGGTAGGCTCAGAGAAGAGATTTCAACTCCAATTATGAAGGCTAAAGAAAAGGGGTGAGTCATGTGGCCTACTGGGTTATCATCCAATTGTCCCCAATTTTTTTACCCCTCCATCTCAAGCCCCTTGCTGTGTGACTTTGCAGTTCTTCCCAACTTGCCACTGACATTGGGCTCGGCCATGTGGCCTGCCAGGGGAACATGGTAGAAGGGACAATGAGGTACATAACTTCACCTGCTGCATGAAAAAATCATGGTGAGAACCATCAACCCAAGAGGCAGAAACAAAACAAACCGGCAATCATGTGACTCGGAGTTCACTGTGACGTGGAGCTGGCAGGCGGCCTTTGGGTCTGATTTTCAGCTTGGCCAATTGAAGGGACCCATCCGTGGGAGGCAGAGAGAGTCCCCAGAACCAGGGGCTCCAGGTGTGACTGGGCAAACGGCACATGTCGGGGTCCTGCGAAGCACGGTGTGGTTCCGGCATTGGGGCAGGAGACACTCATAAGTCCAGGCACACAGACTGTCTGCATCCATGACCAGGCTCCTGGGAGAGACTTGCGAGGGGCGGCTTCATGACCAGTGACCTGTGCCCAGAGCCCACTCTCAGAAGGGCCCTGTGCCCAGGGCAGCACTCTGCGGCTGCCATCGTGAAATTCTTACTGATGTTTCACACCATTTTCATTTTGCACTGGGCCCAAAAAATTATACAGCCAGTCTGGTCACAGGGGACTAAGTAACTAAGAGCTGACCAGCGGCTCAGAACACGGCAGTGTCTGAGTCCATTCTGGCCACTATAACAAAATACCATAGACTGGGTGGCTCAGAAATAACAGAAATGTGTTTCTCACCATTCCGGAGGCTGGAAGCCCAAGACTCAGGTGCTGGCAGATTCAGTATCTGGGGAGGGCCCATTTCCTGGCTCACAGAAGTCTCACTGTGTCCTCCCGTGATGGGAGGGGCGAGGGGCCTCTCTGGAGGCTCTTTTCTAAGGGCCCCGTTCATGAGGCTCCACCCTCCTGGTCTAGTCACCTCCCAAAGGCCCCACCTCCCAATACCATCCCCTAGGGCTTCAACATCTGAATACGAGGGGACATGAACATTCGGACCATAGCAGTCAGCCCCCTGCGCGGGGCCAGGCATGTGGGGAACCCGGGCCTGGGGAAAGGGGGTGCCAAGGCTGACATGTGGGTGACCTGGCTTGGTCAGAGCAGCCTGGGTCCGTCAGAGCAGCAGCGGGCAACCCACAGCCCCACAGCCGGCAGGTGCAGGGCCTCCCACACAGTGCCTGGGTGCTTCCCCTGTGCCAGTCACACTGCTTCATGGGTATTATCCACAGCTCCCCATGAATAAGCGGCATCACCTGTACTTTACACATGGGGCCTTGAGGCACAGACAGTGTCAGTCATTTGTCCAGGGACCCACAGCCAGGAAGCAGCCGGGACTCAGGTGGTCACCCTCCTGTAGGGAACACCATCAGAACCAAGAGGATCTTTACTGTTGCCTAATTCCCAGTGAACTTGTTAAAGTTCTATAAAATGGAGGGAAACTGGGTAGAAAATGGCTGAGCTCCCAATGGACAAACAAATAGAAGGACAGATGAGGAGGCTGAGACTGCGCAGCGTGGCTGCGGGCCATGTGCTGGAGGAGTGGGGAAGAGGAGGCAGGGCCCCGGAAGCAGGGGAGCCCTTTGTCACAGCAGCCACCCAGGGCTTCTGAGCCCAAAGCCCTGGCAGACAAGGCAAGGGGCTGGAAATGGAGCTTCTTTCGGGAGGCAGCTCCACAGTGTCAGGCTGTGCGTCCCAGAGACGTGGGGATCTACCAGAGAAGGGCTCTCTCCTGTAAAGAACACCATCAGAACCGAGAGGATCTTTACCATCGCCTAATTCCCAATGAACTTGTTAAAGCATTTTTAGTGTAATGAAAACATTAGATCAATCCCTAGCAGGGACCGTTGTCATTAAATCGATAGCCCGGGTGGTCCATCACACTGACAGCTGACGCGCGCAGGAAGGTCGGTTCACAATGAGAGTCACACAGTGCCCTCCACAGCGACTGGAGTGAGGGAGGGGGGCCGGGAGAGATAAAAATCTGCTCCGTCTGAAGCACCTTGAAAAGAGAGGACGGATAGGATTGTGTCAAGGTTGCAGGCGCCCTGGAGAAGAGCAGGGTGACCATGGCAGCGGCTCACTGAGAGCCGCACCTGCGGGGGTGGCTGTTTCAGTGGGAACAGAGCAGGTTCTTACAGTGTGTGCAGCGCGTGCACCACTAGGATTCCTGCCACACACTCCTTCATCGTCGCTCCAAATGAGTCCCACAGACCAAAGAGAGGGACGGGGAGAGTAGGGGCAGAAGTAAATCCTATAAAAGAAGCCCAGGGTGAGCGCTGGGAGTAACCTCGATGGGAAGCCAGGAAAGGGAACGTGGGGCCCGGCCGTTCAGGACAGGCCTCCACAGGCAGCGGCTAAACACGTCACCCAGGAAGTGTGGGTTTCGAGAATGCATACACTGGGTCTGGAAGCCTCATGGCCTCATGTTTTCGGCTTTCTAAGAAGGGATCTTACTAAGAGAAAGGGGAATGGGGATGGGACGATGAGAACCGCTGTTCAGCACACCGATGTGTGTACCCAGGAGCATTATAACCATAACTCTCCAATATATGCATATATATGTGTGTACACACAGGCACACACGCATACACACAAGCACATGCACACATACATGCTCATGCACATGCACACACATGCCATGTGGGCAGCATCTGGGATGGACTCGAGTTCACCACTAGACCTTAGACAGAAGCACAGAGGACAAGGGGCAGAGCTCAGCAGGGTGGCATCTGTGGGTGAGCCTGGGGGGCCCAGCAGCTGTGGGCCTTGCAGAAATCGGCAGATGAGGGGGTGAAAGCCTGGGGTCCCTGTCAGCATGGGAAAACATCCATCTGGGGAAGTAGAACACACTAGAGAGGGAAAGCCACTGGCAAGGTGTGAGCCTATTGGTGGGTTTCTGCAGATGGTCCTGGAGAATGTAGACAAATCCACGGAAAAGACAGCAGAGCACTTCGAGAAGTCAGCCAAGTGATGACGAAGTGTACAAACAACAGCCAGGACAGCCAGTTAGAAAACGAAAGACGAGGCCGGGTGTGGTGGCTCAGGCCTGTAATCCTAGCACTTTGGGAAGCCGAGGCAGGCAGATCACCTAAGGTCAGGAGTCAAGACCAGCATGGCCAACATGGCGAAAACCCATCTCTACTAAAAAAAAAATACAAAAATTAGCCAGGCGTGGTGGCAGGTGCCTGTAATCCCAGCTACTCAGGAGGCTGAGGCAGAATTGCTTGAACCTGGGAGGCGGAGGTTGCAGTGAGCCAAGATCATGCAAAAAAAAAAAAAAAAAAAAGGAAAAGAAAAGAAAATGAAAGAAGAAAACATTCTATTAACATCAACAAGACAGGGTAGCCAGAAATAAATGAAACAATGGTGCTTTAGGGCACTGAAATGACTCTGTGCACCTCTACAGTGAGGAGAGCACTTAGTTAGATAACCCACGGAGTGCACAGCGCCAGGAGCCGGGCACCCGGGTGGAGCTGGACTTCAGGGGAGGAGGTGACGTCCACGTGGGGTCAGCGATCCTGACCACTGTGCCACTCTGGTGGGGAACGCTGATAGCGGGGGAGGGTGTGGGGAACAAGGGGCCCATGGAAAATCTCTACACTTTCCACTCAATTCTGCTGTGTACCTAAAACCACTCTAAAAAATAAAGTCTATTTAAAGGGGGGAAATTTACAGGATGCATTTGAAGAAAACCTTGAACTCTACTGGGAAATGGCAAAAAGATTCAAGCAAAGGAGACTGTTCTTAGATAGGAAGGCTAAGCATGGTAAAGATATAAACATCCATTGACATACATCTAATGAGATAAAGATCAAATAATAACCTTTTTGACCTTTATAAAATAACCTGAAAGTTAATAGAAAATATAAGAGTAATATGTAATATTAAAATATAAAGGTATAATAAGAAATATCTATAATAGTGGTGCAGAAATAGTTAAAAACAGCAAAGAGTCTAGAAACTTCCATGGAGTCCAGACTCTAACGCGTATGGGAATTGATTACAAGACATTATTTAAAATAATAACCGTAAGGTGCTAAGCAAAGACTTAATGAGTGTATATTGTACTCCAAAGGTCAACTCATTAGCCTCAATTTCTACCACAACCCTTTACACCAAAATTACTTCCAGGTGGATTCAATATGATTTTTTGAGGTAATCTTCAAGTATGCTTAGTTTTACCAGGTGGGATCGTGCATGCCTGTGGTCCCAGCTACTTGGGAAGTTGAGGTGGGAAATGGCTTGAGTCCAGGAGTTCCACTACACTCCAGCCTGGGCAACAGAGCAAGACCCCCACCTCTCAAAAATAAAGAAACAGGCCAGGCGCGGCAGCTCATGCCTGTAATCCCGGCACTTCGGGAGGCCGAGGCGGGCGGATCACCTGAGGTCAGGAGTTCGAGACCAGCCTGACCAATATGGAGAAGCCCCATCTCTACTAAAAATACAAAAAATAGCTGGGTGTGGTGGTGCATGCCTGTAATTCCAGCTATTCAGGAGGCTGAAGCAGAAGAATCGCTTGAACACAGGAGGCAGAGTTTGCAGTGAACAGAGATCATGCCATTGCACTCCAGCCCGGGTAACAAGAGCAAAACTCTGACTCAAAAAGAAAACAAACAAAGTAACAAAAATGTGTGCCTTGTTTTTATAAACATGAGATGAAACCAAGAAGTCATGAGGAAAAATATTAATAAATTATATTACATTAAAAATTTGTAGAGAAAAAGCACCATGAACAAATTAAAAATATAAATAAAAATCCAAAAGCGTGCAATACCTATGAGAAGAACTATTTTAATTTTGCTTAAAAGGCTCTTATAAATTATTAAGGAAAAAATAACAGCCTAATTTTTTTTAAGTGAGCAAAGACAGGCTTAGAATAAGAAATAATTCTAAGCCTGCCTCTTCTCTTTGCTCATTTTATACTATTTATACTATGCTCATTAAATACTATTTATTTTTTATTCTAAGAAGAATGGTCAGGTGAAAATATATCAATCTTACACATAATTTAAGAAATGCTAGGGCCAGGTGCGGTGGCTCACTCCTGTAATCCTAGCATTTTGGGAGGCTAAGGTGGGCAGATCACTGGAGGTCAGGAGTTCGAGGCCAGCCTGGCCAACATGGTGAAACCCTGTCTCTACTAAAAATATAAAAATTAGCCGGGCGTGATTGTGGGTGCCTGTAATCCCAGCTACTCGGGAGGCTGAGGCAGGAAAATTCTGCCTTGAACCCAGGAGGCAGAGGTTGCAGTGAGCCGAGATTGCACCACTACACTCCAGCCTGGGCAACAAGAGCAAAACTCTGTCTCAAAAAAAAAAAAAAAAAAGAAAAGAAAAGAAAAGAAAAAGAAAAAGGAAAAAAGAAAGAAAAGAAAAAAAGAAATGCTAATAAAATTAAGTGATGACTTTCTTTTATCAGACTGGCAAAAATTGAAAATATGCAGAGTTGATTGAAGAATGTGCACAAACCATCACATACTAAGTGTTAGATAGTGAACTGGCAGAAACGATGGGAGGTCCACAAAAATTGTCAAGAAAAGAGCTCCAAAACCCTGTTAGTAAAAAATACTGTTAAATAATTCCGTGTATAGCATGTAATTTGTGTTTAAAAAACAAAAACCCAGCACCTCAGACCTTACTAGTAAGAGGATAGCTACTATCAAAAAACCTGAAAACACCACGTGTTGGCGAGGAAGTGGAGAACCTGGACCCCTGGACGCGGCTGCTGGGAGTGTAAAACCAGGCAGCTGCAGTGAAAAACAGTGCGGCGGTGTCCCAGCAAGTTAAAATAAAAACTCCCATAGCGCCCAGCAACTTCCCCTCTGCATATGGACAGAGAATTGAAAGCAGGATCTCAAGGAGATACTTGCACTCCTGTGTTCGTAGCAGCAGCATTCACAGCAACTAAAACATGGTTGCAAACCAAACGCCCATCAACAAATGAATGGACAAACACAATGCGGTCTGTACATGTGATGGAATATTACTCAGCCTTAAAAAGGAAGGGAATCCCGACGTATGCCACAACCTGATGGACCTCAAGGATATTTTGCTGAGTGAAATAAGCCAGTCGCCACAGGACAAATACGGTAGATTCTGCTTACCTGAGACCCCTCGAGTGGTCAAACCCACAGAGACAGAAAGTAGAACCGTGGGTGCCAGGGGCTGGGGGGTGACAGAGCAGGGAGTTTGTGCTTCATGGGGACAGAGCTCCAGTTTGGGAAGATGGAAAGTTCTGGAGATGATGGGGTTGAGTGATGGATGCTCAGCAATGTGATTGTGCATAATGCCACAGAACTAACTGTACGTTTAGATGGTTAAGATGGCGAATTGTAGGTTATGTGCATGTCACTGCAATTAGAAATGAGACCCGAGCCTCACGGATCCATGTAGTATTCACACAGTTGCACCAGAGACACTGTCGTGGGATACCCACCCTGGGGTGGGCAAGTGTAACTGGCTGCAGCTTTGGTTCAAGCCCAGGAGTGGGCAAGTAGGGGTGGAGAGGAGTGGCACCTACGTTTTCCACGGCAAGCATGTACACATTTTGTTATTATTATTATTATTGAGATGGAGTCTTGCTCTGTCGCCCAGGCTGGAGTGCAATGGCACAATCTCAGCTCACTGCCACCTCCGCCTCCTGGGTTCAAGCAATTCTCCTGCCTCAGCCTCCTGAGTAGCTGGGATTACAGGTGCCCGCCACTACACCTGACTAATTTTTGTAGTTTTAGTAGAAATGAGGTTTTGCCATGTTGGCCAGGCTGGTCTCAAACCCCTGACTTCAGATGATCTGCCTGCCTTGGCCTCCCAAAGTGCTGGGATTACAGGCGTGAGCTACCACACCCAGCCCAGACTTTGTAGTTTAAAAGGAGAAAGAAAATGATCTGACACCTGCAGGAGGAACGGCAGCCAGAAAGAGCCGACAGCGAAGGCGTGCCGCTCAGCGGAGACCCCACCACTGGGCAGGGGCCCTCTTGGGGCAGGCTCCAGCAGCCCCCTGTCCACACCTGCTCCCTGCAG
The DNA here is from genome assembly GCF_000001405.40 of Homo sapiens. Classification (NCBI taxonomy): domain Eukaryota; kingdom Metazoa; phylum Chordata; class Mammalia; order Primates; family Hominidae; genus Homo; species Homo sapiens. The sequence continues at coordinate 155,565,846 of NC_000007.14, forward strand.
CCTCCCCGGCAGTGCTTTCCTCCTAAGGGTGGACATTCCCTCCCACAGACCTGGGGAGCCGAAGCCTGCATCTCCTGAGCTTGAGGCCAGGAGTAGCACCCACGTTCTCTTCCCAGCATCATTATGCTTATTCCATCAATAGGGTGTGGGCCCCTGAGGTGTGCCAGCGCTGGGCCAGGCACAGAGATGACACTGAGAGACAGCAGGGAGACGGCACCACCTCAGCAGTCCCACGTGGATCCTTTAAGGGGACTAGTGGCCTAGAGACACGCATGGCCCACTGGGCAGAGGCCTGTTGATGAGCAGCCGAGGCGAGGCCATGAAGGAGGCCGCTTGTTCCCGAAGGCCTCCGTGCCCCTTCCTAGCCCATTCCTGCCACACCCTGCCAAATGGGAAACCGACAATGGCCTCAGGTCCCGCCCGTTTCAGAGGCCACCAGCAGATCACTGGAGGTCAGCGAGGGCCCCTGGCGGTGCCGGCCCCAGGGTTGACAAAGAGTCCCGCAGCATGGGGGACGCTCCCCAGTCGGAGCCCACCTTGACCCTCCAGACTGTGGGACGGCAGTAAAAGCACAATGGCTGGGGTCGGGAAAACAAAGGAACAAGGTCCAAAGGGCCTTCTCCTTCCAGGGCCGGGTACCACGAGGGGGTGGTCTAAGCAGGGGCCTTGAACTGAGACCCTGGTCACCCTCAGGGGTGCCCTGGTGGAGGATGGGCAGGGGTTGGTGGTGCCCAACACGCAGGGGCGGGCAGAGGTAGAGCAGCCAGCAGGGGAGGCTGGAAAGGAGGACCCGAGGATTGGCCATGAAAGCCAGAGGTGCACGGCAGCCCCGACGCAGGGGCGCTCACAGAGGCCAGGAGGGGCGAGGGCCATGAGGCTGGGCCCCCATCTCTCACCACATACAAAGGTCAACTCAAAACGGATTAAAGACTTAAATGTGAGATGGGAAACTATAAAATTACAAGGAGAAAACATAGGAGAAACACTTTATGACATTGGTCTGGGCAAGAATTCGGGAGGTAAGACCTCAAAAGCACAGGTAATAAAAGCAAACATAGACAAATGGGATTCCACCAAACTAAAAATCTTCTGCACAGCAAAGGAAGCAATCAACACAGCGAAGGGAAAGCCTGTGGAATGGAAGAAAGTATTTGAAAGCCATACATCTGATAAGGGACTAATAACCAAAATCAATAAGGAACTAAACTCAACAGCAAAAATCAAATGATCCTATTTAAAAATGGCCGACAGGTATATGAAAAAATGCTCAACATCACCAATCACCAGGGAAGTACAAATCAAAGCCAGAGTAAGACAGCACTGAACACCTGTGAGAATGGCTCAAACCAAACAAAAAAAAAGATGGCAAGTGTTGGCGAGGATGAGGAGGAAAGCAAACCCTGTACACCATTGGTGGGAATGCTAATTGGCACAGCCATTACAGAAAACAGCGGGGAAGTTCCTCAAAAAATTAAGAATAGAACTTCCCTATGATCTAGCAACCCCACTGCCGAGTACAGACCCCAAGGGAATGAAGTCCCTATGTCAAAGAGATACACTGAAAAGTCACAGCGCACCCATAGATAGGCACAATGATTAGGAGTCAATTAACAATTTAAAAATTTAAAAGAAGTGTTGGCTCTGCCAGCCCCAGCTAGGTCAGATGGCCCATTGGACCTTGTATTGGTCCATTCTCACATTGCTATAAAGAACTACCTGATCATTGGCTCACAGTTCTGCAGGCTGTACAGGAAGCATGGCTGGGTAGGCCTCAGGAAACTTTCAACCATGGCGGAGGGTGAACCCAGACATGCCGAGTTGTTTACGGATTTTCTATGGCTGCTTTTGTGTTCCAAAGACAAAGTTCAGTAATTACAACAGAGATGGCATGGCCTGCGGAGATGGAAATACTTACCAGCTGACCCTTCACAAAAACAGGTGGCCGCAGAGCCATGTTCAGAGTCATACCACGCGTGGCAGGGAAAGAGCCAGGGCTTTAGCGACCGACTTGGACTTTGGCCCATGGTTGTTGAGGGCTGTTCCTGGGGGCGCTAACTCCCTGGCACTTCCAGCCTTCTTTGCACTCAGCAGAGGAGGCCACAGGAAGCTCTCAGTGCCCAAATCAGGCAGCAAGTGGGTGCTAGGAGGTGTCAGCAGGGCACCAACAGGCTGGTGACCCCTTTACCTCGGAGGGAGGCAATCCACACAAAACCCGTCACCACTGCTCAGAGATGGCAGCTGCCAACGTTAGGCATGATTTCAGTTTTCAACCACGTTAGCCTCTTCCCATAGGACTTACGAAGAACAGCCCAACACCACAGAATTCCATGGAAGGGGCTCAGCTGCGATGTCACCACCCAAATATTCCAGGAAGGAAAACCGGGTCCAGGGCTGTGACCTTTGCCAAGAGCCTCTCTCTCCGAGAAAATAGCAATGATTAGCGAGAAGGTGGCAAAGAATGCTGGTTTCATGCATTTTATTGCTAATATGACGCCTGGAAGGAGGGCAGGCAGGATGCTCACTTCCCCCTGAGTAGGTTAGGTTTTCTGTATTCTGTTTTGTGAGGCAGGATTAGGAGAATCGCTTCAGGACATGGAGCAGCGGCGCTGCTGCCTCTGCATTCACTGTGAGTACTCAGGGCTGTTCATGCCAGAGAGACAGAATTCAACCAAATTGAAGGAGACGAGATGTCTCTTCCCAGGTTTCCCTAAATGGGTTGGCTTCAAATGGAGGAAAATACTGAAAGAGATTTTAAAAGAGCAATGCAGAATGAGATAGAAAGAATAGAAAAAGAAACCCCTAAGACAGTAGATCTCATCATCATGGAGTTGGAGCTGGACCAGGTGAAACAGTGAGATCCAAGAGGGGCCTGTGCCACTGCCCCCTCTTTCCCGGGGGTCTTCATTTCTCTGTCAACCTCCCATGCCCTGGCCCTGGGGCTTGCCGACTTCCTGACTCCCCACCCCACTTCTCTAAGCTCCGCCTTTGCACCCACCTGGCATGCCCCAGCCCTGCACCTGGTGTGTTCAAAACTCATCAGCAAGTCAAAATGTCTGAATGCTCGAATACATGTATATTTGCAATTATATGCACATGCTGCAAAACACTATTAGGGACTATGTCCAGTTTTGAGAGAAACATGCCCAGGAGTTCTAATATTTCCTCCTCAGCCCTCAGGGGCTCCTGGCCTCCGCCTGGCCTGCACCCTGCGACGCGCACAGCCCTCTCTGGAAACCTGAGGCCAGCAAGCGGTCCTGCCTGCACCTGCTCTTCACACCACTCTCATGTATGGGGAGGGATCCGTTGCCAAGATGATTTTGAAAACCTTTTAGGCCTTTCCAAAGCATCCTCCCCAAAGCTTATTCCCCCCAGAGCACCCAGCGCACTCGCCTTGGTCTGTCCCAGAGCACTGACAAGCTCATCTTGGTCTCTTCCAGAGGCACTGCTAGGGCCCGCAGCCTGGGTTATGCATTTGCATTTGAGCAGCAGCTTCCTGGAAACAATGCTTTAGGGTGAAAAGCAGGCCCTAGGTCTGGACAAAGAATGTATTTTGGGTGATAGATATCTTTTGCTTCATCTCCAATCACCCAAACCCCAGGGGGTGCCTGCTGATGATGTGTGAAGTGGACATGGGGACTGACTCTGAGAAGGTTCTTGGAAAAGGCCCAACTGACACCCACCAGTGACACGACGGGCCCTGTGTGGAGACCCCTGACTCACACCTCCTCTGACACCAGCCCCTCCACTCTCACACCTCAGCCCCAGCCCATTCCCCCTCTAGCAGCTCCCATGGGATGTGCCCTTGGTTCATGCAGTCTCTGTGGGTTCCCAGCCCTGCCTTCCCCTCCACACCCTGTCCCCAGCCCCTGGTGCCCACACAGGACACCTGAAGCCACCGCCCCTGTCCTGTCCCCCTCTTGGTCCCAAAACCAGGCTGGAGAAACCAGCACCAGTAAGAGAGCCAGCCTCGAACTGCCCAGGCAGTCCTTGTTCAGTCCTGCCTGCAACCCAAGGAGCCAGCAGCCATCCAGAAGCAGCACAGAACGTGCAGAGGTGAAGGGCAGAGGCCGCACCCAGACCCAGCCGAGGCCAGGGCCAGCGGAGGCACTGGGGGCTCTGTCCCAGCCTCAGAGACTCTTCTTCCCAGGTGCCCAGTCCCTGCCACAGCGGGCCCTGTCCTCCTCGCTGGGACCACCGATTCGCTCAAGGCTCTTACACTGCCCACCGTAACCAACATGACGGAGGCCGCCTGCTCTCCCTTTGTTCTCTGATCAGCTAAAAGCCACCCACAAATTCCTGCATCGAGAGGGCGAGCTTCAGCCAGGAGATCTGAGAGTGTTTTTTAAATCAATTGTAACTAACTGGTGTCTTGTAATCAGCAGCACGTGAGAGATGTCGTCCGAGGCTCAGGAACAGGTGCTGCCTTCCCCGGCCGCCAGCCTGAGCCATGACCCCAGCCCACCCCAAGTGAGCTCAGAGAGGTGAAATGCCCAAGTTCATGGAGCCAGGGCACAGCGGGGACAAGGCTGGAATCCAGGGGACCCCAAAGCAGCTGCCCTCAAGGCTGGACGCCAGGCCTGGACTGGAGGTGCTGAGAAGGACCCCCAAAGGGCTTCTCTTTGAGTAGCCAGGAGCCGGGTAACAGGGAAAGACGGTGGCCCAGTGGCCTGGCCCCCTTGGGGAAGGGTTTGCTGGGCTCTCTGGAAGCCCCTGGACCCCTTTGGCACCCACCTTCATACACACTCACCTCCACAGAACACCTCCGGGTCCCGGGCACTCCGGGCCAGCGCAGGCCCCAGCAGCAGGGCCAGCAGAGCCAGAGGCAGCAGCATGGGCCCCATGCCAGCTGTGCCGCCGCACACCGGCCTCCTTCCAGGCCCCTCACAGGCCCCTCCGCGAGTGCTGGGCGTGCAGCAGACAAATGGCATACAAAGGTCCTCGGGCCGCACCGCCCTAGATACCCGCCCTGCCCTGTGGTGCTGCACCTGGGCCCCTTCCCAGTGAGCCACCTGCACCACACAGCTGGTCCCTGCCTGGTCCCCGCCCCCGCCCCCGCCCCCACCCCCGCCCCTAAACCTGCCCTGTCTTCCCTTCCCTCGGTACCCAGTCACCCCTACCCCATGTCGCCACATCTGTCTAAGGTTCTCACACTTGTCTCAGGTTCCCACACCCTCATCCCCATCCCACCACCCCCACCTCCCTCCCCACCCCCACCCAGCCCTGTAGAGGCTGGTGCTGCACCTGGGCCCACTTCCAGGTGCCCAGCAGCCTCAGCCCACCTGGTCAGCGCCCTGTGCCTACCCTCACCCCTAGTCCCCCATCCCGGCCCTCCTCCTCCACCCCTTCCCGATTCCACCCCATCCCTGGTCCCCACTCCACGGCCAGGTCCCCATGCTTTGGTCCCCAGCCCAGTCCCATGATCTCCATTACCAGTTGAGGTCTCCACACCCATGTCCCTGTCTTCAACCCCACCCCGTCCTGTCCCCACCCCCTGCAGCCCTCATCTGCCAGGGTCATTTTACCGTCCCTTGTGGACCACAGGTATGAGCCACAGAGCTCAGGCCCTGGCACTCAAAGCCTGGAGGGCAAACCCTCCCCCTGCAAGTAAAGGTGTGAGGTCCCTGGGCCCTTCTGGCCAGGGGGACATCATCCGGGGTTCTGAGAAGCTCTTCCTTTGTCTTCCTGGGGACCTTCCCAGCCCTATCCCACTCTCCTTCTCCTCTGTACCCTCCCATGGCCTCCCCTTTCCCCACTTTATCCCCGCACACCCCATAAGCCTCTAAGTGGGAGGAGCTTATGAGTGTGCACTCTGACAGGACCCTGCCCTGAAAGCAGCGGCCCCTTCTCAGAGGAGCCGGGCATAAAAAGCAGCTGAGCACCAGGCGCCCCCCGGCCACCTCCCCTGCAGGAAGGCTCCGCGGGGTTAACACGAAGCCTGCACAGGTGACCTCCCTAGAGCACCCCGCTGTGGACTCAGTAGGCCCTGCAGGGCACAGGCTGGTGGAGAGGGAAGGCTAAGTGTTTAGTGCAGGGAGGAGATGCTGTTCTGAGTAATTGTCTCCACATTCAACTCATCTGCATTTTCCCTGGTGCTCTGTTTGCTTCTGAGCACTCGGTCCCTAAAATAATGCTGGCCCCATCGAAGATGACAACAGGGAGTGACATTTAGAAGAAAATGGAGGTGAGGAAGGAGAGGGGCATGGGGAGAGAGGAAGGAGGAAAGATAGAAGGGAGAAAGAGAGGAAGGAAGGAGGGAGGAAGGAAGAAGGGAGGAAGGGAGGGAGGAAAGAAGGAGGGAAGGAGGAAAGATGGAGGGAGGGAGGAAGGAAGAAAGGAGGGAGGAAGGAAGAAAGGAGGGAGGAAGAGAGGAAGGAGGGAAGGAGGAAGGAAGGAGGGAGGAAGGCAAGGGAGGGAAGATGCCCCAGGATCTCCTGGTAACCACTGTCCCATCATGGACTCTGCATCCTTCTGGGGACCCTGGCACCTTTTAGTGCAGAACAGCATCTGGAAACCAAGCTCGGGGTCCTCACTGTGTTCATTGCTGTGGGGGTGTCATGGCTCCCAGGCTCTCAGGGGACAGAAAGAGGAAATATCTGTATATATCCATATAGACAGACACGCTCACCCCAACACACATGTGCATGTCTCGCTGTTTCTGGGTCCATGTGTACATTTTAATGAACCTGTCAGTTGACACTGAGACCCCAGTCCCAGTCTTGCCACCTCCAGTTCTTTCTCATTTTCTCCCTTTCCAACATTAGTAGGCCCTTCTCTGACAGCAAGAAACCGGGCTCCTGTGGAAAGGTTTATTTGCTCCATTCTCTGCATATCTCCCCAGCCCCCGCCACTTCTTCATGTCACTTGCTCCCCTCCCCAAGCTATGTCATTTACCAGGGCCCAAAGAATGGGCTCCATAAACAACAGCCTTGTGAGATCTTTATGGACAGCTTGCTGGGTGCCAGGATCTGTGCTTTATGCAGGGATTCATCTTTAATTCACTCAATATCCCCAACCTGTAGATAGGAAACCGAGCCTGAGGAAGATGTAGTCATTTGCGGAAGTATGCTCGCTCACATGGTTAGTGGCATCGTTTTATTTTTAGCCGGGGCAGCAATGTGCTCAGTTCCTGGTCACCTTGCTCCTGAGTATGGCTAGGAGATGAAGCTCTGGCCAGTGAGATGTAAGCAGAGGTTGTTGGTGAGGCCTCTGAAAAGTTTGTTAAAAGTGGGAAGACTGGCCGGGCATGGTGGCTCACACCTGTAATCCCTACACTTGAGGGAGGCCGAGGCAGGCGGATCACCCGGGGTCAGGAGTTCAAGACCAGCTGGCTAACATAGTGAAACCCTGTCTCTACTAAAAATACAACAAGTAACCGGGTATGGTGGCAGGTGCCTGTAATCCCAGCTACTCAGGAGGCTGAGGTGGGAGAATCGCTTGAACCCAGGAGGTTGCAATGAATCGAGATTGAGCCATTGCACTCTAGCCTGGGCAACAAGAGCAAAACTCCATCTCAAAAATAAAGAAAACTGAGTAAGGATGTGAGCAAAAAGAATAGCAAAATTAAGAATTTGATAACACAAGGAGTTGGTAGTGGTCTGATGAAACATCAGTCTCATATCACTTGTGGGAGTGTAATTGGGTACCGCCTCCAGCGAGGGTAACCCGGTAATAGTCAAATAATCATTTAAGTTCTAAGCACACATCCTGGGTGACTCAGTGATTCCTCCTGCAGGAATTCACCCCACACATACACTCGCACACTCCTGCGGGAATTCACCCCACGCATACACTCGCACGCTCCTGCGGGAATTCACCCCACGCATACACTCGCACGCTCCTGCGGGAATTCACCCCACGCATACACTCGCACGCTCCTGCGGGAATTCACCCCACGCATACACTCGCACGCTCCTGCGGGAATTCACCCCACGCATACACTCACACGCTCCTGCGGGAATTCACCCCACGCATACACTCGCACGCTCCTGCGGGAATTCACCCCACGCATACACTCGCACGCTCCTGCGGGAATTCACCCCACGCATACACTCGCACGCTCCTGCGGGAATTCACCCCACGCATACACTCGCACGCTCCTGCGGGAATTCACCCCACGCATACACTCGCACGCTCTTGCGGGAATTCACCCTACGCATACACTCGCACAGGTATACAGTGGTTCATGTCTGAAGTTATTCATTGCAGCATTGTTTGAAACAGCCAGAGATAAAAAACAATCTGCCTTCAGGAGGAAACGTGTTAAAGTGTGGGGCAATGAACTACTGCATCAGGGAAAAGAAAGGGAAATTTCCTTTTTTTTTTTTTTTTTTTTTTGAGACGGAGTCTCGCTCTGTCGCCCAGGCTGGAGTGCAGTGGCGCAATCTCAACTCACTGCAAGCTCCACCTCCCGGGTTCACGCCATCCTCCTGCCTCAGCCTCCCAAGTAGCTGGGACTACAGGCGCCTGCCACCTTGCCCGGCTAATTTTTCTTTGTATTTTTAGTAGAGACAGGGTTTCACCGTGTTAGCCAGGATGGTCTCGATCTCCTGACCTCGTGATCCACCCACCTCAGCCTCCCAAAGTGCTGGGATTACAGGCGTGAGCCACCGCGCCCAGCCGGGAAATTTCTTTATGGAATGCTATAGGATAATCTCCAAAACGTATTTTTAAGTTTAAAAAAAAAAGAATCCAAACAGTGTGTATATAGCAGGTCCTTGACTTGTGATGGTTTGACTTGTAATTTTTTGACTTTATGAGGGTGTGAAAGCGACATGCAGTCTATAGAAACCATACTTCAAATTTTGAGATTTGATCTTTCCCAGGCTAGTATATGCATCACGAACTCTCTCAAACCTGGGCAGGGGCAGCCGCAGCCCCCAGTCAGCCCTGAGACCACGAGGGTGAGCAACCTGCCCTCTGCAGTGGGCTGCGCTGCCCAGCGATGTTGCCAGCTGTGGGCTGATGTGAGTGTTCTGAGCAGGGTTAAGATAGGCGAGGCTAAGCTGCGATGTTCCCTTGGTTGGGTGTATTAGATGCATTTTGACTTAAAATACTTCCAACTTATGACGGGCTTATTGGGATGTGATGTCATCCTAAGTTAAGGAGCATCTGTAATGTAATATGCTACTCTTTGAGTAAAATAAAATCTTTCTGGAAGGATACCAAGATCAGTCTCCTCTGGGCAGAAAAACTGAGTGGCTGAGGGCCCTTGGATAATACAAAATCTGGCCTTTGTCCCAGCACTCTAAGTCCTGGGAACTTCCCAAGTGGTTAAACTGTCTTCATTATTCACATTACTCACAGTGGGCCCTGGTAGCTTATACTAATGAGGTGAGCCAGCATGGTCCCTGGATACCTGCAGGATGGGAGGTGGTCACTAGCAAACCCAATCATATGATTAGAGGGCTAGGACTTTGGGCCCAGGGCTATCGGCCCAACCTGCTGACCTCTGGGAGGCAATGGAGGAGGCAGAGACTGAGTTTTCCCCAGCTTGGCTGATCACTCAACCAGTCGTATTTATGGAACGAGATGCCAATAAAAGCTCTGATGCTGAGGCTCCGTGGAGGGTCCAGATGTGCCTGGAAGGTGATGTGTGCTGATCCACAGGGCAGGACATGGAAGCTCTGCATTCAGGACCCAACCAGCCCTCACCCCATGTGTCTCTTCATTTGGCTGGCCTGATGTGTGTTCTTTATTATGAAAATGGGATCGTGGCCAGGCACAGTGGCTCATGCCTGTAATCCCAGCACTTTCAGAGGCCAAGGCGGGTGGATCACCTGAGGTCAGGAGTTCAAGACCAGCCTGGCCAACATAGTGAAACCCCGTCTCCATAAAAATACAAAAATTAGCTGGGCATGATGGCGGGGGCCTGTAATCGCAGCTCCTCAAGAGGCTGAGGTGGGAGAATCGCTTGAACCCAGGAGGCAGAGGTTGCAGTGAGCCAAGATCGTGCCACTGCATTCCAGCCTGGGCAACAAAGCGAGATTCAAGTGCAACACTTTCGAAGGCTCTGGGAGTGTTCCAGTAAATTATAAAACCTGAGGTCATCAGGGGAGCCCCTGGATTTGTAGCAAGTTGGTCAGAGGTGCAGGTCGCCTGGGGACCTCACTTGGGGGTGGCATCTGAAGCAAGGGCCGTCTTGTTGGGACCCTACCCTTAACCCATTTATGCCAGAGGTCGCAAATATTTTTTTGTGAAAAATCAGACCTTGGCAATGACCTTGAGCAGTAGGCTATAAGTAAGTCCCACAAGCTTAGTGTTCCACTAATGGAACACTAGGCGTAAGTGGGTGAAACCTGTGGGGATGCTAACTGGGTGGCAGTTTCAAAACGGAAACAAAAAAAGGGAAATGAATTTTTGCTATAGACATTTTGTACCTTTTTTTGAGTATATTTCCTATTTACAAACAAATATAAAATAAAAAGAAAGGTATTTTTAACTCTAGGAAAAACAAACAGTTGTAGATGAAAGCCGTGGTGCAAACGTGAAGCCGACTAAAACGTGGCCTGATTTTGAGCTACTGACAGAGCTTAAGAAAAAAGACTTTCTTCCCGCGGACAGGGGAGCCCTCTCCTTCGAGTGGGGAGTCTAAAGCTTCCCTCCTGCTTCATGTGCTTCAGAAGCTCTAGCTTTCATTCTCCGTTCGATTTTACCAACCAGCCCTGAGCAAACAGACCTCCGACCCTTGAAGTCAGGAACACTTACTTGGAGTTTCTCCGGGCGAGGCACAGGTGGCCGGGGCCAAGCTGCCCAGGTGAGGAAAGTCTGGAGGACTCACGCCTTAGGTGTGTTTGATTTCACCACCGCAAGGAAAGCCTCCTCACGTGCACCGCACGGGCTTGCAGAAAGCAGCCCCAGCCCGGAGTAAGGCGTTCGGAAAAGCGCGCTCTGCTCCGTCCCCGGACGCTCCCTCTTCCTGATATCCTTGCAGCTCTCTGGTTGGGGTTTTTTTCTTTCTCTTTGCATCCTCATTTCTCCTCTGGGCTTTTCTGTTGCACAAAACAGAAAAAAATAGAAGAAAAACACTTTGGCAGATTGTTTTATTCTGTGGCCAAAGGAAATCAGAGAGGACTAAATGCGGAAGGAGCTGAGCGACTCCAGCCCACTCATTCGGTGTACAGAGCAGCTTAGCAAGAAGGCGTGGACTGCTGGGCTGGGCTTGCATTCTACAAAACTCCGCCATTCACCGGGGTCACCCTGGGCGGGCACTCCAAGTCCATGGCCTGTGTCAAGTGAGTCACACGGTTGACGCTACCTGGAGGCACTGGTGTCACCTTGGGTGTGGCATTGGTGTCACTGACTCTTCCCCATCTGCTGGCCCAGACTTTTAGGCCTGCGCTGTCCTCTGATTGTCTGTGGTCCTCCCCCAGAGACAGGCTCAGTCCTGCCCAGCGCTGTGGAGCACCTACCCTGGTGGCCATTCCAAGCTTCAGCCCCCTGGGCAGGTCCAGGCTGAAACACCACAGGAAGGCCAGGGGAACCTCTGTACTTCCCAGACAGACCCCATCCCAGCACCAGACAGACCCCATCCCAGCATCCACTGAAGCCCCTGGACGGCTCCTTCGGGACTCTGGCCGCTGCTTCCTCTGCTTGGGGCAGCATGACGAGGCTGTGCAGGGCTGAGGAGGGGCGGGGTCCTCAGAATGACAGGTGCATCCACGCCACACCATGTGGCACTGTGGGTGGCCTGTCCCCCTTCTTAGCCAACCCTTTACCTGAGCATCAGCGCAGCATCGTTTGGGCCGGGATGAGCGTAGAGTTTAAATAGCCATGGTCCCTTCTGTCTGCCGATAGTGACTCCGGGGCCTGGTGGGGCCGGGCAGGGCACCCAGCTCTGAGGAAAACGCTGGCCTGTCCCCTCGACATCCCTCCCCTCAAGCCCACCTGCCAGCAAGACAAGCATGAGCCCCAGTCCCCGACGAGGCTGGTCTGACACCTCTGACCTGCTCCCGGGCTGCAGTGAGGATGGAGCGGGGAGCAGCACCTGGTTCTGACCTGCTCCCGGGCTGCAGTGAGGACGGAGTGGGGAGCAGCACCTGGCTCTACCTGCTCCCGGGCTGCAGTGAGGACGGAGTGGGGAGCAGCACCTGGCTCTACCTGCTCCCGGGCTGCAGTGAGGACGGAGGGAGGAGCAGCACCTGGCTCCAACCTCCTGGCCACACAGGCCTGCCTACTCCTGTTAGGGACCAACTGGGTCCGTGACTTAGCCCCTCTGAGACTCAGTTTCCCCAATCTGTAAAACAGGATGTGAAGGTGAACTTTAGGTGATGACTTGACTGGGGAAGGCAGGCCCGGGTAGCTGGTGTGGTGTGTCTTCAGGTGTGGGTGTGTCTGGAGGGCATTTCCGGGAGAGGCTGGCGTTGGAATCAGCGACTGAGGAAGGATGCTCAGCCCCCAGCCTGGGCCGGTGCCACCCAGCCGCTGCGGGCCCACAGCACACAAGGCCGAGCGCAGGCATATTGCTCGCGCTCCCTCTCCTGGGCTCTCACACTCCAGGCTCTCTGGCTCTCGGGCTCTGGGACCCCCACCAGCAGCCCTCAGGGCTCTCAGGCCTTGGGCCTTGGACTGAGAATCATACCATCAGCTTCCCTGGGTCTGAGGCCTTCAGACATGGCCTGAGCTGTGCCGTGGGCTTCCCTGGGTCTCCAGCATGCAGATGGCTGGTCCGGGGACTCCTCAGCCTCACAATTACCCTAAGAACCCCCTCATATATCTCCATCTATCTACAGAGCTATCTGTGGAGTCACATAACTAAACCCCTGTCTATCTACATAGATATCTAAACCCCTGTCTATCTAACTAGATATCTACGTATCCACAGAATGACATCCCTGTCTATCTACATAGATATCTACGTATCCATGGGAAAAAATCCCCATCTATCTACATAGATATCTATATACCCATGGAATGAAATCCCTATCTATGTAGATATCTATGTATCTACGTAGATATCTATGTAACCACGGAGCGAAATCCCTGTCTATCTACACAGATATCTATGTATCCATGGAATGAAATCCCTGTCTATCTGTGTAGCTATCTGTGTACCCATATGTCTACATCTCTGTCTCTATCCATCCATCCTGTTGGTTCTGTCTCTGGAGAACCATGACTAATATACAAGGATGAGAATAGCCTCCATCTGGCCATGCACGGTGGCTCACGCCTGTCATCTTAGCACCTTGGGAGGCCCAGGCAGGTGAATCACTTGATGCTGGGAGTTTGAGATCAGCCTGGCTAACATGGGGAAACCCTGTCTCTACTAAAAGCACAAAAATTAACTGGGTGTTGTGGTGCATGCCTGTAATCCCAGGTACTTGGGAGGCTGAGACAGGAGAATTGCTTG